>NC_000010.11:38225624-38529907 GCF_000001405.40 Homo sapiens
ACATCTCCATATTTAACAAAAATCTTAAATCATTATTTTACCTTTTTACAAATACAATACATGCAAAACTTTTTTTGCAAACAATAAAGTTAACAGAAATATATGGCACTACCATAACAACATACAGCTGCCATTCTACTGACTCTCAGGAACAAAATAAAAACAAGACTTACCAAGATGCTCTGGGTTTTCTTCTGTTAGTGTTAAAACTTCAGATTTATAATCTCATCTATATTATATAGATTTTAGCCATGATAATGTCCATCTGTGGTACATTGTTAAAAACCATGGGACTTCGTGTCGGTTCAAACTGTATATATAGTATGCACATTTTGTGAATGTGTATCTACAGAATATATATAATGTAGATGAGAGATTTAGTGACTTTTGATATGAGTTTGGTGCAGGTGGATTACTGAGGCCAAGTGAGGTACATACTAATTCAGTAGTTTAAATGCAGGCATTCAATATTCTTTACGATGTCCAGATATGTATAGTACCTGTCCCATGCAGTGTACGCACTGTCATGTTAAATCCAGAACTTACACATCAGAGCCTGTGATATTTTATTTGTAGACAATCAACTTGAATCTTTAAATTATTACTGGTAGGTGATTATAAATCTGCTTTACCCTTTATCTAAAAAACTAAATCCTTGTGGCATTAAGATTTTCTTTCTCCAACCCCAGTTTCTGTTTCTTAGAGACACATTGCTGGTCAACCAATTGAATGGTAATATTTAGGGGAAAGACAGAAATAATTCCTACCATCTGGATTTTTTCCAGAATTGGGAAGGGAGAAAAACTATCCCCAAAGACAATTAAAATCCATTCTAGCAAGATGATGCAATGACCTGCAAAGAAAAATGCACTCCAGGCACACCCAGGGGCACAGTGAAAAGGCTCTCCACAGGGTGGTCACTGAGTACTTCAATGAGCAGAATAGGGGTGGGAGGATCGATATGATAGGATATCATGACTTGACACTGGACTCAGGCGTATTAACATTCCAGCCAGTACTGCCACACCTTGAGTGTGTCATCTTGAAAAGATTTGTTTTCTTATTCCAATTTGCATTTTTATTAAGTACACAATACATTTTATTGACAGACCTTGAAAGATAGGAAAATATTCTCAAAAAAACATAAAAATGTGACTATCAGAAAAAATCTAATGATATATTTAATTTGTTATTCTTATTTTTATTTGTTATTTTTATTTTTATTTGTTCTTCTCCTGAGAATGTGTAATAAGTGTCTGTGGTCTGTACCTTCCGGGGGTGGTTTCAAGCAGAATCTCAGGGCTTAGTTTTAGGGATATTCCTGGGTGAGAAGGAAAAATTCTTTTACTTTATACCTGCAGAGAAATTGATACAGTTCCACAAGAAATTGTGGTAGATCAATTGGTGATTTACAAAAAAAAAAAAAAAAAAAAAAAAAAAAAAATCTGTTTCTCTTTTCTGTACGGTGGAGTATTTGTGATAGTGGATAAATGTATTCTGTAGGTGGGTGCAGTGGCTCATGCCTATAATCCCAGCAATTTGGGAGGCTGAGGCAGGTGGATCACCTGAGGTTGGGAGTTCGAGACCAGCCTGACCAACATGGAGAAACCCCATCTTTACTAAAAACACAATATTAGCCAGTTGTGATGGCACATACCTGTAATCCCAGCTACTGGGGAGGCTGAGGCAGGAGAATAGCTTGAACCCGGGAGGCGGAGGGTGTGGTGAGCCAAGATCATGCCATTGCATTCCAGCCTGGGCAACAAGAGTGAAACTCCATCTCAAAAGACAAAACAAACAAACAAAAACTAAATGAATAACCTTGACTGGAAATTAGAGACCTGAGCCCGTTGACTGCAGGCTAAGGCCAATCTTGACCTGTCAAAGGAGTTCATGAATAGCACAGTTATTTTTTTCCTGGGGAGCTTCCCCTGCAGCTGTCCCAGCCTGCTCAGAGCAGCCATTGAAGGAGGCTTTATATTGAGTGAAGCTACAGAGCCCTGGAAAGCTGGGAATGCACAGGCAGACATGGTGAGAGCTGAGATGGGAGGCGGGTTGTGATGTCCTCTGTGAGGGTGTAATTGTTATTATCCTGAGGCTGTTTCTTGATACTGTCAAATAAATTCAGATGAAGGTAAGAAGTGACTTTATCCTAAAGGAGTATTGCAATGGGAAAGCACCAAGCATCAAATCTACAAGCATCTCAAAAGAGGCAGAAAAGGGCTGTGTTTCATATGGAGGAACAAACAAGATTAGAAGGGAGGTGGGAGAAAGAGAGGATGATGGAGAATGGCAAAATCAGATTCAAGGGTAGAAAATGTTTCACCCTAAAGTCAGCCTTTTCTTAGGAGGGGCATAAAGGTGGGGTGTATGTTAGCTCAGACTGAAGTTGGACCAGAGTCCGGGAGCCTGAGGAAAGGAGAGAAACTTAAGTAAAGTTCGTTTAACAAGTATTTTGCTCTGAACACTGAAGACAAAATTATTTGTTGATGAGGGGAAAATGAGAATTTAGAGAGTCTGTGAATTTGTGATATCTAAAAGAGGAAGCAGCATCTAAGTCATAATAAAAGGATATTTATTTGCAGTAAGCTGTTCCTACAGAACACAAAGGATGCAGGGTTCTTAATCATGGCTGTTTACCAGGATTTACTACCCACCCCATTTTTTCCCTGCCTTACTTTGTCCTATACATTTTTTTTTTCTGTTTGGTTTTCCTGAGTCGTATCCTATATAATAACCTGGGAAACACAGGTAAAGTTTCCCTGCTAAGTTCTGTGAGTAGTTTTATCAAATTATTAAACTTGAGCAAGGGGGTTATGGAAGTCCATGATTTATGGACAGTAGCTCAGAAGTATAGATGGGATCGCTGGAACCCAGGAGGCAAAGGTTGCAGTGAACTGAGATCGCACTATTGCACTCCAGGGTGACAGAGTGAGACTCTGTCTTAAAAATAAATAAATAAATAAATAAATAAATAAATAAATAAAATATTTTAAATAAAATCTTGTTTTAACCAATTATTTTTGGTATTCATGTAATTTTGTTAATATCAAAGACCCACCTCTAGAAAGACTATTATAATTTTCTTCTTAATTATACCCAGCTAAAGTATACAACCTCATTTTCTAAAAAAAACCACAAAGTTTCTATTAACTAACCTTTCTACAACCTATGTAGATAATGCACAGCATGCTTAAACTTTCTGTTTTGCCTAAATATTTCTCTTTCTTGAACAACCTAGTCATTTTAGGACAAAAAATTTACCACACAAAATGCCTTCTTAGTAAAGTTGCTTTTCTTTTAACCTTATCAAAAATACCTCTTTATATCTTTAACTTTCTTACATCTCTTATTTCCTGGTTTCTTTTACCTGGTTTTGTACATAACTTTTAAAGAAGCTTTGAATTAAACAGAGATATTTACCTTTTAATAAGAACATTTAAAAAATGTTTTCCTGTGTTTTTAAGTTGGAAATTACCCAGCTACTTAATATCTATTAATAACCTTAGATCCCCAATCATATGGCAAGTCTCTTTACAAGCATTTATTCCATTACATTTACCAGATTAATTTATTTAATATTTTACCTAGATTTTTTTTTTTGAGACAGTTTAACTCTTGATGCCCAGGCCAGAGTTCAGTGGTGTGGTCTCAGCTCACTGCAAGCTCCACCTCCCCAGTTCAAGTGATTCTCCTGCTCCAGCCTCCTGAGTAGCTGGGACTACTGGTGCCCACCACTGTGCCCAGCTGATTTTGGTATTTTTAATAGAGACAGGGTTTCATCATATTGGCCAGGCTGGTCTTGAACTCCTGGCCTCAGGTGATCTGCCTGCCTCGGACTCCTATAGTGCTGGGATTACAGACGTTAGCCACCATGCCCCGACTTTACCTAGATTATTTATGAAAACTTTGATAGTCATTGTTTAAAGTGAATTCCCTGTTAATCATTTTTATAGCTGTGAATTTCAGATGTTTATTTAAATGAGACTCTTAAGGTTAAATATAAGGGTACTTTTTACCAATAACTCAGAATTTATCTGTTTTCATTAAACCAAGATATTTCATGTCCTATTTATCAAAAATTACACAAGCAAAGATCATTCTGTCTTGGGCTGGGTTTTATACTTTTATAACCCTTATGGCAAATCTTCCAGTATTCTGCAGGAATAATCATGCAATCACTTGATCAACAAATGCAAACAAAAATGCTAATAATTCTTACAACATTTCTAATATTGTTTTGCCAATAATTTGAAAGCCAGCTTATTTATAAAAAAATTTACTTAAGTCACAAGAACTTGAAAAAGCATTTGACTGGTCTTTTTTCTTGATAAAATGGTTGATTTATGCACTTTTATTTTTCTTTAAGCCAATGAATTAGAGCTCTTTATTTACAGTAGAGAAACATTGTGTACATAACACATAAATACGTAAATCTATTAGGCATGCTGACGGAAGTATGTCTTACAGATTCAGAAGACCTCTTTTTCTCCTATCCTAGACCTTTACATTTTTTGTCTTTTTATTTTTGTTTTTTATCTTATTTTATTTAAATGGGTTTTTGGGGAACAGGTGGTGTTTGGTTACATGGATAAGTTCTTTAGTAGTGATTTCTGAGATTTTGGTGTACCCATCATCTGAGCACTGTACACTGAAAAATGTGTTGTATCTTATCTTTCACCCACTTCCTACCCTTTCCCCCAAGTCCCCAAAGTGTATTGTATCATTCTGATGCCTTTGCATCCTCATAGCTTACCTCCCACTTATCAGTGAGAACATATAATGTTTGATTTTCCGTTCGTCAGTTACTTCACTTAGAATAATGGTCTCCAGTTTCATCCACGTTGCTATGAATGCCATTATTTTGTTCCTTTTTATGGGTGAGTAGTATCCATGGCATAAATGAGGTCTAGGGAACTCCAAGGCTACTTAGAGTAGGTGGGATAGAGACATGGGTGAGAGTGGATAATTCTTATTCTCTAGGTCCTCCCTGCTTCATGGGTGCAAGCTGCTTTGGCACCTATGGGCAGCACCTGCCAAGGTTGCCAGGACTCAGGGATCCAAGGATGGAAGAGGGAAAGAGGACACTCTTCTTTCTCTCCCACACATACCCCGGGTATATCTGCTAGGAAGAGAGGGGAACCAGGCACGCCTGCTCCCTTCTTTCTAAATGGGTAGCCATTCATCTTCAGTTTGTGACCCTTTCGAATGCATCCTGAAACACTGGGACTCCTTTGATAAAAACAACTTTTCCTTTCTCCTCCTCTGTCCTCTCCATACTGTGGGACACTTTCCTCAGATGCATTCTCCGAACTGGAAAAAGTTAATTTCCCAAACCTTAAACTGGTTGGCTTAGCATTGGGCTCAGGGGAAGGGAACCCAGAAGCCCAATATGCTGGCAAAAAGTTCAAGTTTTGTTGTTGTCGTTGTTGTTTTACCAGTTGGGCTTTTGGCTTCCCTCTCCCTGTGCAAACTGGTGAAAGGCCTTGGGACTTTGGAGCTGTCCTTACCCCTCCTCTTGTTTTGTTTTGATACATGTTTTCTAATGACTCTGATGCCAAAAGAGCATCCTACTTCTTGGCCAGCTTCTCGACCAGTTTCTTATTCTGGTTGAATTTTTTCAGCACCTCGATGTCCATGTGTGGGATATCCACAGCCTTGGCCTCATTACAGTGCTGCTGTTTCTCCAGGACACACACAGAACTTAGAGCGGGGAGTGGACTTAAGCCTGATGGTGCCCGAGAAGCATTTGCCCTGGAGGTCATAGTTCATCAAACTTATCTGCAACTCCAGTCTCCAAAAACTTGGGGCACTTGCACTCGTCCCCATGCAGGGCCTTCCTGCACCACCTCATACAGGGTGTCCTGAGAGACTTTACTGCTCATGGCTCCTCATGCCATGGTAATTGGAAAGGGAGCTTCAGTAACTTTTATCTTACAAAAATTTGTTCATTTTATCTACACTGATAAATTTCTTATCGTGAATTTGTTCATAACATCCCCTTATTATTTTTTATTTTGTGTAGGATCTGCTGTGATGTCCTGTTTCTCATAGAGATATTTGGAATTTGTATCTTCTCTTTTTTTTTCCTTATCTGTATTGCTAAAAGTTGATCCATTTTATCGACATCTTCAAAGAATCAGACTTCTGATTCACTGATTTTTGTGGGCATGGTTTTGTTTTCTGTTTTCTCTTTTATTGAATTCTGCTCTTTATTATTTCTATTCCCTTGTCTACTTGAGTTTAATTTGTTCTTTTTCCTTTTTACATTTTTAAAATATACATTTATCACTTAAAGCCCTTCTCTTCTCTTCTTTTCTTTTTCCTTTCTTTTCTTTATTGAGACAGAGTCTTGCTCTATCAACCAGGCTGGAGTGCAGTGGCAAGATCTTGGCTCACTGCAACCTCCGCCTCCTGGGTTTAAACAATTCTCATGCCTCAACCTCCCAAGTGGTTGGGATTACAGGTGCATGCCACCACACTCAGCTAATTTTGTATTTTTAATAGAGATGGGGCTTCACCATGTTGGCCAGGCTGGTCTCGAACTCCTGGCCTCAAGTGATCCGCCCACCCCGGCCTCTCAAAGTGCTGGGATTACAGATGTGAGCCACTGTTCCTGGCTTTCTAAAATTCTTTTAACTTGATTGAGACTTGTTTTAAAGCCTAGAATAGATCCATTTTGGTAAATGGTCTATGCGCTCTTAAATAAAGGAATTCTATTTATTTAGTGGAGTGCTCCATAAATGTGAGTTCAGTGAAGCTGGTTGATAGTATTTTTTAATTCCTCTGTGTACATATTGAAATGTTATTTACTTGTTCTATCCACTAATGAGAAAGGGGTTTCAAAGTCACTAAATAACTGAAGACGTTAGAATTTCTCTTCAAGTTCTGTTAGCTTTTGCTTTATGTTTTTTGAAGCTCTCATTAGGTCATTAAGTGCATAAAAGTTTAGTTCTGTTCTGTCCTCTTGATGAATTTACCCCTTTACCATTGTAAAATTACTCTATTACATCTGTCTCAAATTTTGATACTTTTGGCCATTATATTTTTCAAATATTTTTTCTGTCTCTTCCTCTCCTTCAGAGACTGCAAGAACATATATATTAGATTTTTTTGTGTTGTCACTGATATTCTGTTCAGTCTACTGTTTTTTGTCTTTTCATGGAGTTCATTAATCTTTTCACATGTTGTGTCTAATCTGCTGTTAATCCCATTCAGTGTATTTATTATTTCTAGAATTTAGATGTGTGTCTTTTTTTATATCCTTTAAAATCTCTCTGTAGCATACTTAGCTTCTCAAACATAGAATATAGTTACAGTATAGTTACAGTATTTGTTTTAATATCTGTGCCTACTAATCTGTGTCATTTCTGAGTTGACTTCAATTGCTTAATTATTTTTCTCAGTGTGGATCATAGTTTCCTGTTTCTTGGCATGTCTGGTAGATATTACTAGATGCCAGAGGTTGTGAATTTGATTTTATTCTGTGCTGGATATTATCATATTTTAAAAAATATTCTTTCCTTTTGTTATGAGGTATAGTTACTACTTACTGGTGAACAATTTGGGTTTTTTGAGGCTTTTTTTTTTTTTTTTTAAAGAGACAGGGTCTCACCATGTTGCCCAGGCTGGAGTGCAGTGGCTGTTCGCAGGCCACTGTGCCCAAATTTAAGGCTAGCTTTTTATGATTTTTTTCTTTTTTTCTTTAAGGAGAGACCAAAGCAGCCATGAGTCTAGGGCTAATTGTTTTCTGTTTTATTTTCCAGACAGTACCTTTCTAATTACTCTATTTCTCATGTGTTACAAGATATGTGTCCACTCTGAGTGGAACGCCAACTCTTTCTGGCCTTGTGTGTGGGTTGGCGATTATTCCATCTGCTCCTTCCGGGCAGGTGTGCCCCAGGTGACAGGTAGCTCCTCACAGCTGTGTGCCAATCAGCACTCAGCTGAAGACTCAAGGAGACCTGAAGATCTTCACTGCTTCTCTATGAGGATTTTTCTCTCTCTGGTTTTCTGCCCTGCCAACTCTAGCCTTTCTAAAATCCCGACTCTTTCTCCTCAACTTAGGGATTGTGGTGGAGTCTTTTGAGGTCCTGCTTTTCTGTGCCATGGCAAGGAAGCTCACTCAGTGTGGGTCTGGCCCTCAGCAGGATGCTCTGGGCTGGTGATGTACATTTGCAGGTTACCAATATGTACAACGAGGGGTGCCTTGGGAGTAAATTAAAGTCCCTCAGGAAAGGGGTACAGAGTGAGAAGAGAAAATCCTAAGATAGAGCCCTAAGGAACATGGAAATATATGTAGGAAGTGAAGTGATAAGTCTATTATAAGGATTTTAGAGAAATGCCCCTAAGCCATTTGTAGTCTAGAGTTTCTGATATGATTCCAGAGTGTAGTCATTATCCAGAAATTTGATAAGTCACCAGATGAGATTACTCTGGGTCTACTGGGTGACCTGCTTCCTTTGGGAACATCACTAGGAGATCAAGATAACAGCACATCTAGAATCACAGGAAAGGCCTATAGGGCCAGGAATACCATATCTCCACACACGAAGGCAGTGTTCAGCCTTAGTTTCTACACTAATAGACCACCATGGAAATTAACAAAAACTGGTAATAATAACAATAACTATAGTGAAAATTAAGTAGAAAATGAAGAAATCAAAAAGAAAATGAAAAAGGGAAAAGTCTGCATCTATAAAACAGACAGATTTTGGATTTCTAGACCTAAATTAAACACCCAGACTGTCTCCTACTGTTTGGTTCACCTTGGACAGCTTAATAGCCAAATGTCTTTGAGTCCCAGTTTGCATATTTTTCATATAGGGAATAATTGTATTAGAACTTTCGGCTTTGTAGATTTTAAGAACTGTACACATAAAAAGTGTTCTTTTTAAGACTTGACCATGATTTTGTTTTAAAAAAAATTGTCATGGTAAATAAATGAAAAATAATATGAATAATTTTAATTTTTGGATAATTTTTGTACATTTATCTTTTTTACCTCTAGGGTCATAGTTTCCTAAAGGTAAATTCCTTTTTTTTGCTCTTTAAAATTTTTTTATACCCCCCCCCAAAAAAAAATGAGATGAGGTCTCAGTATGTTGGCCAGGGTAGTCTTGAATTCTTGGCCTCAAGCAATCCTCCCACCTCGGCCTCCCAAAGTGCTAGGAATACAAGCATGAGCCACCACACCCAGCCTAGGTGCAAATTCCTTTTAAGAGCTTGTTCAATGATATAAAAGCCCAGCTTGAAAATTTCAAGTGTAATACTTTCTCTAGTTAGAGATAATACATCTCTATTTCTGTATTTGAGTTAAAACATGTTTGTTAAGGATATGACATTCAAATATTTTGAATGTTAACATTTTTTAATATTTACTTCTTGACCAAGAAAGCAATTCTTTTCATATGCATGTAAACTACTGTGAAAGTACAGATTGGCTGATGCTGATGCTATGTAATAGCATTTTAAATTTTGTTTTGTCTTGTGAAGTTTAGATGATAAACTTGTTTATGGATTCTCCTTAAAACTTGCTTCCCTTGATTAAATTCAATAAAAACAGAAAAGTGTAGTTGGAATTGATTTCTGGAATTATACCTGTTAAGGATTTGAAAATTAATGTCTCTTGGTTCCCTGAAGTTTGATATTATTTATGCGGCTCTTATTCTATCATTTGAACGTAAGCTTTCACTTTTGATGAGGTGGAAATTAAATGAGGCTAAGGAAAGTAGTGGCATGAGCTTATATTGTTATAGTACATTGTTCCAAGGAGATATTTAAAAATGAATATCAGAGTCTGAATTTTTCTTCTTTGGTAAATGAAAATGGAAATAACTAGCTAAACTGCTTCTTTTAATGGAATTTAATAATATAAAATTAAACTAATAGAAGTTAAAATAAATTTGTGAGAGTTATGAAAGTACTTCCAAGAGCATACAAAGTAGCTAGAGTTCTTACTTATTTATTGTTATTTATTACAGCATTCGGAATAAAGAAAAACAAATCATTGACATTGTCTTTGTTAGGATTCATTCACTGAATGCCCACTATGTACCTGGTATGGTATTTTCAAGCTGCTCTCTTCAGAATTATTATTGAGGTAACTAATTATATTTTCCTGGGTTAGAGTATCTTCTGGACTAGATTAATATGAATATTATTACATTAGTTTAAAACTTGCTAAAAGCTTTTTGTTTGTTTGTTTCCATTTATAATGTCTAGGGAAACTGGATAAAATGAAAAAAAGTTTAATCACTTTTTTCTATTGTAAAATGAGTGGCTTCTTGAAAGTTTTTTTGGGTAAAGGAGATGATGATATGACCACGTATTAGAATATTATGCAAAAATTTAGAACTATGCTATGAAAGAACATTTAAGGACACTAACATACCATTGAGTGCAAAAAGCAGAATATAAACCTTAATTACAGCATGATACAATTTTATCATTGTTAGATAGGCAGATGGAATATAGGAAAGAACAAGAATGAAATATAAAAGGCAGTTAGGTCTCAGTAGGATTATGAGTGATTTTCTTTTTTCATTATGAAGGCTTTTTTTAACACAGTTAAAAGCAAACGTTTTCTGATTATAGAAACAATGAATATCATTAAAATAAATGAAAACTGATGTACAGTAGAAAACATTTTCAAAATTTAAAGATATTATTTAAAATTATTTTTTAAGCCACCACAAAGAAAATAAATTACAAAATTTATGTTTTTTTTCATTAGGGTGTATTTACCATGATCCTTTTAATGTTCACAAATGAACTACTAAAGGCAGGTAAATTTGATGGATGAACATGTACTAAGTAGGATTTATTTTAGATGATACTTTAGGGCCCTGGTTCAAAAGTGTGGCCCAGGGATCAGCAGCAGCAACATCTCTTGAAAACTTGTTACAAGTACATACTTGGGGCCCAGCAATGTATGTTTTTACAAGTGATTTTGATCCATGCTTAAATTTGGGAAATATTGCTTTAGGATTTTGAGTTATGAGACTGAGCTAGAACAATTTCTCAAAAATTTTATTCTAGAAAATTTCCATCTAACATTTGCCTTCTCTCTCTTATTTCTCCCTATTTCTCTCTGCCTCTCTGTTACACATAACTTACAGTTTTTGTTGAATGTTTATATATTTACCTTGTTTCTCCAAAATATGTGAGGCATGTAAATACAGGTGTTAAAAATGCAACAATATACTAACAATAGCAAAGACTCATTTACTGCTATCTATCTTCTATGTATTGTTTTAAGTACTTTACCTATAGTATGTCATTTAACTTAATTATTAATAATAACCCTATGAAACAGTTATTAATAAATCCCCATTTTACAGACAAGGAACCTGAAGCACATGGCTAAATAACTTGCTAAGAGCATACATCCAATAAATGGCAGAATCCAAGCAATCTTATTTTGCAGCCTGAGCCCACAAACAGTTCACTGCGGTGTTTCTTGAAAGTGAAATTAGTGGAGTGACAACAGCAAGTTGGCCCCAGTCTTCACTCCCTCCAACAGAAAGATTAACCAGCAACTATCCACAGACAAAAATATGTTATTGAAACTCCACAGTGTAGGAATAAGCCTGAGTCAATGCTTTTCTTCATTTCCATGGAACTAAATAAAATTCCCCATTGAAAGCTGAAAGAAACAGTCTTGCTTTGACCATGTCATCCTTCCCTCTTCCTCAAGTTGCCACAGCACCACACAGGATTCCCCAGGGCTCATGGTTCCTACAGTCAAAAAAGAGAGGTGAGGAGGTAGACATCTAACTTCTCTGACACTTCCCAGGAAGCCTACTCCACTCCCACCTCACAGGAAATAGGAAACAGGAGGACATGGCACAGCCAGATCACCTGGGGTCACAACGAAACAAAGCAAGAGGGCAGAGCCCACGGAGACCAGTGGGTAGATCTTGATGAAAGCTCAGTGTACCTACCAGGAGTACGTGATCAGAGATATCAGGTAATAGCATAGATCACCTGCAAAGTCAAGCTGGTCACTCCCAGAAGAGGTGGGAAGGACTACTAGGCTTGAATCCCTCGATAGCCAGCCTCCATGTCCAGCCTTTGACCCTACCCCTAGGAGCTCCTCAGGGAATGAGGAAACCCTTTCCCTACCCACTGGCGGTGAATTTCCACAACGAGTAGACACTAGATCTGCCATAAACTGAAGCTTAATGTTTCACACAGCCCCAAAGCCTATCCCTTAGACCCTACATAGCGAGAAAGACAATCACTGCTGCAAATTTTGACAATAAGCAGGTATTAGTTTTGCCACAGTCAGGAATGTAATATACTGAGCATAGCGTTTAGTCCATTCATCACAATCCAATTAACTTTAGGGTCCCTCCTGCAACTTTGTCCAACTGATGAGTCCAGATAGCAGTATATTCCAGCTGGAGAATATACTCTGTAGCCCAGCCAGATCAGAAGTGACTTTAGTGCCCACACAGAAGCTCAGCCTCATAGCAGGGCTTAGCTGGTGGTCTTGCTGGATAGCAGAGCATAGCCAGCTGTTCCACCCAAATCCAGAGAAAAGGCAGTGACCCAGACATCTAGAGAACCTGAATGCAAGCTCTGCCTGCCCAGATTCATTACCAGCTGGCCCATTCAGAATTATAGCATAGACTAACTAGTGAAGGTCTATCTCTGCCAAAGAACTCTTATAAATGCCAGAAAAGGTGGCTTTCTCTGAAAATGCATAAACAGCAATGCAGGAACACAAAGATTACACAGATTTGAGAAATCATGACACCTCCAAAAGAAACTAACAAAGGTCCAACAATGGACACTAAAGAAAGGGAAATTTATGAAATGACAAAAAAATTTAGAATAATCCTCTTAACAAAGTTAAGTGAACCTCAAAAACATATAGATAAAAATTAAATAAAATGTGTAAAACAATACATGAACAATATGAGAAGTTTGACAAAGAAATAGAAACAATTAAAAAATACCCAAATAGAAATCCTAGAGATGAAGAATACAATGCTTGAACTGAAAAATGCAATAAAAACTTCAACAGTCTGCTTGATCAAATTGGAGAAAGAATGAATGAACTCAAAGACAGTACTTATGAAATTTCCCAATCAAAGGAGCAAAAGGAAAAAAAGAAAAAGAATAAAGTAGGACCGTGGGAATTATGGGACACCACTGAGGCCTAACCTATGCATAATACACATTTCACAAGGAGAAGACAGAGTAAAAGGGCCGGAAAACATATTGAAAGAAATATTGGATCAAAAAGTCATTAATGGCTGGGCACAATGGCTCACGTCTGTAATCCCAGCACTTTGGGAGACCAAGGCAGATGAATCACCTGAGGTTAGGAGTTTGAGACCAGCCTGGCCAACATGGTGAAACCCCGTCCCTACTAAAAATACAAAAAATTAGCCAGGTGTGGTGGCGGGCACCTGTAATCCCAGCTACTTGGGAGGCTGAGGCAGAAGAATCGCTTGAACCTGGGAGGCGGAGGTTGCAGTGAGCCAAGATAATGCCATTGCACTCCAGCCTGGGCAACAAGAGCAAAATTCCGTCTCAAAAAAAAAAGAAAAAATGTCATTAATTGAGGAAAGAAACCAACAGCTAGGTACAGAAAATGTAGAGGTCATCAACTAAGTTCAACCCAAAAAGGAGTTCACCAAGACATATAATAATCAAACTATCAAAAATCAAAAACAAAAAATTTCTGAGAGCAGCAAGAGACAAGCAATATATTACCTACAAAGAAGTCTCAATACAATCATCAGTAGACTTCTCAGCAGAAACTCTCTAGGCCAGTGCGATAGTATTTTCAAAGTGCTGAATGAAAAAAAAAAAAAAACAACCCTGCCAACCAAGAATGCTCTAACCACCAAAGCTTTCAGAAATGAGAGAAATAAAAGCTTTCCCAGGCAAATAAAAGCTAAGAAAATTCATCATGATTAGGCCTCTCTTACAGGAATTACTAAAAGAAATTCTTTAAGCTAAAAAAAAAAATGCTTCTAACTAGTAACATAACATTTAGAAAAGCACAAAACCTAATGGTATACATAATAAATAGCAATATTCAGAATACCCTAGGACTGTAATCATGGTATGTAACATAATTTTATCCCTAGTGTAATGGTTAAAGGATGGAATTATTAATAACAACTATAGCTAAAATAAATTGTCAGGAGATATATATTATAAAATGTTAATTTAGACATCAAAAGCATAAAATTTGGAAGAGGGGAGTAAAAGTGCAGAATTGTTACATGTAATCAAAGTTAAGCTGTTATCAGTTTGAAGTAGACTGTTATAAGTGTAAGATATTCTAGGAAAATCTCATGGTAACCAAAAAGTGAAAAAACATTCAAAACATACCACTACAGGAAACCATACACCATAGCAAACTATAAAGGAAAACAACAAGACAGGAAGAAAGAAATAAAGTAACTACAAAACAACCAGAAAACAACAAAATGGCAATAGTAAATCTTTATGCAACTGTAACCTTGAATGAAAATAGATTAAATTCTCTAATCAAAAGACATAGAGTGATGAATGAACTAAAAAAATGAGACCCAAGTACATACTGCCTACACACTTCACTTTTCAAAGAACACAGAGATTGAACATTAAAGGATGGAAAAAGATATTCCACACAAAAGGAAACCAAATGAGAACAGGGGTAGTGATAGCTACATTAGAGAAAATAGACTTTAAGTCAAAAAGTATTTTAAAAAGACAAAGAAGGGCATTATATAATGATAAAGGGGTCAATTTATCAATAGGATATAACAATTATATATGCACCTAACAATGTAGCACCTGAATCTATAAAGGAAATATTAAAGTATCTGAAGGGAAAGGTATATTTCAATACAATGTAAGTAGAGGATTTAATACATCACTTTCAATATTGTATAGACATAAAATCAATAAGAAAACAGTGGACTTGAGCAACATTTTAGACTAACTGGACCTAGCAGACATGCACAAAACATTCCAAACCAACAACAACCAAATACACATTCTTGTCAAGAGCACACAGAACATTTTCCAGAATAAACCATATATTAGGTCACAAGGCAAGTCTAAGCAAATTTAAGAAGATTGAAATCATATCTAGTATTTTTTTCTGATCACAATGGGTTAAGACTAAAAATCTGTAACAGTAAGACTTTCAGAAAACTCACTGAAATTAAACAACATGCTCCTGAATAGCCAGTTGATCAGTGAACAAAATAAAAGGGAAATTAAAAAATGTCTTGAGACAAATGAAAATGGAAACACAACATACCAAAATTTAGGAATGCAGCAAGAGAAGTTCTGAGGGGTAAGTCTGTAGCAATAAGTGCCTATATCAAAAAGAAAAAATATTTCAAATAAATAATGTTACACCTTAAGAAAACATAAAAAGAACAAACTAAGCCCAATGTTAGCAAAAGAAAATAAATAAGAATTATCACAGAAATAAATGAAATAGAAACCAGAAAAATGATTTAAAAAATCAATAAAACTATAAAACTAAGAGTGGTTATTTGAAAAATTAAACAAATTTGACAAACCTTTAGCTGGACTAAGAAGAAAAGACTCAAATAAAATCAAAAATAAAAGTGGAGACATTACAACTGATAACTACTGAACCACAATCATAAGAAACTATTATGAACTATTATATGCCAACAAATTGGATGACCTAGAATAAATAAATTTCTAGACACATACAACCTATCAAGACTGAATGACAAAGAAATACAAAATCTGAGCAGATGAATAACAAGTGAGAAGATTGAACCAGTAATAAAAAGTCTGTCATCAAGAAAAGCCCAAGGCCTGATGGCTTCACTGCTGAATGCTGCCAAACATTTAAAGAACTATTACCAATTCCCCACTGACTTTTCTAAAAAAATCACAGAGGAAAGAATACTTCCAAAGTCTTTTTACAAAGTCAGCATTACCCCTGTACTAAAGCCAGACAAGGACATCACAAGTAAAGAAAACTACAGGCCAATATCCTTGATAAATATAGATGCAAATATCCTCAACAAAATACTCACAAATAAAATTCAACAACACATGAAAAGGATCATTTACCATGATCAAATGGGATCTATCCCTGGGATGCAAGGATATATCCACATTGACAAATTATTAAATGTGATACACCACACTGACAGAAAAAATAAGTCATATGATCATCACATTAGATGCAGAAAGAAACACTTCACAAAATTTAACATCCTTTCATGGTAAAAAAAATAAACACTCAAATTGTATATAGGAGAAATGTACTTCATAATAAAGGCCATATATAATCTCACAGATAACATTATACTCAATGGTGAAAAATTAGAGCCCTTTCATCTAGATCCAGTATAAGACAAGGATGCCCATTCTCATCACTTCTATTCAACATAGTATTGGACGTCCTTGAAAGAAGAGTAAGTTAAGAGAAAGAAATAAAAGGCATCCAAATAGAAAAGGAAGAAGTGAAACTGTTGTTTGCTGATGACATGATCTTGTAGGACAGAAGACTCCAGATTGGGGCTTAGTCCAAGAGGGTTTTGGCTTCACCCAGGAAATAATTCAACAGTAAGCCAGTGGTGGTAGACAGCAATCATATTAAATGGTACTTCTCCTTGAAGAGCACAGCTGACTCATTGGCCACGTGCCCAGGTTTTGCATCACAAGGGATCTTGGCAACTTTATTTATACTCAGATAAATCTGCTTTCAATTATAGGAAAATTAAGGGGTGGATCAATGCAAATTCAGGGTGGATTATTTAGAACTCTCTAGGAAAAAGGCCATAACTTCCAGGTTGTTGGCAAAGGGGGTGGTAACTTCTAGGTCATTGTCATGGCATGTGTAAACTGTCATGGTGCTAGTGGGGAGTGTCTTATGCCTATGAGCAAGGAGGGCAGCTAGGGATCACTTTCATCATCATCTGCTGGTTCCTGCCAGTTTCTTCACTTTATCCTGTCTGGACCAGATCTTGTTTTGTGACCAGGAAGTAAGTCTTGCCGGTCTCTTACCTCAATCTTACATATAAGAAACTCTAAAGAATCCACCAAAAAAAAAAAACTGTTAGAGCTTATCAACAAATTTAGTGAAGTTACAGGATATGAAATCAACATGGAAAAATTAGTAGGATTTCTTTTCACTAACAACAAACTTTGGAAAAGAAATCGAGAGAATAATCCCATTTATAATAACTATAAAAAATAAAATAGGAATAAATTTAATCAAGGAGGTGAAAGACTTTTACACCAAAAAGTATAAAACATTAATGAAAAAAATTTAAGACACAAATATATGGAAATAATTCTGGCTGGAATAATTAATATTGCAAGCCATGTATCTGATAGAGAATTAGTATTCAAAATACCTAAGGAACTCAACTCTATAGAAAGAAAACAATCTGATTAAGAAATATGCAAAGGACCTGAATAGATATTGTAAGAATTACACTATGCAAAGCAATTTACAGATTTATTGCAATTCTTATCAAAATCCCAATGTCATTTTTCATAGATATAGAGAACACAGTCCTAAAATTCATATGGAACCACAAAAAACTCTTAATGGCCAAGGCAATCATTAGCAAAAGGAGCAAAGCCAGAGGCATCACACTACCTGATTTCAATCTATACTGTACTACAAAACAGTAGTAATTAAAGCAACATAGTACTGGCAAAAAAGTAGACACATTGACCAATGGAACAGAAGAGAGAGCACAGAAATTAAACCACACATCTGTGGTCAATTGATTTTTGACAAAGGTGCTAAGAATATACAATGGAAAAAGAGCACTGTCTTCAATAAATGGTATTGGGAAAACTGGATATTTATATGCAAAAGAAATACACTGTATACACACTGTATACAAAAATCAACTGAAAATGGGTTAAAGAAACATAAAACCTGAAAGCGTGAAACTACTAAAACAGGGGAAGAGCTACATGACATTGGCCTGGATGATAACATTTTTAGATTTCACCTCGAAAGCACAGGCAACAAAGGCAAAAATAAACAAATGGGATTACATTCAAATAAAAAGCTTATTTAAAACAAAGGAATTAGCAGAGTGAAGACACAACCTAGGGATTAGGAGAAAATATTTGCAAACCATATACCTGATAGAAAACTAATACCCAAACTATACAAGAAACCCAACTCTATGGGAAGAAAATCTAGTAATCTGATTAAGAAATAAGTAAAGGGCTTTCGCAGATATTTCTTTAAAGACATACAAATGGGTAACAGATACATAAAAAATGTTCAGTATCACTAATCATTAGGGAGATGCCAATTAAAACCACAACAAGATATTACTTTACACCTGTTAGAGTGGCTATCATCAAAAGGACAAAAGACCAGCATTGGCAAGGTCTGGAGAAAAGGGAACTTATGCACTGTTGGAAGAAATGTAAATTAGTGTAGCCATTATAGAAAACTGTATGGAGATTCCTCAAAAAACTAAAAATAGATTTGCCATATGATCTAGCAGTCCTACCTTTGGGTATTTACCCAAAGATTTTAAATCGGTATGTTGAAGAGATGTCTGCACACCCATGTTTATTGCACCCGTATTCATAATAGCCAAGCTGTGGGATTAACCTAAGTGCCCATCAACAGATGAATGGAGTTTTGAAAATATGGAATGTATGTACAATGAAATAGTATTCAGCCTGAAAAAAGAAAGTTTGTAATTTGTAGCAACATGGATAGAATTGGAGAACATATGCTAAGTGATAAGCCAAACACAGAAAGGCAGATTGCCACATGTTCTCACTTATATGTGGAATATAAAACAATTGCAGTTATAGAAGTAGAGAGTAGAATGGTGGTTACCAGAGGCTGGTGGGTAGAGGGGATGAGGAGATGATAAGCAAAGGGTACAAAGCCTAAGATTGGAGGAATAAGTCTGCTTCTTTTTGAGATCTGTTGCATAGCATAGTGAATATAGATAATAATTGAGTACTGTACATTGTATCATTAAGAGACTATAGCTCCAATGTTCTCATCATGAAAATGTCAAATATTTAAGGTGATGGACAGTTTTATAACTTATGATTCTACCTATATTTTAAAAAATCACTTTGTACCTTATAAAACTATAATTTGTCAAAATATAAACTTTTAAAAAAATTAGGAATAAGGGATGAATGAGAAATAAAATGGCAAGATGAATACACAATCTATTCTGCAAGTTTTATATAGTCGCTAAATGTGGCCCATGAATTTGCCTGTAGCACCAGCAGAAAGTAAAAAAGGATAAAATACAAAATTTATAATCACCAAAATATGTAATCAAGCCAGTTTTCAGAAAGGTCACAAATGAGTTTTGAGAGAAACATTTTTTGTGTCTCTGCATTCTCAGAAGGATGCTGTATTAGTCTGTTCTCATGCTGCTAATAAAGACATACCCGAGACTGGGTAATTTATAAAGGAAAGAGAGGTATTATGGACTCACAGTTCCACATGACTGAGGAGACTTCACAATCATGGTGGAAAGTGAAGGAGGAGCAAAGGCACATCTTACATGGGGGCAGGCAAGAGAGTGTGCAGGGGGATTGCCCTTCATAAAACCATCAGATCTCGTGAGACTTACTCACTATCATGAGAACCACATGGGAAAAACCCACCCCCATAATTCAATTACCTCCTGCCTCGTCCCTTCCATGACACATGGGGATTATGTGAACTACAATTCAAGATGAGATTTGGGTGGGGACACAGTCAAACCATATTATATGCCATTGTAATTTTCATTTTATTCATTTCACTATTTATACAATAATTATTTCTTGAACACCTTCTATTTGTTAGGGTTGTGCTGTTTATTTGAGGATAGAAAGAATAAAACAGGGCCAGGCGCAGTTGCTCATGCCTGTAATCCTGGCACTTTGGGAGACTGAGGTGGGTGGATCACCTGAAGTCAGGAGTTCGAGACTAGCCTGACCAACATGGAGAAACCCCATCTCTACTAAAAATACAAAATTAACTGGTCATAGTGGTGCAATGCCTGTAATCTCAGCTACTCAGGAGGCTGAGGCAGGCTGAGGCTTGAGCCTGGGAGGTGAAGGTTGCGGTGAGCGGTGATCACGCCATTGCACTCCAGCCTGGGCAACAAGAGTGAAACTCTGTCTCAAAAGGAAAAAAAAAAAAAGAATAAAACAGAATCCATGTCTTATAGATAAGCAGGGTCTAGGGTGAAAGAATAATGGCTGTATCTTTCTTTGGCTTTCATCACTTCGTGTTTGAGGGAGGAGTAAGAAAATATAATGACAGGCAGGAGCGGACTTGGATTGAGGTTGCAGTAGGAGATGAGGCCTGAAGGAGTATTTGAAACAAAAATGAAGCACTCATGTGGGCTGACAGTGCCTGGTCACAGAAACACCATTCATTCCTTTGACTTGACTACATCTATTTCTAACTACAAACTGTCATTTAAGGATACCTCTCGATGACCTGGACTCTGAGTTTGGGAGGTTCCTTGGATTCTTAGGAAATCATGTGGCTTTGGTGATCAAGTGAAGCCGGGTGGTAAGAGGATGCAAAGTCAGCTGGTTTCAGAAAGGCTCTGAACTGTGTGTGTGTGTGTGTGTGTGTACGTGTGTATACATACATTTATCACTAACAGAGTGATGTATGCCTGACTGCCTGACCAAAGATGACCCTTTCACCTCTGTAAATAACCCTTAAAAGCTGTACGTAGACTTTTAAAATTGCTTTTCCTCCTTTCTCCATCCAGAATTTATCTAATTTATCTTGGTCTTTTTGGGCTGCCATAACAAAATATCATAAACTCGGTAGCTTATATACAACAGAAACTTATTTCTCACAGTTTTGGAGGCTGGGAAATCCAAGATCAAGATGCTGGTAGATTTGGCGTCTGGTGAGGGCCCATTTCCTTTTTCATCTATGGTGCCATCTTGCTGTATCCCCACATGATAGAAGGGGCAAGGGAGCTCTTTAAGGCCTTTTTTTTTCTTTTAGAGACAAAGTCTCACTATGATGCCCACACTGGAGTGTAGTGGCTATTCACAGGCACAGTCATAGTGCACTGCAGCCTCAAAACCCTGGAATCAAGCAGTCCTCCAACCCCAGCCTCCTTACTAGCTGGGACTATAGGTGCATGTTACCATGCCCATCTCTGAGACTCATTCATGAGGAGCTGGACTTGCCTCATTTGTGCCCTCCTCCCTTTTGGAATTGCTGATAGAACAGACTCTAAGTCTGATAAGAAACATTTACAATCTATTCTCTCTGAAGCCCCCTACCTGGAAGCGTTATCTGCGTGATAAATCCTTGGTCTCTACAACCCCTTATAGTAACTCAGACATTCCTTGCTTTTGATAATAACTCTTTCAACCAATTGCCAGTCAGAACATCTTTGACTCCACCTATGACCTGGAAGCCCCCACTTCCAGCTATCCTGCCTTTCAGGACTGAACAAATGTACATTTTACATGTATTGACTGATGTTTTTTGTTTGTTTGTTTGTTTGAGATGGAGTCTCGCTCTGTCACCCAGGCTGGAGTGCAGTGGTGCGATCTTGGCTCGCTGCAAGCTCCGCCTCCCAGGTTCACGCCATTCTCCTGCCTCAGCCTCCAGAGTAGCTGGGATTACAGGCGCCTGCCACCACGCCCAGCTAATTTTTTGTATTTTTAGTAGAGACGGGGTTTCACCGTGTTAGCCAGGATGGTCTTGATCTCCTGACCTCATGATCTGCCCTCCTTGGTCTCCCAAAGTGCTAGGATTACAGGCATGAGCCACCGCGCCCGGCCTATTGATTGATGTTTTATGTCTCCCTAAATGTATAAAACCAAGTTATGGCCCAACCACCTTGGGCACATGGTCTCAGGATCTCCTGAGGGTTCTGTCATGGGCCATTGGTCACTCACATTTGACTGAGAATAAATATCTTCAAATGTTTTACAGAGTCTGACTGTTTTTATTGACAGCATGATGCTAGCATATGTGTTTCATTTTTAATTTGAAACAATAGATATCTAGTGATCTTTTCTGGACTGCTTTTGAGTAGGAAGAAGAAGAAGAGCAAACTCATTCAGAAGCCTGGATACTACACTTGAATTATTTAACAGGGTCTATCACTTAGAGTGGGGTTTGAAGGCTGTGTTGAGAAATAAGCATAAAGATCTTTGGCATGTTCACTAGAGAATAGATTTTCCTTCTAGGCAGTGATAATCATATCCCCACCCATTTTTCATGGAACGGTGAGAAGTTGTCACATCTTGAGTTTCCCAAGAGAAAGCAGCACCACTTACTTTTCTTTGTTTTTGTTTCCTCTTTCAGTCCCAGCAGAAGTGCATCATGATGTTTGCCCTGGTGTGCTGCTTTGCCATTCTGGTTGCACTGATCTTTTCAGCCGTGGACATCATGGGAGAGGATGAGGATGGACTCTCAGAAAAAAATTGCCAAAATAAATGTTGGTAGGAGGTAACAAACAAAAATTCTCTTTTAGGGGGCGGGCAAGAAATCCAAAGAGGGCCTTGAACAATGGAGAAGAGAATATATAAACACACATAGTCATCCAGGCTCCCCTTAGCTTAAGCTGAGGTGTGAGTCTGTCCACTAGTACTCTTACTTTTAGGGCAAGTAATGAGTAATGATTGAATTCACTTTACAATCTGGTCATATTCTCTACAGGCTGGTGGGAACAAAAAAATTTTTGTAACAGTCAGCATTTCTGGAGACCACTGTATATGAGGTTTGTTTTGGGTGTTCATGATGAGCCTGTAAAAATGAGTGCCCCAGTGGACAAAGAATGCTGTGCTAGTTGTTCCATCAAATGTAAGTTAAAAAATACACGTCTCAGGGAAAATTCCAACTTAAAGTTAGGGATTGAAGAAGTAAGTGTGTTGATGAGAAGACACAGGGCTCCTCTACCTGTCCCAATTTAGCACACAGTTTGTTTTTAATCTAGAAACTACAATAGCTTTACAGGTTTATGTATGCATTATGTCTCTTCAGTTACATTAAGTAGCATTTCCTGGGGGCCTTGCTGACTGGCAGAGACATCACAGTGTAGTCTCAACCCCAGAAATCTCCTCATCAAACTCTTCTCTGAGCTGCTACCATTTTTTCAGGTTCGGGGAGGGTGAAGAAAAGTACCAAAAGCAGGCAGATAGATAAGAGGTCTATTTTTATATATGTATTGCTGCAAAGCTGAAGTGAGGCCACTAAATTACAACAGTAATTATGAATTAGAGCTTATAATAAATTTAAATTGTTATATTTCCCAGTGGAAAGCGTTAGCCTAAGACCACCCCCCAACTTTCCTAGCTTAAAATAAACAACAACCTGGTAATGTGTATGTGAGTTTTATCCTGGATATTTTGCTTTGAGGTTGAATGTTCTGGCGCAGGAAATGTTCTGAAAAGACAATTGGCATTTATTTTTAACCCATGGTACCTTATAGTCTAGTTACCAGGCAGCAGGTATTACATACAGAGCAGAGCATAAAAGAAAGAAATCAAAACACACTTTAGATTTTCTTCCTTCATGTTAGAAAGGTATTCCATAATATTATGTAGCCATAAAAAGGAACAAGATCACGTCCTTTGCAGGGACATGGATGGAATTGAAAGCCATTATCCTTAGCAAGCTAATGCAGGAACAGAAAACCAAATACTGCATGTTCTGACTTATAAGTGGGAGCTAAATGATGAGAACACATGGACACATGGTGGGGAACAACACACCCTAGGGCCTGTTGGAGGGTCAGGGGTGGGAGGACGGAGAGCATCAGGAAGAATAGCTGATGGATGCTGGGCTTAATATTTACCTGGGTGATGGGATGATCTGTGCAGCAAACCACCATCACCCACATTTCCCTATGTAACAAACCAGCACATCCTGCACTTGTACCCCTGAACTTAAAAGCTGGAAATAAAAAAAGGTATTTCATAAATATATTTACTTCCCAGACTGGATTTGGATGAAAAATTGTTTTGTGATTACTGTAATGAAAGCAATGGAAGAACAGTAGATTACTGTCATCTTTTGCTAATGCTGTTACTTGTCAAATATACATAGACAAGGGGCCCATAACTCATATTTACCAAGTGAGAACACACTGCTTCTCTCTCTCCTCACCTTAAAGTGAAGAGTGCTGTGTATTTTAAATGCAAACTCGAACACCTAGAAGGCAATTTAATAGAGGTCAAACCGTAGCAGTTTCCTTAAGACAAAATACCTGCTCATTTCAATGCACATTATCAGGTATTGGTAATTTTCAACAACAAAAGGTCATTTTTTTTTCACTTGGAGGAAGCTAAAATTTGCTTTAATTTTTATTTTTAATTCATGCAACTGGAATTAGGGTCTGGCTATTTCTTCTATCAGTAACTACATTCTAATGACTTAATTCTACTTCTCCCACCATCTAGAAAATATTATTCTAGCTACTAGGCATTCTCCTTTCCTTTGGGTGGTTGGACTCACTACCCTGGTTACTAGATAACATATATCATATATATGTGATATTACATATGATATATGATTATATATATGGGGGGGAGATCTTTTCTGAAACATACATCACCTCTAGGTCTTTCCTCTGCAGCTTCTTGCCCTGTGCCCTGTGTTTCTGTTCTGCATTCTCAAACATTACAACATACACTTCTTGTATGTCTGTCCTGGAACTGGTATCTTGCTTCCCCTAACTTCACCCCCAGGAAGTTTCTGCTTTTGCTCTTCTCTCCAATGCACAGGATGAGGAGGTAGGGTTGCTGCATTACCTTATACCCTAATCCAGTTTCCAACCTGTTGTTTCACCACCTTTTCTGGATTATTCTCATTTGAATTTGATTTAATCTTCCACAAGCTCTTCTCCTGATAGGGTCTGAGGACACCTGTGGGCTTTAGGTCAGTGTTGATATCAAGGTTGACAGAATCCTTCTGAAAGTCATATTCTGCCAACAGAGGGTACTCCAGGTGGATGCAACGTTTCTGGAGTTCCTCAATCATTTCCCGGGGAGTGAGCCTTTTGTGCCTGGCTAACAGACCTCCACCCATCCATCTCATCCCTTGCCAATGTTTCCAGCAACTTAAGAATTTACTTCCCAATACTCTAGCCTTGCCATTTTTTAAGCACTTCAAATCAATACATTTAATATCCACTTCACCCTCACACCTACCTGCCAGCAAGCAACTCCACTTCCAAGCTAGCCTAACACAGTTAACAACCATGGACTTTGAAATTAGGAAGATCTGAATTTAAATCTACATTCTACTACTTACTAACTGTAAGCTTGGGGAAGATATGAATTGAATTATTTCATTCATCCCCTATCGGCAGAGCACCAAGAGACTGCACAAGGAGTTGCAGTAGAGTCATGAGACGGTTGTGGCAATTTACCGTGGTCACAACTACAGTGGGTGATATGGTTTGGCTGTGCCCCATTCAAATCTTAACTTGTATTGTATCTCCCAGAATTCCCACGTGTTGTGGGAAGGACCCAGGAGGAGGTAATTGAATCATGGGGGCCATCTTTCCAGTGCTATTCTCGTGAAAGGGAATAAGTCTCACGAGATCTGACGGGTTTATCAGGAGTTTCTGTTTTTGCTTCTCTCTCATTTTCTATGCCACTGCCGTGTAAGAAGAGCATTTCATCTCCCGCCATGATTCTGAGGCCTCCTCAGCCCTGTGGAACTGTAAGTCCAATTATACACTTTTTTGTTCCCAGTTTCAGGTATGTCTTTGTCAGCAGTGTCAAAACGGACTAATAAAATGGGGATGTCAGAGAGGGTCTGGGAGAGTGGCCTGACATAGTGAAATGAATAAATTCGGTGTGGGACACCTCTTCACCCTTAATGGGTTATGAAAGCTCTTTTAATTTCATTTTCCTTAAAAATCATAGATTAAAAAAATCTCTGTCACAAAGTTTATGAGGATTCAGTAAATTGTATAAACCCATGGCAAAGCATCAGGAAACTCATAATAAATAATATGCAAATGTTAATTATCTCCTTGTTCCTCCAAAGAGTCTAGAAATTCCTCTTCTCTATTCACAACCTACTTCCTTTTCCTCCCACGTCTTCACTTATCTCGAATCTATCCTGATTTTAGTCTTTGGTTCTATGGAAATATACAAAGACCAGTCACATGAGAGCAGAGGCTATTTAGTTAGAGCTTGCTGCAACAAGGGAGTCACCCACCATCAATTGTGTTTTGCAGAGACTCAAAGGCAGGCAGAGAAATGGGAAAGCTTCATAGTGGAAGAAAGAAGGCTCTAGGTGTGCTCTGATTAGAGGCTATTGGCTTCGGTAGGCTGTAGGTGGGATAACGAGAAGTGACATCCTATGTAATTGGTCATATTTGACTTTTTCTGGTTGATCCTGAATTGGAAATAGCGACAAAAATTAAGGAAGCTGTTGGTCATTAATCAAGTCCCGGCCATTTGGGGCCAATTGTTACAGAAATTATTGTTTAGCTTCCTGGATTGTTACTAGAGATAGCAATCTGATTTCCTACAAGTCTAACTTACAGCAGACTGGCTTCCTGGGCTGGTTATTGCAGATAAGGGGTTAGTTTCCTGGGCAGGAGGCTACAGATTGTGCAGCCTTCATATATGATTTGGCCATTGTCCATTTGTTTATTCAGTCTCTTACCTCCCTGAACCTCCTCCTCTATCAACCCCTTCTGTCTTAATTTTCCTCCCATCCATTTGCCAGATCATGACTAGCATACTGCCATGCTTCCTGCAGCATCTTGAAATCTCACTTGAATTTTTTTTTTGAATTTTTTTTTGCCTCGATCTGGCAGCCAATTCTTAAACTGGTTGACTCCTGGTTTTACCCATCCTTGTCCCCAGGGCAGCCTCAGCCATTGGTCCAGGCCCTCATAAGTCTGTAGGAGAGTGGGTCCCACTGTTGTTCAGTTCTAGATTCCTCCAGGCAGTCATGTCCCTGGTAAAAGAGGTGAGGGCTTTTTGGAGAAGCACCATTGAATATACTGGTGCTGACACAGACCAGTAGGAAAATCCACTGGTCTGCAGAAGCTCGAGCATGCCAGTCTCAACTTAAATGTTTCTCTAGAAAATTCCAGTCCTTCCTCTCATGACTTCATCCCTTTCCTGGAGCTAACCTCCCTGGACTTCTTCCCAGACTTTACCTGAAGGTGGCGCTAACTCTACCCCATGCTGCTCAGTTTCCAATTACTTTGTTCTGAAGTCCAATGTGTTCTCTTTCTGCTTTTCTCCGTGTGTTGTCACTATCATAAAGTGCTGCTTACGCAGTTCAACCTTTGCTGAGATCTTATTACTTTATCGTTAAACTCCCTCTGTGTGTGTAGCGCTCCTCACTTCTGAAAGTTGAAAGAATATCAACATTTACAGTCTGTCAGCATCTCATCACAGTTTTGACAGTCTCTCCCCAAGACCTCTTCATCTGGTGTACTCTTTCTTAAATATAGTACTTTAATTCATCTTATTTCTGCTAACTAGCCTCTCTATCCTCTAATAAGATTCCCATTCTGATTGATTCTGCCCACTCAATGTTTTTCCAACTTTCATATGCCTCTCTAAAAAAGTATGTCTCCCTATAAAAAAATCCTTATGATTTTTTTGTCTTGTTTTATTTCTTCCCCCCTTTGTATTATTTTGCTGCTAGATTACTGTACTGATAGTGGATAATTTTATCATAATTTCCCTCACAAATCTACAAAATATCAAAGGCTCTAAACTTATTTTCCAGATGTCTTTTAATGAGCCTCAGTTGTAATGCCCCCAAAATAAGATCTTTGCCAGTAAATGACCTTTTTTTGTCTCTTTGTATTGGATTTCTGGGCACTTCCACCGTTTCCCAATATGTTTTAAATGATTTATTTGGTCCTTATAACTTTAAATCTCCATGTCACTTTGGTTACCTGAGGGGGTGAAAGACACATTTTCTAGTTTCTACTAGTAACCTACATGTCAGTAGGCCTGGGACATCACTGACAGGTAAGGAAAGTTCAAACTGCTAGTTTAGGTTGCATGCATCCTGTGACTTGGCTATTTTGCAATTCGCTAGTGCCCCTAATCATCCTCGTACCTCATTCTTATGAGAGGTAACCACACACGGTGAAGTTTCCCACACATCATGTCCTCAGGGACCAGCAGAGACATTGGAGCTGAGCTCCAGGTGCTGCTCAATTGCAGAACACCTGCTCTCACATGAACACCCACCCCTTTCAGAGGAGAGGTCTTCATTTTGTATATATAGCTACTTCCATCTTCCCTTCCGCCTACACAGAGCTATCCTACATCAGTCATTTTCAGTTGCTACTCCACCACTTATTAGAGACACTATTAGACACTCACTAGAAGAGGGACTTTTGTTGCTGTTCCTCCCTGATAAATACACACAGAACCAGTCAGCATCCTTCTCCTCCCTGATTTGAGGCCCAATCCTCATGACAATATGGAAATTAATTTCTGCAAAGTATCTTTAAGCAAGCTCAGTAAACATACCATCTTGGGTAGGCTAACATTGCCATATAATCATATTGATGAGCATGTGTCACCTATTTTATCTAGGTAGTTATGGCAGCCTCTGTTCAAGACCTCCTCACACTTGCCTCTCGTCTTCCTGAATCAGCCCCCGTGCCTGGGTGGCTACCGGTCTAGGTTGGCTCACTCTTGCCCACATATCTTCACATTCATTTTAGTTTGCTCACTTAGTCTGAAGTATGAAGGAAACGGAACAACTCAGTCTATCTATCTGTATCTCTATGTCTCAGTCTCTATCTCTAACCTATCTAATCCCCATTATTCCTGAATCCAGAAATTTTCTTTCATCCTAAATTGAATAGATTTGGGTCTGTACAAAAGGGGTCCCATGTAATATTATAGGCTGGGTAACCAATGTATAAGTTTCCACAGCAGTTCTCCAATAAGGAGTGTCCTAGATCACCAAAGTCTGGTCACAGAAAATATAGCAAGGGCCAAATTCACTTTGTAATATACCACCCCTTCACACATAGACTTTTTATACATCCTTTCTAAATTTTCAAGTTTCTCTATTAAAAAGCTGACTACTTTATATTTTTCACATACTTTATTTGCTGAATCTCTTCCTCTGACCTATCATTTCTTAAAAAATATCTACAGACATCTAGATTTATATCAATAACTCAGCTGCCACTTCAGCATAGTACACACATAATTTGGTTCATCAATATTTGACATTCCTAGAAGACACTATTGAGAGACCACTTTATGTGTTGACAATTACCTCCTAGTATTTTGTCACTTTCCTGTTTAGTATCATGACCTTAGAGTGGTCTTAACAGACTCAGCTTGCTCCAGTGGACTTTAATCATTGTTTTCCCTTTTAATGCCCAAATTGTCACTACTTGGCCAGTGAGAGCCACCTTTTGTACTTTTTGACACTATTGCAGGTATCTCTAAGAGCAGCCTTGCTTTTTGGCAACAGCAAGCTTTTCTAGTGCTATTTTAAATTAGCTTGCTTTGAGACATGGTATTGTCTACTTTCAAATGAGCCCTGGTTCCTTTTCATGAAGACTTCTATTAAAGACCAGAATCTAAGTTCTATGGGTGTCCTTATATTGTCGTCCAAGGGTATTGTTGATAGACACAATGATACCGCAGGAAACGTTCTTAAGCTGCAGTAATGAACAATTGTATGGTACTAAAGAATTGTTCAGCACTGACTGAATAGTACTTCTCCCTCCCTCCTTCCCTCTTCCTCTCCCTTCATTTCTTCATATTCCAGACATAAGCATGTGGACTATAGGGCCAGATTACCTGGGTTTGAATCTGGCTATACTTAGGAGCTTTACAATCTTGGGGAAGTTTCTTGATTTTACTGTGCCTTGTTTTCTTTTCATCTGTATATTGCAGACAAGTATTGGGTCTTGTGTGAAAGGCTTCTGTAAAGACTGAATATGTTAATGTCAGTACCTTTGATACAATAGCATCTGTCATATAATAAATGTTCAATAAATATCCACTATTATTATTCTTATTAAGGGGCAGAAGTTTATTGCAGGTGTTTGCAGTTTTGTTTTTTTTTTTTACTTTCATCTTACTTTGCTCCAAAATGGGGAAGAGCTTATTATCATTTTTCACCCTTTTCTTAAACTATAAATTTTCCCCTTATCTACATTAACTTTGATCTATTTTGCTTTGTATTGACAAACCCAACTATGTTTTTAAATTACAGTGTTGCTCCCAAATTTAGAAGATCCAATTTGGTTTTGGCTCCTTATTTGATATCTGAGCACTCTTCTGACTGCCTAAAAAAGAAAAAGAAGGTAGTCTAACTTATTCTTCCTACTCCAGAGGAACTCTGAAGAATGCAAAAGCCTAGAGCCCTTGATACTACAAATGGATTTCCAGTGCACTAGATGAAAAATAGCAATGAAGAGTAGAATAAAGACAAAAACTGTCTCTAGAGCCTTTTACTTTATGTCCTCTCCTAGTTTCCCCATTTGAGCTGACAGTGAGCCTATCGCCTATATAATATTCTGAAGTATTTTCCCTTTTATCAGTGCCAGTATCTATTTCTTCTGGAATGTTCTAAGATCTAAGAGGAGAGAGAAGCATTTATGTTTAATTCACGATGTTAAACATAAGTGAGTCATTTGATCCATTTCTTATTGGCTCCCTCTCATTTCCAGTTGTAAATCCCTTCCACTTCCCTCCCCTTCCCTTCCCTGGGTCTCTGTTTAGAGATCGCTTTGGTTGAGAAGATGGTGTCCACCTGATGTAACTCCTTCAGCTTTCTTTCCAACTCAGAATCCCCCAAGTGACTTCATTTGTCCTTCCTTCCTTCGATTTTTGTCTCAGAGGAAGAGATGTTCCTTTCCTTTTCTAAAACTAGCCCCTCTGTCAACACACTGAATCCAGTGGAAATAAACGAAGGCCGACCCCATGAGAAAAGCAAAGGCTATTTATTCTGAGTTGTATAGCAAGAGACTCAGCTACCATCACTTGCATTTTGGCAGAGACTCAAGGGCTGGCAGAGGAGTGGGAAAACTTTGTAATGAGGAGAAATGAACACTACATGTCACTTTCCCTTTTGAGCCTCTATGCCTTCGAAGGTCATCTGCATTTTCCCAGAGTCCTGAGCTGAAGAACTTCATCCCTCTTTGATTCTTCACTTTTTTGCCCCCTTTCTGCAAATAAAAGTCCATTCCTGTAATGGGAACTTTGGTCTTTTATTGGCATTATCAGCATTTCTGTTTGTTTGTTTGTTTCCCTGAATAGATCAAAAGCTCCCTGAGAACAAGGAACACATCTATCTGTCTCTCTCTGTGCCCCATGCAGTCTCTCACACCTGGCTGAGCGGATACCTTTTTTTAAGTGGGCAATAGTTTCCATGAAAATACAAGTATACATTAAAGAAAGAATAGTGTTCATTGAGGTAATATGTATTATTACATTACTTTATTATTCCTCCATAGTAGAATATGCCTTAGATCAAACCGAGAATTATGAGAGAAGATACAATAGTTTATAGATTATATATGTAAAGACTATCATGTAGAAATGAGTTAGAAAAAGAAACTTGCAAGGGAATTGTTAAAATGAAATAGAATAGTCTGATGCTATATTTTTTTCTAACTAGCATTGAATAAACTGTTAATAATAACTGGAAATGGGAGATAGCTTGATTTTAAGTGAAGGAAAAGAGAAGTCTCCAAACACATTTAAATACAGATATTTTTATGCTTCTGAACTCTACTCTCCTATAAGATGGCATGTATTAATATTTTCATTTCACCATTGAATCCAGTAAGATTCAGATTTCCTGAACTATGGGATTTGATTAGCCCAATATCCGGAAAGTATTGTTTACATTCCACAGCTAAAATTTAAAAGATTATGTTAAAAATAATGTTTCATCTTTAGCATTTAATATTTAAAGGAGGAAATCCGAAAGAGTGTGACACTCCCTGATGTTCTATAATTACCACTCTGAGAAGCAGCAGAAGCTAATTATTTCAAAGTTTTGATTTTAATGAAACTTAATATATGATTAATGATGTTGACATTTCCTGCCACCAGGTTTGTTCTCCAAAGAGATAATTTGAATGTGATATGTATTTTTCAAAAAGTTCATTGAACCCTTATGGGCACAATCATATCTGATAATCATGAGTAGTGTTGAAAACAGAAAGTATAGCTGTGTTTTCCACAGACAACCTGTTTCAGCTGCCTTGTCAGGAAGAGGCCCTATGTGTAATCATTCTCATAGTAACAGCTAAGAGCCCAACCTGAACCTAAGGCAATAAGAACATTGATGGAGGGAGTGGAGTGGGAAGAAAAATAAAGAGAAAACTGGAGTTGATGTGTCTGATGGGTATTCTTATATTTTGGTTATAGACCTGTAATTAGAAATTTTCCTAATCAGAACTTCCAGTTAAAGTAATTGCCATGGTCACAAAGACTATATTGACAAAAATTTTCAACAGAAAAATCTGTTAAAGAACTCATAGGACCTCAGCTTCCAAAACCATAGAATTTAGACATTGAGAACAGGTTGCAAGGTTGGAATGCAGCATTTCAGAATGGGTTTATGCTTCAGAGGGGAAACTTTGAACTGTGAGTCTAAAAGGCATGGTAGCAAGCAATAAAAGATTCTGCAAACCAACATGAACTACAAATCCAAAGCAGTTTTCAGATATTACTCACCCTGGATGCAGCGATATGTTTGCAACATGAAACTTAGGTAGGTTCAGATGACCTAGGATAGGTTTCCTGTTGTCCCTTCAAGCTGAGGAAGTCATCTAAACTCAGCCTCCGTACTCCCATTTATAAATTGATGAGAAGTTTTCTTCCATGCTGCTGTGAGACAGAAATAAGATAATTCATGTGTAGAAGACTGCAAAGTGCTTTACAAAGTGAGGTATTATATGATTTGCTTGCTTATTTATTTATTTGAGACAGTGTTTTGCTCTCGTTGCCCTGGCTGGAGTGCAATGGCGTGGTCTTGGCTCACTGCAACCTCTGCCTCCCAGGTTCAAGCGATTCTTCGGCCTCAGCCTACTGAGTATCTGGGATTACAGGCACCCACCACCATACCCAGCTAATTTTTGTGTTTTTAGTAGAGACGGGGTTTCACCACGTTGGCCAGGCTGGTCTCAAACTCCTGACCTCAGATGATCCATCCGCCTTGACCTCCCAAAGTGCTGGGATTACAGGTGTGAGCCATCACACCTGGCCGATTTGCCTATTTTTTGAGCTACACTCTCAAAGGCCAATAGCATCCAATGTGAGAAATGTCATCGTTAAAATACAGTCTACTGCCTCATGAGGTCTATACTTTTATGAAAATAGAAGAGAAAATAGAAAGTATTATGCAGATGCTTTCTTATATTTACCTTGCAATTCTCAGAGCCATCACAAGCCATTGAGAAGCTTCAGTGGCCTGGCCCTCGCTGGGCAGCAGAGGTCAAGGTGAAGTGTGTGAGACATGCCCAAGAGCTCACTCAGGCTCTACATCCAGGAGACCTGATTTGCATCTCAGCTCGTCTACCTACTGTGCAAACTTGGTCATTTAAGCAGCCTTGATTTGAGCGTAGAACAATGATGATCATACTAGTACATATTCTACAGAGTTTTATAAAAAAAAAAAAGGATGATAGTGTGTAACTTGTTTGACCAAAACAGAGAAACGTATAGGTCAGAGATCCCTTCCTTCCAGGTTAATCTACAAAACTCATCATCTTAGATTTACCTCATTTAACTTTGCTTGTTTTATTACATCCATATTTCCAAGTTATTTCATTACATCCTTGCCTTTTAAAACAAGTAACTATGTATGCAATAGAAAAACTAATATATACAGATGATAATAATGTCAACAATTCAGTTTTACAATGAAATGCAGGCCCTGTGTCCCCTTGCCCAGATGCAAACACTGCTAACACTTTCTTATATATCTTCCCAGAAATATGATTTTATATGTGGACATTTGTGCATGTTTATGTATCAGTCCCTTTTTTCTCACAGATGGGAGCATATAGACATGATGTACCATGAACGATTTTTTTCCATGCCTTTACGTATTAAGACAGATAGATCCATGGCTGCATGGCACTCATTGTATGAATATGATATAAATAATTCAACTAGTCCTTTGTTGATTTGAAAGACATTTAGGTTCCTTGGGGGTTTGGTTGTTAGCATAATGACCAGTGCCACAATGGAGATCTTTATCGATCCTGGAACACGTTTGGCCTAGGTAGTAGAATATCTTTAAATTCCTAGAAATGGAATTGCTAGGTGAAAGGGTAGATGTGGTTTAATTGTGGATAGACAGATAGTACAAGTTGGATTCCAAAGAGTCTGTATCATTAATGTTATGATTATTTGTTTTCCCCCATGATTGTCAACATCACAAATTATCAAATTCTTTATCTTTGCCAATCTGATAAAAGAAAAAAATGTATTTTTAAAAATTATGAGGAGTGTTGAAAATCTTTTCACATGTTTATGAGACATGTTTACTTCTTCACCTGTGGCTTGCCTATTCGTGTCCTTTGCATACATAGGAGAAATATGGTTTGATAGAGGATTCAGTAAAACCTCAACATATGAGACCAATACAGTAATCCAAATAATTATTGTATTAGTAACAAAATAACTAACATCACTCACAGAGCACATCTAATTTATCAGAGAGATATAATTAGATTTTGGAGCCTTTTTCATCATATTAGAAATATCAATTTGTAGGAGATTTTCATAGGCAGTTATTAATGTTTTACCTTCATAGAACATTGAAAATTGATTATTTGTGCATATATAAGGTGAACTTTCACTGTGAGCTCTTTGCTTCAATAATTGTAACATTTACTCTATAAGATGAATCAGGGCTGTCCCTTATTATAAATGAAGTACTTTATTCTGAGCACTCTTTTAGAAATATTGCAGTCTGGGATATTCAATCATTTCGCTAGATGTAGCATCTATGCAGATGCTTTCTTATTTTTACCACTCAGTTCTCAGTGATGCTATTTACTAGTAACTGAAGTTAGAGTCAACTATCATATTTTGACTTGATTTTCACCTTATTTAGTCTCCAGGCAGATCTTGGTATTCCATTCTTACTACAAAAGGATCTAGAACTACATCTCCAAATGGTGTGGACTGTGGTTCATGACAGTGACCAATTTTTGGATATTATTTGGTGTTATGACAGCTATCACTTATTGTGTATCTATAATATACCAGCCACTAAAAGGACCCAGTGTTATCTCATTGATTCTTATACTAAGGCAGATATTGTGATACTAATTTTACAGATGAAATAAGTTTAAACATTATTAAATAATCTACCCTAGTAAGGGGTCAAGCTGAGTTCCATTAGGGAGGAAAAACTCTTTCCTTGACCTCTTGGTTTCAGTGGCAGCAGCCCTGAATATTGAACTGACAAAAAAATAGGATAACAGGAGAAAAAGGTTTATTTCATATGCATGTGGATGGGGTCTCACAGAAATAAAATAAAAACTGTAGAGAGGTGGTCAGACCCAAACACTTGGATACTAATTTTACAAAAGGGCAGGTCATGTCCTTTGCATACATAGAAGAAATAGGGATGCAAATTTGTGGAGAAATAACAAGACAAAGAAAAAGAGTTTTGAGCTTCTAGAGGAAGTAAATTGTGGAAAAATAAATGTGAGAAACTAATGGAAGATAAGGGTAATTTAGTAAAGTTTGTTTCTACGGACCCATCTTGCTGCCAACTTTCTGTACTGTTCATGGCCATGAAAGTCCCCTGGGAAAAAGGATTCATGGCAGTCCTCGTTTCTCAGAAGTTTCTGCTCTTAGTCAGATAAGGGAGGTTCCAAGAAGGTTTCTTTCATCTCAAAATAGTCTGTATGCCAAAGTGGCATATTTTGGGGTGGCATATTCTGATTCCTTTCTGTTTAAATCCAGCTTTGATGGGCTGACCTGATTTTTATGCTCCCAGGGCCAAGTCAGGGCTGCTGCGATGAGGGCTGCCTACCAAAGGGCAGAGGGATGCCATGATGTCTGCTACGTTGTCCAACATGCTGCATGCCTCCATGACCCAGGGAAGCTCATATCACGGCGTTTCCTGTAGCACACATCTTGCTATTGGTCTCTGTCTCAGTGTTTTTCTTTTATTTTATCCTTATAATATGAGCATCTTCAATCATTAGACTTCATTTGTTGATGCATACCCACCTTCATTTCCTGAACCCGCTGGGATGGGATAGAAATGTATAGTGGGTGTAGATTCAGGTTTTATGAGAGTAGATGAAGTATCTTACATCCCAGAAATGAGCCCCAGGAAGACATGTTGGTTATGAATCACTATAGCCCCTCACAAAGCTTGCCCATACAATACTGTATCCCAGGTGGTAACACTGGGCTTCTCTCTGGATTTCCCCACCTTGAAACTTTTTCCTCATATTCTGTTGGTGGGAGTGTAGATTAGTACAGCCACTATGGAGAACAGTATGGAAGTACCTCAGGAAACTAAAGACATATAGTTCTCTGCCATCTGATTCAGCAATTCCACTACTGGGTACATATTGAAAAGAAAGGGAATCAATATATCAAAGAGTTATCTGCATGCCCATGTGTATTGCAGCACTATTCACAGTAGCCAAGATATGCAATCAACTTAAGTGCTCATCAATGGATGGGTAAATAAAGTAAATATGATATATATATATATATATATATATATGCAATGGAATATTATTCAGCCATAAAAAGAATGAAATCCTGTAATTTCCCGCAACATGGATGGAACTGGAGGTCATTATGTTAAATAAGCCAGCTACAAGGAGACAAATATCGTATGTTCTCACTCATATGTGGGAACTAAAAATGTGGATCTCAGGAGGATATAGAGTAGATTGGTGGTTACTAGGGGCCAGGAAGGAGAGAGTGGACAAAGTAGGGAAAAGGATATAAATGGATTTATTACCATTGAACCTTACACTTAAAAATGGTAAAAATGGTACATTTTAAAATATTGTTTTTAGAAAAAGAAACTTTCCCGTAACCAGTCCCTGGTACACTCCTGCCCTCGTCCTCTGGGAGACCATGGTCCTGAGGTCTCAAAGTGGTTCCCTAAGGACCCACCAGAGGCATTGCCCAGAAGACAGAGACCTTTCCAGTGAATGCATTGCTGACTGTTGAAACTTCTCCATTGATTTCACTACTCAAAAAAAGAAAAAAAAATATGTTTCTGAATTTTGCAAGCCTTTAAGATATAAATCCTTGCACTGCATTTTCTTATAGCCCAAATTCATCTGAAGGCTTGGGTCGGGAGATTGTTTTTTGTACATTAAATAGGGGTTAACTCCGAGATCCTGCAGGATCCTCTACTTTCTTTTTTTTTTTTTTTTTTTTTAATTTTTTTTATTATACTCTAAGTTTTAGGGTACATGTGCACATTGTGCAGGTTAGTTACATATGTATACATGTGCCATGCTGGTGTGCTGCACCCACTAATGTGTCATCTAGCATTAGGTATATCTCCCAATGCTATCCCTCCCCCCTCCCCCGACCCCACCACAGTCCCCAGAGTGTGATATTCCCCTTCCTGTGTCCATGTGATCTCATTGTTCAATTCCCACCTATGAGTGAGAATATGTGGTGTTTGGTTTTTTGTTCTTGCGATAGTTTACTGAGAATGATGGTTTCCAATTTCATCCATGTCCCTACAAAGGATATGAACTCATCATTTTTTATGGCTGCATAGTATCCCATGGTGTATATGTGCCACATTTTCTTAATCCAGTCTATCATTGTTGGACATCTGGGTTGGTTCCAAGTCTTTGTTATTGTGAATAGTGCCGCAATAAACATACGTGTGCATGTGTCTTTATAGCAGCATGATTTATAGTCCTTTGGGTATATACCCAGTAATGGGATGGCTGGGTCAAATGGTATTTCTAGTTCTAGATCCCTGAGGAATCGCCACACTGACTTCCACAATGGTTGAACTAGTTTACAGTCCCACCAACAGTGTAAAAGTGTTCCTATTTCTCCACATCCTCTCCAGCACCTGTTGTTTCCTGACTTTTTAATGATTGCCATTCTAACTGGTGTGAGATGATATCTCATAGTGGTTTTGATTTGCATTTCTCTGATGGCCAGTGATGATGAGCATTTCTTCATGTGTTTTTTGGCTGCATAAATGTCTTCTTTTGAGAAGTGTCTGTTCATGTCCTTTGCCCACTTTTTGATGGGGTTGTTTGTTTTTTTCTTGTAAATTTGTTTGAGTTCATTGTAGATTCTGGATATTAGCCCTTTGTCAGATGAGTAGGTTGCGAAAATTTTCTCCCATGTTGTAGGTTGCCTGTTCACTCTGATGGTAGTTTCTTTTGCTGTGCAGAAGCTCTTTAGTTTAATTAGATCCCATTTGTCAATTTTGGCTTTTGTTGCCATTGCTTTTGGTGTTTTGGACATGAAGTCCTTGCCCACGCCTATGTCCTGAATGGTAATGCCTAGGTTTTCTTCTAGGGTTTTTATGGTTTTAGGTCTAACGTTTAAATCTTTAATCCACCTTGAATTGATTTTTGTATAAAGTGTAAGGAAGGGATCCAGTTTCAGCTTTCTACATATGGCTAGCCAGTTTTCCCAGCACCATTTATTAAATAGGGAATCCTTTCCCCATTGCTTGTTTTTCTCAGGTTTGTCAAAGATCAGATAGTTGTAGATATGCGGTGTTATTTCTGAGGGCTCTGTTCTGTTCCATTGATCTATATCTCTGTTTTGGTACCAGTACCATGCTGTTTTGGTTACTGTAGCCTTGTAGTATAGTTTGAAGTCAGGTAGTGTGATGCCTCCAGCTTTGTTCTTTTGGCTTAGGATTGACTTGGCGATGCGGGCTCTAATAACAGGCTCTGAAATTGTGGCAATAATCAATAGTTTACCAACCAAAAAGAGTCCAGGACCAGATGGATTCACAGCCGAATTCTACCAGAGGTACAAGGAGGAACTGGTACCATTCCTTCTGAAACTATTCCAATCAATAGAAAAAGAGGGAATCCTCCCTAACTCATTTTATGAGGCCAGCATCATTCTGATACCAAAGCCGGGCAGAGACACAACCAAAAAAGAGAATTTTAGACCAACATCCTTGATGAACATTGATGCAAAAATCCTCAATAAAATACTGGCAAACCGAATCCAGCAGCACATCAAAAAGCTTATCCACCATGATCAAGTGGGCTTCATCCCTGGGATGCAAGGCTGGTTCAATATACGCAAATCAATAAATGTAATCCAGCATATAAACAGAGCCAAAGACAAAAACCACATGATTATCTCAATAGATGCAGAAAAAGCCTTTGACAAAATTCAACAACCCTTCATGCTAAAAACTCTCAATAAATTAGGTATTGATGGGACGTATTTCAAAATAATAAGAGCTATCTATGACAAACCCACAGCCAATATCATACTGAATGGGCAAAAACTGGAAACATTCCCTTTGAAAACTGGCACAAGACAGGGATGCCCTCTCTCACCGCTCCTATTCAACATAGTGTTGGAAGTTCTGGCCAGGGCAATCAGGCAGGAGAAGGAAATAAAGGGTATTCAATTAGGAAAAGAGGAAGTCAAATTGTCCCTGTTTGCAGACGACATGATTGTTTATCTAGAAAACCCCATCGTCTCAGCCCAAAATCTCCTTATGCTGATAAGCAACTTCAGCAAAGTCTCAGGATACAAAATCAATGTACAAAAATCACAAGCATTCTTATACACCAACAACAGACAAACAGAGAGCCAAATCATGAGTGAACTCCCATTCACAATTGCTTCAAAGAGAATAAAATACCTAGGAATCCAACTTACAAGGGATGTGAAGGACCTCTTCAAGGAGAACTACAAACCACTGCTCAATGAAATAAAAGAGGACACAAACAAATGGAAGAACATTCCATGCTCATGGGTAGGAAGAATCAATATCGTGAAAATGGCCATACTGCCCAAGGTAATTTACAGATTCAATGCCATCCCCATCAAGCTACCAATGACTTTCTTCACAGAATTGGAAAAAACTACTTTAAAGTTCATATGGAACCAAAAAAGGATCCTCTACTTTCTTATGTACAGAGTTCTGCTGCTCCTGACAGTCAAGTCCCCTGCTCCCTGAACAGCTCCATCTTTTGACAATCCCTCTTTTAGCAACTTCCATGCTCAGCTGTGGTCATTCCATATGTTTTCATGGGCCCTAAAAGCACCAAGCTCTCCCAGCTTCCATGCCTTCATGTCTATTGCTTTGTTGGCTGGGCACAGCCTTCCTCCTTGTCTCTCTCTCTTGGGTTTCACCTGAGGTAACCCCTCCTGCAGGAGATGTGCTTCATTCACCTTGTTCCCTGTGAGGTTCCTGTCCTGGGTGCTACCACACTGCCCAGAGCTGACCTCTGTTATAGTACTTGGTATCTACGAGTGAACGTCAAGTATTAGTTTTTTCAGTAATGTAACCAGTCTTCATAGGAGTCTTATTTTACAAAATTAGTATCACAAAGTCATTGAAAATTCCTGTCAGAAATGTGGACTAGAAGCACTTCAGACTTTAGCTCAGTCCATAATATTGAGCTGAGCCACTTGATGTAAAAGCTCTTTGTGACTTTGGTTGTCTTTCCTTTTGTATTGTTATTTTAAAAAAGGCATTGCACTGGTCATTAGAGAAATGCAAATCAAAACCACAATGAGATACTAGCTCATGCCAGATAGAATGGCAAGCATTAAAAAGTCAGGAAACAACAGATGCTGGAGAGGATACAGAGAAATAGGAATGCTTTTACGCTGTTGGTGGGAGTGTAAATTAGTTCAACTATTATGAAAGACAGTGTGGCGATTCCTCAATGATCTAGAACCAGAAATATCATTTGACCCAGCAATCCCATTACTGGGTATATACCCAAAGGATTATAAATCATTCTATAAAGACACATGCACATGTATTTTTATTGCAGCACTGTTCACCACAGTGAAGACTTGGAACCAACCCACATGCCCATCAATGATAGACTGGATAAAGAAAATGTGGCACATATACACCATGGAATACTATGCAGCCATAAAAAGGGATGAGTTCATGTCCTTTGCAGGGACATGGATAAAGCTGGAAACTCTCATTCTCAGCAGACTAATACAGGAACAGAAAACGAAACACCACATGTTCTCACTCATAAGTGGGAGTTGAACAGTGAGAACACATGGATGCAGGGAGGGGAACATCACACACAGGGGCCTGTCAAGGGGTTGGGGGCTGGGGGCGGGATAACATTAGGAGAAATACCTGGTGTAGATGACAGGTTGATGGGTGCGGCAAACCACCATGGCACATGTATACCTATGTAACAAACCTGCACATTCTGCACATGTATCCCAGGACATGAAGTATAATAAAAGGCATTGCTAAGTGAGGGACTTTGTCCCCCTAGTTTTAATTTATTAAGAATATTATGCACAGGGCACTCTAGGACTCTAGACGTATTAACATCAAATGTCAGGGATCTCTCAAAATATTTCTCGATGAATGAGTATTGAGTTCGGACTTTGGTCTGAGATTAATGAAAGTTGAATCGGGGGGTATTTTGAACAATGTAAAATATACTCAATTTATGTGTGAATCAATCTAGCCTGGAAATGTAATATTAAACGTTGATTATGTTGCTTTGTATCTGCTGTGTCTCTTTCCAGGTTCAGGCATTAGCAATTATGTTTCAGAGGCCTCAGTTTTCATTCTGTCTTGGGAATCAAGGGATGTTAGAAGGTCCCTTCCAGAGGGCAATTATTTTTTGGCATTTCCATGAGAGATGAGGTAAGACAATCCTTCTCAGTGGTGTGCTTTGTTATTCTTTTTCTGATTGACCCTTTCCTTCCTATTACAACTTTGGTGAAGAAGGCAGCAGTGACATTTGTCCTTTGTATACATTACTGTCAAGTTTTTATTCCATGTTTAATCCTAAAGATGTTGTGGAGAGCAAGGTCTTTTGCTGCTGTCCAGGGGTGCCCGTTTGGTTAGGCTGGTAATGCAAAACTTGAGACACCATGTCTTAATCGCTGCACGCTAAACTGTCGTCCCTTCTAGAACGCAAGCTTGTTTGTGTCAGGAACTCTGGCTCATTCATATTTGCATTTCTGGCAGCTGGCACAGTGCCAGTGTATGTCATGTGCTCAAGTGCTGAGTCAGTAATATTGAACAAATGCAGTGTTGAAATAGCATATCTGACCCAGTAGTACCCCACACAGAGCGAGTGCTCAAAAAAATATTAAACCAGGATAAAGGATGAAGAAGAAGAAGGAAGTGGTTTGGGGTAAGAAGGGGAAACTGGACCAGGGAAAGGGAAGCTTTCAAATCTCCACTCAATTTGCTGAGGAAAATTGAGAAAGCCACTTAATTTTTCCTTGTTTATATTTTCCCATCTGTAAAATTACGAGATCATCTAAGATGACCTCCAAAATCCCTTTTTCCTCTAAAAATATGTCTATGAAATGCCAAAAGATTGAGATAGGTGATGATGTATTTTATTAACATGTATGAAAAATACTCATGTATAGCCACAGAATGTTTAAGCCTTTAGCTTTTTTTTTTTAACATCTGTCAATGTTCAATGGATGGATTTCTATTTTTTCAATCTGTCAATATTTAATAAAGGTTTACTTTGTGTAAGGACTGTGCTAATGCTAGAGATACAAAGAGGAATGATGATCAGTTTCTACCATCAAGAATATGTAAAAGATCAATGAGTTAAGAAACAACAGCCCTTCAGCATAAAAATGCTACAATGAGGGATGTCCCTTGTGCTAGGGAGTCACAGGAAGGAGCTGCTGACTCTAGGGGATGACAGAGCAGGCAACTGGATTCAAACAATTCCAGGATTCCAAGTAAGGGCCACAGCATGTGCCAAGATTTGCTGATGTGAAAATGCTCAATGTTGTCACAGGATGGAAGGGAAGGAGGGATAGGAGACACAAACAAGATTGTGACCACCATGTGAAAGTCACACACACCAGGCTTGGGAATTATTTTGAAACTAACTGGGAGCCATTAAACAACAAGAACATGGACACAATTCTATTTGTACTTCATGGAAAAAGTTAATAATAATATAGCTGATGAAGGAACCATTTTTTTTTCTCAGAAGAGTATACCTAGATGCCTGTTGGAGAATCCCCTGGGTGCTTATTAAAATGCATGTGCTTAGCGTTCAGTCTAATTCAAGAGGATCATAATTTCAATGGGTTTGCCTCAGAAACCCACATTTAAAAAAAAAACTGTCTTACAACTTATGCAGTTTAAACTGTGGGAGCCACTAGGTAAGAGAATGGAGAGTTAGTGGCAGGAAACTCATAAACATTGAATCTCTGTGAGTCCCTTAGTAGCCGGTTGATCTTAGCTAAGTCACTCAACACCTGTGAAGCTGGGTTTTCCCTTCTGTAAATGGGTTTAAGAGTACCTGCTTCATGGGGTTTCAGCAGGGATTAGTCGAGATAGCATACATAAAGCATCTAATGTACCAAGTTTGGGAGCACATTGCAATCACCTAGAGAACTTACTCAAACTCCATGCATAAGGTGTAGAGGACTCAAGAAACTCCCCCGATGATATGGATTAAGAGCCAGTAAGAGTTAACTCCCCTTCTCCTAAGACAGACAGTCAAGATATACAAAAGGGGATATCCAATGACCTAAATGATTCTTAAAGTTTTAATTCAGATGGCTGGTTATATCAAAGTGTAGATGGAGAATGCAGTTCTATTTTGAACATGGTAGTGTCCCATGGATCACCTGAGTGGAGATGACCAGAAGCAGGTACTGCATAGTGGACAAGGACCTCAGAAAAAAGCCTGAGGTGGTGATACAGAGTGTGCTGGCAAGTGGTAGCTGAAAAGAACATAGCCCCCAGGAATGGATGAGGTGGAGGATAAGAGGAGGCTTCAGGACTCACCTTCACATAAACACCAAAATTCTAAATTGTTTTAGGAAAAAGGCTGGGCACGGTGGCTCTTGCGTATAATCCCAGCACTTTGGGAGGCTGAGTCGGGTGGATCACCTGACATCAGGAGTTCAAGAGCAGCCTGCGCAACATGGTGAAACTCGTCTCTACTAAAATTATAAAAATTAGCCAGGTGTGGTGGCAGCCGCCTGTAATCCCAGCTATTCGGAAGGCTGAGGCACAAGAGAATCACTTGAACTTGGGAGGCAGAGGTTGCAGTGAGCCAAGATCACACCACTGCACTCCAGCCTGGGCGACAGAGCGAGACTCTGTCTCAAAAAATAAATAAGTAAATAAAACAAAAAATTTTTAGGAAAAAAAAGATTGAAGAAAATTGAAAAGAAATAGGAGTAGGAATAAAACCAGGAGAGGGCTTTACTTGAGAAACACCCTGAAAAGAGACTGTCAAATGCCATAGTAAAATCAAGTGAGATGGAAAGTTGCTCTAACGCAGAAATTCTGTCTTGCCAATGATGGGCTCTTTGGCCATGGTAGCTGGTTGGGTGGCAGGTTGATTCTGGAGAAATATTGGTATCTTTGGCTTTGTATTCTTACCTGAATTGCCTAATAAAACCTCAGAGGCAGAAAGTAGTTCTTTACTACTCTTTGAGTGAGAAGAATACTTCCAAGCATCTCTTGTTCTCGAGAACTATTTTTTATATATACATCAAATGTACTATGCAAACTACAACTCATCACTGTGTTTTAAGGATGGCCACATATATATAACTATATAACTGTTCTCTATATATGTAGAACATTTATATATGTAGAACACATAAATATGTAGAACACATATGTATGTAGAACACATAAATATGTAGAATACACATATGTAGAACACATGTAGAACACACATGTATGTAGAACACACATACATAGAAAACACATGTAGAACACACATATGTAGAACACACACGTAGAACACATATGTAGAACACACATATGTAGAACATACATACATATATATGTGCATATATATATATGTTCATCTTGGTAATCTAGAAATGGTTGTGTCCTGTGGAGAATCACAAGGATGGTTCTTAGTACAAAAACCAACACCCACTCCTAATAGTTTTCTTTCTAGTTGTTAATGATTGACTATTTAGTTACGTCTTTATTCCTTGATAAAGTTTTTTTTGCTTTTGTTTTGTTTTGTTTTTAGCAACAGGGTCTCCTCTGTCACCCAGGCTGTAGTGCAGTGGTGCAACCATGGCTTCCTGCAGCCTTGACCTCCTGGGCTTAAGCAGTCTTCCCACCTCAGCCAGTGCATGCCACCACACCCAGCTAATTTTTTTTTCTTCTAACTAGAGAGGCAAGTTCTTGCTATGTTGTACAGGCTGGTCTTGAACTCCTGGGCTGAAACAATCCTTTGCTTAAACCTCCCAAAAGGTTGAGATTACAGGCATAAGCCACTGTGCCTGTCTCTTGATAGAGTTTTAAATATCAATATGGTTATTATTCTCTAGAATAAGAACATTTCAGGATAAAATAATTTACATTTTGAAAGTTAAAATTCCAAGTGCACTGAACTTCATATGGCAGATGATGACAATTAGACCACAAACTACAACTCATCAGTCTGTTTTTTTAGGATGGCCTTTTTCCCTTCTAGTAAATTTGAAACGTGCAGCTCTGTTATAACATTTTCAAGGAGTCAGCATATTTGAAATTCTCTATCTCGAGTTTTATTATTTGGAATTAGCTTCATTTAAAACTGTTAACAAATAATGAGGGGCTGTTCAGCGCATTGTTCTGTTCTAGGGCTAATACAAGGAATTGAAGCTCACTATATTTTAAGTTTGAAATAGCAGTCAGTAAAGAACTCTATATTGTCAAAATATTATTCTATTTACTCATTTACTGAAGAAATCCACCAAATGAGCTATGCAGTCATATATATTTAAAAAATAAACTCATATAAAAGATGAGGCTGGTGCAGTGGCTCATGCCTGCAATCCCAGCACTTTAGGAAGCTAAGGTGGGAGGCTCTCTTGAGCCTAGCTATTCAAGACCAGCCTGGGCAACATAGTGAGACCCCGTTTCTACAAACAATTAAAAAAAAATTAGCGCCAGGCGTGTGGCTCACACTTGTAATCCCAGCACTTTGGGAGGCTGAGGCAGGTGGATCACAAGGTCAGAAGATCGAGACCTGGCTAACACGGTGAAACCCCATCTCCACTAAAAATACAAAAAATTAGCCAGGCATGGTGGTGTGCACCTGTAGTCCCAGCTACTCAGGAGGCTGAGGCAGGAGAATCGCTTGAATCTGGGAGGCGGAGGTTGCAGTGAGCCGAGATTGCACCATTGCACTCCAGCCTGGGCAACAGAATGAGACTCTGTCTCGAAAAAAAGAAAAAAAAAAAAAAAGCCAGATGTGGTAACATACACCTGTGGTCCTAGCTACTTGGGAGGTTGAGGTGGGAGGATCATTTGAGCTAGGGAGGTCAAGGCTACAGTGAGCTGTGATCACGCCACTGCACTCTAGCCTGGATGACAGAGTGAGACCCTGTCTCAAAAACAAAACAAAACACACACACACACAACTTATATAAAAGATGGAAAGAAATAACTAATAACCAAAAGAGAATATAAGCAAAATATCAAGATCTTTTTCAGCAGTGCAAAGTTTCAAGCAGAGATTGGGCTGTAGTTTTTAGTTGTAGGTTTTCCTAAGCCAGAAGGAGGGATGGGGGAGGATTTAAGGCTTATCTGAAGGAGTATATGTCAGGATCTTTAAATAAACGATATCTTCTCTCATTTTGATTAGACTGAAAGAAGTCAGTTAACTTATCCACATACAAACAGGAACCAGGAATCCAGTCCCTGACTCTTATGACTCTAGCACGACCTCATGTTTTCACCTAAAGGAAGAACAACTTTGAGCCGCAGTACCTTTATCTTTAGTATGCATATACTTAGCAGCCACAGTACCTTTATCTTTAGTATGCATATACTTAGCAGATACTTGGGACTTTCAGAAACCAGTCAAAGCCCTTCCCAGCAAATGCTTTTGAAAAAGTGGGGCATGAACAACCTGAGTAATTTTATTTCTGATCACAACAATGTGAGGCCAGGCACATGGGTTCACACCTGTAATCACAGCACTTTGGGAGGGAGGGGGGAGGATCATTTGAGGCCAGGAATTCAAGACCATCCTGGACACATAATGAGACCCTGTCTCTAAAAATTAGCCAGATGTGGTGACACATGCCAGTAGTCCCAACTACTCAGGAGGCTGAGATGGGTAGATCACTTACGCCCAGGAGTTCAAGGTTACAGTGAGGTATTACGGCACTACTGCACTACAACCTGGGTGACAGAATGAGATCCCAGCTCTAAGAGTAACAAAAAGAAAAATAAATGCTATGTGACTATAATAAAATAAGAATTTCTGACTTATAACTGGCTTTTGAAGTAGTTTAAGAAGAGCTTCCCATAAGTTCTGAGAGCTCTGGGATGGCAGGGAAGGTGTAGGTCTGTGGATGTCTTCTGCCCATTCTGATTACTCCAGGTTACAAAAACCCTCAAGGTCCAGACATTGGGAAATGTGTAAACTGTAGCAAGGGCTAGAATTTGTAGAGGACCAGAGTCCATGCTTGCCAGCATGAAAGGGTTCAAGTTCAATTTAAAAAAAAAACAACAACAACTTGAACCCAGCAGGCGGAGGTTGAAGTGAGTCGAGATCGTGCCACTGTACTCCAGCCTGGCGACAGAGCAAGACTGACTCTGACTCTCTTTCTCTTCTCTCCCCCTCCCCCACTCTCTCTCTCCCTCTCTGCCTCTCTCTCTCGCTCTACCCCCCACCCCTCTCTCTCTCTCCCTCTCTCTCCCTATATATATATCTCACCATGCAGGCTTAACACCCTTACCTATGGAGTCAGCCCAGTCACCATCATTTAGATCCCTGCTTTACAGTTACAGCACATTGGTGTATAAATAGTTATTTTAGAATGTAGTAAGATTGGAAAATAATAAACTAGAGTTTGTGCTTACTTTTATGGATGACATAGAACCACTTTCTGGAGGTGTAGGATGTTTTCTAGCCTTATGCTCGATACACATTTCACAGCACTGGTAACCACCCTGTGGGTTCTTCTTGCCTGCTACCCAGATAGAGCCAATTTATTGAGACACGGGAATTGCCATAGAGAAAGAGTTTAATACACATAGAGTTGGCTAACCAGGAGACCAGAGTTTTGCTATTACTCAAATCAGCTTCTCTGAAATTCAGAGACTAGGGTTGTTGAAAGATATTTAGGCAGGCAGGAGCCTAGGCAATGGAGAATGATGATTGGTTTGGGTCAGGGATGAAATCACAGGGAGTTGAAGCTGTCCTCTTGGGCTGAGTCAGTTCCTGGGTGGTGGCCACAAGACCTGATCAGCCAGTTAACTGATCTGGGTGGGGCCAGCTGGTCCATCAGAATGCAGAGTCTGAAAAATACTCAAACATCAATTTTAGGTTTTATAGTAGTAATATTATCTATGGGAGCAATTGGAGATGTTAGGAATCTTTTGGCCTCTGGCTGCCTGACTCCTGAGACATAATTCTTAATCTTGTGGATGATTTGTTAGTTTTACAAAGGCTGTGTGGTCCTCAAGCAAAGAAGAGGTTTGTTTTAGGGAGGGGCTATTATCATGTTTACTTCAAAGTTAAACTATAAACTAAATTTCTTCTAAACTTAGTTCAACCTACACCCAGGAAAGAACAGGGCAGCTTGGAGATTGGAAGCAAGATAGAGTCAGTTAGGTCATATTTCTTTTGCTGTCACAGTTTTTGAAAAGGTGATTTCACGCAAAGTATGCACTTTACAAACTTTGTTTTTAGCAAAAAGTAATTGAAATCACTTTTGCTTAGCGTGCAAATTCATTTTTTAATGGAAATTCTGTACTGCCTTTGATCATTCTAATGAAATCATCTTGCTTTTTACTCACGTGAGTTGACATTATCTGGATTTATTCCTTATTTTGGATTTGGACTGAAAGCTCTTTTTACATTTTAACCTGCTGTCATTTGCCTGAAAGTAGTGGTGAAGGGTGCCTCTTTAAATGCATTTACAACAAATTGCTTTGTTGTGAAGGGGAGGGTAAAACTGAAATTGGTTGTGTTTCCTTCTCTCTGTGTCAAAATTGTATTTTCCATTTTATGCATCTGGTGAAGATAAAGATTTTGATGCTTAACTGCAAAGATCTGACTCTACAGGGATGTACTTACTCTCTCTTTTTTGAAAATACAATGATTTCACAGTCTCCTGCCTTGAACACACTACATTTGGTAACTGTATTTCTTGCTTTATCAAGTCATGTATGACTTTTCTGCTTCTTCCTTGCCTGCCATAATCATCTTCTGACCATCTGGGAAACCTCTGATCCTCTATGCAGAGTCCATTTAAACATTTTAGTACTAGAAGAGTGAAAATCTTGTAAAAATATAAAATTATTTTCTATTGTTACACTGGGAGCAAAGGTAAAATGTTTAAATGTGCTTTTCTGCTGAGTAAGAGTTTTAGAGATTGCAGGCTTGCGTGCAGAATTCTGAATGGGGACAGCAGTTCCAATGCACCTAGGGAACTGGAGAAAGGCTGCAGGCATTGTCAGCAAAAGGGACTGGAGTGATTTGTTGTATTCCGTTTATTTTCAGAATAACTCCTAATAAATATTAGAGAGGCATATTCACTCTTCAAGGCAGTGGAACAACCTGCATGTATTTTGGGAGCAATTCTTGGAAGGGATTTCTGTTTTAAAATCAAGACATTAGCCTTTGGGATGTCAGATTCCTATTGATAAATTGAAGAAAGTGACTATCAGGTGTCAACTTTGGAAACTACAAAAAAACAATTACCTAAAGGGAGGATAATGAAAATAACTGAGGATATAAATCACCCAGCCTCAGTTTTATGAGCCACACATGTGACTTTTATATTTCCATTAATCACAAAGCTCATAATTTTATGATACAAATATCAGCAACAGCCACCTGGAGTTTTTTTCCCCCCCTTCTCTCTATTTTCAGTTTCTTCCTTTATCTGTTTTGTTTTCTTTTTATTAAAGAATAAAGCATTTATTTTTTAGCGAAGATTTATGTTAAATAATTATAACAATAATAATTTACTGTAGTGTTAGTACATATTTTTGTTAATTCAACAAATATTTATTGACTAAATGCCAGGCATGGTTAGACATTGTCTAGTGGAAGAGAGAGACTATCTGCCCTTGTGGAGCTTAGAGTCTAATGGGGAAGACAAATAATAAACAGTAATATAGATAGGTAGATAAATAGATACATACATACACACATACATGCATGTATATATATACACATATGTATTAGTCCACTGCTATAAAGAACTACCTGAGACTGGGTAGTTTATAAAGAAAAGTTTAATTGACTCACAGTTCTGCATGGCTGGGGAGGCCTCAGGAAACTTACACTTGTGGTGAAAGGCTAAGGGGAAGCAAGGCATGTCTTACGTGGCAGCAGGAGAGAGAGAGTGAAGTAGGAAGTGGATATAAATAACAGTTTTAAACTATCAGATCTTGTGAGAACTCACTCACTATCATGGGAACAGCAAGAGGAAATCCACCCCCACGATCCAGTCACCTCCCACCAGGCCTCTGACAAGTGGCGATTACAATTCGAGATGAGATTTGGGTGGGGACACGGAACCAAACCATATCACATAGATATATAGCTGATAAATAGACAGATGCTAGAAAGTGATAAAAGCTCTGAAAAGAAGAAAGTGTAGCACAAGCACAAAGAAATCAATAGGAAGAGAGAGCAACTGCGGGCATCTTTAAATCGGGTATTCAGACAGCCCTGACAGAGTCTGTGGATTTTGGACAAAGACTTGAAAAAGGTAGATATCTGGGGAAGAGGGTTCCAGGTGGATGAAGGGTGGTGACATGGCTGGCATATTTGAAGAGTAACAGGAGGACTGTGCAGCCAAGGCAGAGTGAACAAACGTACATTAGATGAGATCATTTATACCAAGAATGTGTGGTATGCCTAGTGCCTGGTGCGGAATCAACGCTCCAAAGCTGTAAAGCCCCGGCTCTGCCTTCAGCCAGCTTTCACGCCAACCCCACCCATCACACCTGCAGACACTTCCCAAGGTAACCAAGGGCTGGTGGCTTCTAGGTGGTCTGTGGAATTTCTGTACTGTTGACATTTGTTGTGTTAATGCCTGTGGCTTTCATAATGCTACTTTACATTGTACCATCTCATTGGTGTTTTGATGAGCAGGGTGTCTTTTTGCCTGTTAACTATGGTGAGGTTTTCAGTGAAAAAAGAGAATCCCTACACAACTGTGTAGGGGTGAAGAGAGAACTTTCCCTTCACCCTCTAAAGGATTGTTTAAAAGTCAAGTCACAAAAGGTTGATTAATTGAAGAAAAGGCGTAAACATTTATAAACATGCACACAAGGGAGAACCACAGAGTGATTACCCCAACCACCAGGGGAGTGTAGAAGCTTATATATCATCTTGATGTACAGAAAAAAATGGGGGTTCGAAAACAGGTAATGATGGCAGAACAGGTTATGGGAGGGAGAGAAGAGGAGGCCTGGCTAGCAAAGGTAGCAGCCCTCAAAAACAATAGATGGGGCTGGGCACAGTAGCTCACACCTGTAATCCCAGCACTTTGGGAGGCCAAGGCGGGTGGATCACCTGAGGACAGGAATTCGGGACCAGCCTGGCCAACATGGTGAAACACCGTCTCTACTAAAATATACAAAAATTAACTGGGCATGGTTGCAGGTGCCTGTAATCCCAGCTACTTGGGAGGCTGAGGCAGGAGAACCACATGAACCTGGGAGGTGGAAGTTGCAGTGAGCCGAGATCATGCCATTGTACTCCAGCCTGGGCGACAAGAGTGAAACTCCATCAAAAAAAAAAAAAAAAAAAAAAAAAAAAGAGAGAGAGAGAGAAAGAAAGAATAGATGGTAAACGCTTTTTTTCTTCTTAAACCTTTAAAGGTGTCAAACTCTCCATTATTTTTCTTTTAGAGTGGGGCAAGGGGAGGCCTGGCTGCATCAATTTAGATTCTCTGTAGGTGTCAAAGTCCCCCACAAAAGACAGCTTTGCAGAGTTACTTCTGTTTGCTGGGTCTCTGAGCAAGCAGTCTCAAACTATGTCAAAGAAACACATTTTGGGGTAAAATATTTTTATTTCTTTCAGTTGATAGTAGAATGTTTTGTCCTACTACAAATAGTTAGCAGATCTCTGATGAGAGGGAATTTTGAGAATTTGGGAATCAGTTTCAGAACCTCTGATGAGAGGGAATTTTTCCTGCATCCTTTTCTGTCTTTGAAGTAGTGGTTTTCAAGTTAGCTGCATGTTAGAATCACTTGGAGAGCTTTAAAGAAAATATTGCTACCCAGGCCCCACCCCAAATCAATTAAATCCCAACCTCTGGGAGTGGGACCTGCTATTAGATTTTAAGCTCCCCAGGTGATTCTAATGGATGCCAGGGACGAGAACTCCCACTGGTCACCAAGGTTGATGCTAAGTATATTTATTTTTTTCTTATGATACGTTGGCTTCTGCCTCTTCATATTATCATGTCTCAAAGGCTCAGAAGACCTTGGAACTTTCTGCAACACTTCTCAATCTTCTCATTCCAGCTCTATTGGTGACTGGTTCATAAACTCCAGGTCCAGAAGCAGAGGGGCTCATGACCAAGCTTTGCTGTGTGCAGCAGCCTTCTCAGATGCTTGCTCTGGGCAACCACTCTTCAGATGCAGCCCCGCAGGGCTCTGAAAGCAGAGCGTGTCCTTCAGCACCCCCTTTCCTGAAGTTGTAGCCAGCTCTGCCGGGCTGCCTCCACCACTTTCATGGCATCAGCTAACCATAGTGCTTCCATTTTCATCAGGAGGCTTATGCATAAGCTTATATTTAAAATGTGGTCAGAAAAATGTCTACAAGTAGATATTTGAGCTATACTTCATGTTGCACGGTTCAACATGAACCACTAATTGACCCACTTCTAAAAAAATCACCTGCAATATAATACCGTCAATAAATGGATGTTAATTTTTTTGTATTTATATTTTAAACCTATTCATACGTCTCAGTGTATGTGTGTTGTAAATCAAAGATGACCGAGGCAAGTCTCAATTATTTTAAGAGGTTTATTTGCCAAGGTTAAGGACATGCCTAGGACAAAAGAACACAAAATCATAGGAAAAATCTGTGGTCTGTGCTTTTTTCCAAAGAGAATCTGAGGACCTCAATATTTAAAGGGAAAAAAGCAGGTATTGGGGGAAAGAGGAAGAAGAAAAATCTTTTTAAAGGGTGGTAGATAAAAGTGGCAAGAGGTTGCATCCTTTTTAGTCTCGGATCAGCATTCTCTGAATCTACATTTTACATGTGAGAGGGGGTAGAGGAATAGTCACTTATGCATTCAACTTGTCCTCAGTGAATCTGCATTATTACATAACCTTAAATAAACAGAGGGTAGAGGAGGCAGTAAGATAGGCATTTGTCTCAGGTGAGTGGAGAGATGACTTTTCAGTTCTGTCCTTTGTCCCATACCTGAGAAGATCAGCGATGAATTTACACGGTCAGAGTGAAATTCAACAGAACTGCTTTAGGGTAAAGATTGTGGGGCCAACCAGGAATTCCCTTGTGGGAAAATTGTGAGGGAGGTATATACCCTTTCATCTCTGTAGCTGTCTTATTTAGGAACAAAACTGGGGGGCAGGTTTGCATGACCCAGTTCCCAGCTTAACTTTCCCCTTTGCCTTAGAGAGTTTGGGGTCCCAAGATTTATTTTCCTTTCATAGTATATACACACACAATCATTTGTATGCACACATATACACTTATGGATGTGTATTTGTAAGTATCAGTATTTATTTATAGTGACTATATATAATCTTTCCAAATAATCAGTCTGGAGGTCAGCTGAACTTTCTTAGACTCTTTTTATCATGCAGTTGTGTGTTTTTTCAATGGAGGTGAGAGATGTTAAAATGATACTGTGTTGATAATGTTATAATTGAAGCTCTGGGATTCTCTCCCTGGCAAAATAAAAAGTGGGTGATTCAGTATTGTCTTCAGGTTATTTTTCTTTAATTTTGATGGTCCATGATATTTAAAAACAACCACAAACAACCCTGGGAACTGTAAGTTAGGCTGGAAGCCCCCATGCTCGAGGAGGGCTTCTCTGGAGCCCCTCCTGCCCCAATTCTGCTCATAGTCCAAGTCCCTCAGTGACATCAGGGGAGACTGAAATCAGCAAGACAGAGTCACTTGCCTCCACCCCTTTCCCCTGGACATCCCAACACTAGGTGTAATTTCATGATTTAGCCTCTCCTACCTCTGTGCTAAAATAAAGTATTACTTTTCTCTATCCCTTTCTTCCCTTTTCTCTTCTTGTTCCCCCTTTCTGAAGTAAAAGCAACATTCCCACAATTTTAAAAAGTTAGAGCCTAGATGAGGTTGCTCATGCCTGTAATCCCAGCACTTTGGGACGTCAAGGCAGGAGGATCACTTGAGCCTAGGAGTTAAGGACGGCCTGGGCAACATAGTGAAAGACCACATATTAAAAAAAAAAATAAAAAATCAAAAGCCCAAAAAGTTATAAAATCCTTTTTCTTGACCAGCAAACTTGACATTTCCCTTTGGCAGGCATTCCACATCCCACGTTGGGATTCACAAGGTACAAGATGGTTCCAGGAACCAAGATGCAAACTAAGAAACCAGTTGGCCTAACAAAGTGTCAGGGCTTGCTGGTCACAGAGCTCTCCTCTCTCCCATAGGCACACTTGTTTGGCAGCAGGCCCAAGAGTGTCCAGGTTCTGGTAGTGCCCACTGGCAGCATTTGGCAGGTGTGACAGCAGAGGAGTCAGAAAAATAGCAAATCTGGCCTCCCCTCCTGCAGGAGGAACACGGTGGGACTCAGGGTGCTGGCTTTGTAGAAGAACATGCCCTCTGCAGGCCATCCCACCTCTGGTCCTCTTTTTATCCTGGGCGAAGAAGTGTTTTAATCCCAGCCTGTCTGAGCACTGCCCTTTCTTCTACACTCACACTCTCCTTCACAGCCCCAGGGCACGTCATTTTGTCCTACACAATGCCATTATTACTACCTTTTTGTTTTTCTTCTTAGGTGAGCCACTTTTAAAAAATATTCCAATGTTCCTATTCCAAACCTCTTCTCCCCTTTCAAGCTCAGATAAAGGCATCGATATAAGCAAAGCTTTTTTATGCCTCCTTGACTAGGTACCCAGTATTAAGTTCCCAGAACTGCAGTCCCATGAATAGTAGCATTCAGAGGCATTGAAGAGCAAAGGGAAAGTGACTTGTCACTGATCCCCCATTGAAAGGGCTGGCATCCTGGTCAGGCTGACAGGCTCTCAACCCTTCTTCCTCCCTGTGGAACATTTCTCTGGCATTTTTCTCAGAAATATCATGAATGCCCTGTAATAGAGAATAGAGTTTATTTTGAACATGGAACATGGCCAGGTTTTTTTTTTTTTCCCCTTTGAAATGAGATTCTTAGCTATGGACCTATTTCTTTTTTAACTACCTTCTGACCTAGTTCATAATATTACCACCAGAAGCAGAACTAACAAAGAACATGATTCTTGCTTCAGGAGATTGAACAAGTAATAGAACATAGAATTTTAAAAGAAAATCACCATTCATTCTGAGATGAGATAACTTGCCTCAATTTGAACTTCTCTTTATAACTGTTAGGGATGTAGGAAAGGGAAGAGACTTATATTTTTCTAGAGAAAAAGTGTTTACAAATTCTTGAATATTTCCCAATTATAGATTCTTTTATAAAAAATGAAGTGAATGTGTTAGATAATTTAAAATTATTAAATGTTATGCACATGTATGTTCATTCACAACAGCAAAGACATAGAATCAACCTAAATGTTCATCAATAGTGGAGGCCAGGCGCAGTGGCTCATGCCTCTAATCCCAGCACTTTGGGAAGCTGAGGCAGGCGGATCACCTGATGTCAGGAGTTTGAGACCAGCCTAGACAACATGGCGAAACCACGTCTCTACTAAAGATACAAAAATTAGTCAAGCATGGTGGTGGGCACCTGTAATCCCAGCTACTTGGGAGGCTGAGGCAGGAGAATTACTTGAACCCGGGCGGCAGAGGTTGCAGTGAGCCAAGATTGCATCATTGCACTCCAGACTGGGTGAAAGAGCAAGACTCTGTCTCAAGAAAAAAAAAAAAGTAGACTGGATAAAGAAAATATGGTGCATATACACTATGGAATACTATACAGCCATAAAAAGAATGAGATCATGTCTTTTACAGGGTCATAGAGGGAGCTGGAGGCCATTATCCTTAGCAAACTAACACAGGAACAGAAAACAAAATACCGCATGTTCTCACTTATAAGTGGGAGCTAAATGATGAGAACACATGGACACGAAGAAGGGAGCAACAGACACTGGGGTCTACTTGAGAGTGGAGGGTGGGAGGAGGGAGAGGATCAGAATAAATAACTAAAGGGTAGTAGGCTTAATACCTGGGTGATGAAATAGTCTTCACTATAAACCCCCATGACACAAGTTTACCTATGTAGCAAGCCTGCACTTGTAACCTTGAACTTAAAATTATTAAATGTTAAATAATCTAAAATTATTCAATAATTAATAAAGTTTATATATTACCTCAATGTTAATATAGAATTATTATCTAATTATTCATCTAACCAGAGATGATTACAAGGCATAAAATGAGAAAAAGTTGAAGAGAGGTTTCAAAAATATCTCGTATAACCATCTCCCTAGTTCAGGAGACCTGTTCTTCCAGCTTCAACCGAAAGCCATGAAGGTGCCTGCAGTAGTGGAGGGCCCTCTGCCAGGAGAGAATGTGCTCCAGTAACAGAGCACACTGTTACCTGATGGAGCCCCTCCACTGTTGAGGTCTCTGTTATAAGCTCTATTGGGCACAAAATGGCGTCTCAAAATTTGCTGCCCCCAAAATGGGCACTCATTTTAAGCGTGCTTTGTGGTTAAAATACAGTAAATCGTTTAATGCTCAAATACTAATGACAACTAGCATTTATTACATAATCACCATGTGCTAGGCACTGTGTTAAGCACTTTACATTTATTGTGGCATTTACTCCTTACATAAATCCTGTGGAATACAATTTCCCCTCCTTTTTCCACACGAGGAAACAGGTATAGAGGACTTAAGTAACTTACGCAAGGTCACCATGGTAGAGAATGACTGACTGAGGATTCAAGCCCAGGCCCATTTGACTTCAGGACCCAAGCCACTGGTTATACTTTTCACTTCAACCCTATTAAGTATATGTTGAATTCCTATATATAAAGAACTGAGGCTCTCTTATCAAACTAATTTTCCCAAGGTAAGTGGAGTCTTAAAGCAGATCTCTGATTCAAATCTTGTGCTTTATGCCATCATAACCCAACCAGAATGCAGCAGAGAGCATCAAAAAATTAAAGGAATGGGGCATGGTGGCATATGCCTGTATTCCCAGCTACTTGGGAGGACCGCTTGAGCTCAGAAGTCCAAATGCAGTCTAGACAATGTAGCAAGATCCCTTTTCTTAAAAAAAAAAAGTTATCCTCCAGTAAGTTGTCAAGGCAACTGCAGTTGAGGACTTGAGGATCTCAATACCCACTGGAACTGCGTTATTATTTCAATTCAATAATATAAATATTGAATCCTAGAGCTGCCAAGGATGTTGAAGACTCTTCCCCAGGCAAGATAAGTGAGTAAGCCTGAAGGGTAGAAGTGCATTTTTCTTCTGTATTTCCCCAACGTCTAGCATAGTTTTTAAATCATTGTAGGTACTCAATAAATGTTTGTTGACACACTAAATATATCTACCAAGAAATTTATAATTTCTTGCAAATTTAGGCAAATGTCCTTTCCGGTATTGTTTATTGATTTAGACTCCATCTATTTCCAAAAGGAATTTAAAGTGTCTTAATTTCCAGTAGGTTTTTATTTTTATTTGAATCATCTGGTGTTGATTAATTAGTTAAGTTTTGGTGCCTACCTTATAGTGTTTGTTTTCTCTGTTAAAAGCCATGACAGCATAAATTCCCCACTGCAGAGGCCAAACATCTGACAGAGCCAGAGAAAAACACCATCCCAGGAGTTTTTAGTCATCCACAGCAGTGGGGCAAGTCTGGCTGTGTGTTAGAATACGGAAATCCTCAAGTGGGTAACTGCTTGGCCAAATGATGTGGGAACACAATAAGGAAAATGCACAGCTCTTCTATGTGTTATATTTCATTTACAGAAATTAGGAAGCATTTTAGGCTGCAGTGACAATTCAATGTTTAGATTTTTTAAATGATTCTATGTAAAAATGCAGCTTTCTATCAGTTGGCATACAATAGGGGCTAACAAAGCCACCACTCCAACTTAGAAAAAAAAAAAGTTTGTGATCAGAGTTAAATTAGTAAAACAATTAAAATCAGGAGCCATCTGTGGGAGAGAGTCAGGAGATCCATCTTTAAATATATACCTGAATACTTTAGAGGCACCCAATACTCCAGTCAAGGTGATATGGGTATATTTTCAGAAAAGCAGAGCTATTCCATGATTAGAATTTGAAATGGGAAATGGTATCTTATTTGGAGGAAAAAGAAGAAAAGAGAAAGAAGCGATAGGAAGAGAGTTAGTCTACCATGGAAACACATAGAGGCACAAAGGCAAGCCCTAGTTGGGAGAGAAGGAGTTTTCCTGGAGGGAACTAGAGGACACTTGGGCAAGTTTGTTCCTGTAATAGGTGAGGTGATTCAAGCTACCTTAGATCAGAAACAATTCTGAAGACCAATGATCTTCCCTTTGTGCTGACTCCATTCTTACACAAGATGTTGGATCACTGAGGTTTCAAGCAGCTTGTCAACAGTGAGGATAGTTACTGGCCAGACCTACTTGTGCATTCTTGGCTGTGGTAGATTAATGCAAAGCCATCTGGCTTGTATCTCTTTAAGCTTGATTAATGCAGTTTCACATCCCAATCTCAGCGGGCTGATCAAATCAGGTTTCTGAGCCATCATCACGTCTGAAAACTTGACCCTGAGGTGATGGATTCACCAAGGCTTAGCCACTGGTAAGGATCTGGTTGAGTGGTCAGCCAACCTTCTCGAGGTTGGGAAATTTCTTTCAGCAATACCAATAACCTTGACCACGAGACTAATGTTCCTGGATTCTCTTGCTAGTTGCTTCTCAGGTGACCACTAAAGTGACCAGTAAGTCTAGGAAAAATGCCTTTGATGTCTGGCTCAGATAACTGCTCTGTTATGACCTTCACTGTCATCTCTTGCTGCCAAGTTCTGTTATCTCAAGGTGATATTCACCTTGAAAACCCTGCAATGGCTGATGCTGTTGCACCCAGCACTGCAGCTCATTGACTTAGCAGCGTGTTCCCTAGTGCAAGACCAATGAAGCACATTCTCTATAAAAGCAGAAACAAACAAACAAAAAAGGCATTGTATTTGTTCATCAAAATGGAAGATAGGCAAAAAGTAAAGGAAGATTTTTGTTGGAAAAGGTAGAACTAGGCTCAGCATTTGACCAAAATGTGGGAAATGAAGGAGGCACACAATGGACATGGGTTATTTGAGAAGTAGAAGATAGCTTCAAAGAGAGAAAAAGGTGCCTTTACCCCTCTATTATTTTATCAAGCATGAGTATATTCACATTAAGCCTGGCCAGGCCTATATTAAAGGTAAGACTTAAGTCTTATTGTGTAACTTTCTCATAATGCCACTAGAATAAAAACTTCATTAGACCTTAGATAGGTAATGAGAACAGAAACTGCTCTTAAAAGTTGTGAACAAGCATGACTTAGGAAAACAAAACATGAGAGCAAAAGATCTACCTCATATGTTAAGTAACATGTACCCTTTATGGATGAGAGATACACAATAGCACTACAGAGGAAGATGGGCATAGCATAGATTAGGCAACTGATATTTGTGGGTGTGTTGGGGAAGGAAAAGTTTGTGATTAAAGCATAATTAAGGCAGCATTGTGCCACATGCATTGAAGATTCCTGACGGAGATAAGGAAGATAAGGAACTACATTTATACTCTGCAATTGTACTATTTTTATGATAGTGGCCAAAGTTTATTGAGATTTTCCTATATGCAAAGTCTGTGCTAAATCCTTTATGTACATTGTCTCATTTAATCATCTGGAAAACCCTGTGTAGTGGGTACAATAAGGAATGAAGCTTAAGAAGATATGTGATGAGGACATCAGGAAGATGGCAGACTAGGAAGTTTTAGGCCCTTGTTTTCCCAAGGAAACGTTAAATAAGAGACTGATTAAATAATTTTATAGAAGCTCTGGGAATCAGTCAAAAATTTATAAGAACCAAGCAAATACCCAACTAAGAAAAATCCACATTAAACATGGCAGGAAATTTTATTGCATTTTTACTCACCCTTGCCCCACCCCGCCCCAAGGCAGCATGGCAGTCTGGGGGATGTGATGGCCTGCTGCCCAGTTTCCTTCTGCAAATTGGAGAGATTTAGACCATATTTGCAATGTTCTACCCTGTATGACAGAAGCCTGGGAGATTGACCTCTGCGTTGCTTAACTAGGAGCTCAGACAGCTAAAAGTGTCACAGTTTGAATTTCAGGCTAGAGGAAGATAGGAGAAGAAGCAGGCATGGCTTGTGAAAATCACAAGGGTTTTATAGACCCACAGATATCTGGGGCAAGAGATCTTTGAGCAATACAATAGAACAGGTGAGACCCCAAGAAGAAGCAAAGGTGAGACTATTAGAGAAATTGAGACATTAACCAGCTGTGTATATGAGGGAATCAGAAAAAAGCATGCACACAGGTCCAAGGAAGATACGTGGCTAGAAAAGGCCTTCACAGAGGGCCTATTAGTGAAGGTCTTCCTCTGCTTAGAGTCAGTCTTCAAAGACTGGGAGAGGTGGCTATTTTTTTCAAATGCCCAATTTTCAACAAAAGATCACAAGACATTAAAATTAAAAAAAAAATCTGGCCTATTCAAAGGAACAAAATAAATCTTCAAAAGCTCGAAGAAACACAACCATCAGACTTACTAGACAAAGACTTTAAAACCACTCTCTTAAATACACTTAAAGAGCTAAAGGAAATCAAGAAAAGAATGTATGAGTAAAATGAGAATATAAAAAAAGTAGAAATTATAAAAGTCAAATAGAAATTCTGGACAGAAGAACACAATAAGTGATTTAAAAAATTCACCAGAGATGCAACAGCAGTCTTGAATAGACAGAAGAAAGAATCTGTGAATTTGAAAAAGGTCATTTAAAATCATTGAGTCTGAGGAATAAAAAGAAAAGAGAATAACAAAAAATGAACAGAGCCTAAGGAACTTGCAGGATCCCATCAAGTGGACCTACATATGCATTATGAAAGTTCCAGAAGAAGAGGGAAAGAGTCCAGAGAGATTATTTGAAGAAACAATGGCAGAAAATACCCCCAATTTGAGGAAAGACATAAATGTACAAATGCAAGAAGCTCAAAGAAATCTGAGATAAACCTCAAAGACCCACACCAAGTTAGACTGTCAAAAGCCAATGACAAAGAGAGAATCTTGAAAGCGGTAAAGTAGCCTGCCACGTACAAAGGATCCTCAATAACATTATCATGTATTTCCCAGCAGGAATTGTGTAATTTGCCTGAAACCAAACAACTAAGAAAAGGTGGACTTGAACCCAGGCCCATTAGTGCAAAGCTCATTCTCTTAACCAGTGGTTCTCAAAGTGTGGTCCCTGGGCCTACAACATCAGCATCACCTGGGAACTGGTCAGAAGTGGAAGTAAAAATTCTCAGGCTTCACCTTGACCTCCTGAATCAGAAATGTCTTTTAATAAAACCTGCAGATGTTTGAACTGCTCTTAACCATTATACAATGGATGCACTGCTTGAAAATGCTTGAGGATTTTTTCTTTTTCTTCTCATAAAAGTATAGCCATATATGACCACAACCCATTATCTGCAATTCTGAAAATTCAGAAAACTCTGAACACCAAAAAAACTTTTTTTTAGTCATTTGTGGTAGCAAAATTCTTACCTAAACTAATAATTGGTTACTTGGCGTTTTTGTTTATCCTGCTTAGTGTGAATATTCATGTTTCATTGTAAGGGTATGATTGTGTTTAATGACAGTGTGTTGTCTCATAGGCTGTTGAGGGTTTTTTTGTTTATAGTATATGTGTTATAAATAAATATGCTCTAGTAACAGGCCACTGGAAGAAGTAAAAATTAAAAAATAAACACACGTGGCCCTATGAGTTTCACATAAAAGATTTTGGATCACTTCAGTAAATAAAGATTACTGGGCTATGATTTTGGAAGCCTGAGTTAAAACCAGACTCTGCTACCTTGCTACCTTGAAAAGCAATGAGCTCTCTTTTTGCCTTGGTTTCTTCCCTATTTAACTAGGGATTAAAGTAACTAATCTCATAATCTCCTCCAGCCCCATCCACTAGAGATATACCTGAACATACTTGGAGCACAGATTTTTAGTTATTTCTTTAATTCTGTTATTTTCTCAGCAGGTTACTCTTCATTTGATATTATCAGGTTGGAGCAAAAGTAATTGTGATTTTTATTACTTTTAATGGCAAAACCCACGATTACTTTTGCACCAACCTATAAGATGCTTTCCATCTTCCTCTCTTATCTTGGTGCAAGAAAACTAAGTGGTGTGACCATGTGTATACATAAATATTTTTAAAAGGACCTCCCCCAAACTCAATCATGATTATTTGTGTTATAGGGGAGCCTAAGAACAGGAGTGACAATTTTTTTTAAGGCACTGTTACTACCCACTAAGTTCAGAGAGACTTGGTTTTATTAAGTATGCTAGAAAAGAAATAAAAGAATCCCACTGGTCTTTCTGGGAAGATATCCAGGAGTCTCCTATCCAAGAGATAGGAGTCACAGGCTGTCTGTCCACAGCCGGTAGAAGAGGAGTGAGACAGGACCCAAGATGATAGACTGTCTGCTCTCAGCATGTGTGTTTAGGGAACATGAGACCAGAATGAGACACTTCCTGCAATGCACCCGCTAAGTCTTGATAGCATCTTGTAGAATTGCTGCTGCTGACTTATGCCCCAGCTGTGCAAGGATGCTTTTGGTATGGAGCCCCTGGTGAGGATGACTTTTTGCTGAAAAAAAAAAAAAATTGGTCCTGTTGATCCTGTAACCAAGTAAGCTTTGGCATTTAAGTGTGAAGACTGAAAACCCACTGTTGAGTGAGCTGTTATCCTGATTTAAACTTTAAATGGTACATTTTGCCTTTTCTTGTGACAAGGTGTTCTTTTTGACCTTCTCCAGGTAAAATATTTTTCCATATTCTAAGAATAAAAAAACTCAATAAATTATTTATTCCCGTCAGGCAGGAGCTTGCTCAAAATATCTATATTGAGCAATTATAAAAGCCTTGGAAATTTCCATCTTCAACCTTAGAAATGACTGATTGAATTCCAATTAGGGAATCATGGACAGGAGAGAATTGGAAGGAGAAGTATTTCCTGTAACAAAGTTGGAATTATAAAAAAATAGGCCAAGTGCAGTGGCTCATGCCTGTAATCCCAGCACTTTGGGAGGCTGAGGTGGGCGGATCACCTGAGGTCAGAAGCTGGAGACCAGCCTGGCCAACATGGTGAAACCCGATCTCTACTAAAAATACAAAAATTAGGTGGGCATGATGGCATGCACCTGTAATCCCAGCTACTCGGGAGGCTGAGGTGGGAGAATTGCTTGAACCCAGGAGGCAGAGGTTTAGCGCCATTGCACTCCAGACTGGGCAACAGAGTGAGACTCCATCTCAAAAAAAAGAAAAAAAAAAAAGAAAAATAGTCTACGTCAAGATTGCCCAACCCTCCTTATTTTGTTGTTGTTGTTGTTGTTGTTGTTCTGTTTTGTTGGGTTTTATCAGCCCGAAGCCATGGTTTTTAATTTCTGTCTCTAGTAGTAAGCAGAAAAGTGGGATGAGGAAGGGGCTTTACTGGCCCAACCAGACCAGACACAGAAACTAAGAAGCCATGACTGTATTCTCTCCCTTGGGCACCCCTGCTCTACATGCTTTCTATGGCCTCTTCTTCCTGAATGTATTCTTTCCCTCCATTCAAGGTTCCACTTGTTAAATATGATCTTCCCCTCTCACGGAAGTGCCACTGTTTCCTTGATTTCTCATAAGTTTCTTCCTCTCTTATTCTTGCCTTAGGCCATCTTCTCATCTTTTTCCCCACTCCACTTTCTTCCCCTTACGTCCCCACTCCTCCTTCCATCCTCCCCTCCCACACACTCCTCCAAATCCCAAAATAACGAGTGCAGAAGAGAATACATGGCATGTTCAAGCTTGAGAGTGGTGGTCAGGGTTAAGCAAGCGAGAATGAGAGTGATTCTTTTATTTTTCCCAAACTTGAGTGATTAGGCTATTACTATTTCCCTTTAGGATAAAGATTAAAGACTGTTAAAAAGTTGTTAAATTCTTAAAAAGGACTAATTTTGTGACTCCCAGTAGTAATAGTCTGAAAATGTTCAGAGGTTTCGAATTTAATTTTTTTCATTTCATGTATTTTAAACTGAAATCATATCATTCACATCTAATGGTGGTTTCATTCTATGAGCAAATTATTTCTGATATATATAGTATATGTATATATGCATATGCACACTCACTTCTGTATATACAACTTGATTTGTAATAATTTTAATATGTTTAAATAATTTTATGAGTTTTAAAAGATACGATTCATCGTCTTAACTCTGGAAGGTACCTTTAAAAGTATCTCTTGCACTCTCATCATTTTACAGATGAGTATTTTCAAAGAAATAATTTGAGTAGCAGACAGACTTCAGCCTGGAATCCAGTTCCTGAGACTCCTAGTTCATCATTCCTTTTACTAAACCCTAATGTCTCCCACGCAGATTCTAATTATATCTTATGAATTTTTAAACTTCCAAGATTAGAGAATTGCAAGATTGAAGTTTTTCATAGACTAGTTGTAATGAGAGCAAATATAAATTAGAAGGTGATTGGAAGTGAATCAGAAGCCTGAATTTATAGCTTCTAGGATGCTACTTAAATTAAAAAGTTAATTATAATGTGAATATGAATGAAAAGTTTATTGCTCATTATTTAAAATATATACACATTTATAAGAAACTTCATAGAAAACACTTGGATGTTCATTTTTCTTGTGTCTATAATACCCAGTAACTGTTATATTGTATAATAGAATTCATTAGTTTTAAAATATGTCAAAATCCATTGACATGTCAAGTAGAGAAATTATATCTCTTGGAGCCTTGAACACTCTTTTGAAGGATTGATAACAGCTCCTGGTGAAAATTGAAGCTAGATTTGGTGACTTAATGTGGTCCTTTCAGGGATAGAAATCCATCCATGTATTAATGGAGTGTAGACAATTATTGGTGGTGACAATCAATACGTTTTATTAGATAGCAAAAGGAGAACAAAGGAGAAGCCTGACTTGCAAATGTTTATTTCTGTTAGCATTCAGTCATCCTTACCTCCTAGTCCATACCAGGGCTGGTTTTGAACTGTTGTCGTGATACAGTCACATACACACAGTGTGAGAGAAGCTTCCAAGGGGGGATGTTTGAGCACGCCAGACTTTAGTGGCAGACAGACAAGATTTGAAAACTGGTTCTGCTACTAACTTGTGACTCTGGGCCCAATACATGACACAGTTGCCCAAACCTCATTGTCTTCATCTTAAAAAAGAGAATGCTAAGATTTGTGTCCCAAGGTAGTGTCATCATGTCTGCAAAGTACTTGGCTTATGGGCCTCTAAATAAGTGGCAGCGATTACTATCATCATCATCATCATCATCATCATCATCATCACCATCATCATTGTTTTGCTATTTTGAAATGCATGACTATATGAGTATTTATGTGCATTTTTCTAGGAATAGTTTCTAGTGTTCATAATTTTGACCATCCCTTGATTTCACCTTTTTCTAAGTTGAGCAGCAGCATCCTTTTGACAGGTACCCATCAGTTATATAATCTGGAAGTTGTTCAGCTCCTCATGGCACTGCATGCTATTAAAATACAGGAGAATCCAACTTAATATTCTGTGTCCAGACCACAAGCACAGTTAGCAGACAGAGGTTTTCTTTCCAGTGACTTTTCAAATCTCTCACCAGCAAGGAATAGACCATTGAAAAAAACTTTGCCCTACAAATTGATAATGAAACAAGAGCAAATGGCGACTTAGCCTAACACACATCTCTTAACTAACTCCTTGATTCCTTCTCCAGGATATCAAAAATTAATGATAAGTATGTGATAGCATATGTGTTTCATGGAATGGGTTTAGCTTTATGTGGATTTTCTGTTTTTAGCACCTGTACCTACAAAAGAGTTCATTTGCATAAGTGGGGTGTGTGAGTGTGTGTGTGTGTGTGTGTGTGTGTGTGTTTTAATAAATTCTTATTCTCTTTCTCAGTGTAGCATTCCTTGGTAATATGAGTGGAGTTTTCTGTTTGTTACATGGTGGGCGAGTTGGTTCATTTCTGGATAAATGGCAAATTTTAATTTTGTATGTTCTTTCCTTTTTATCTTAGGAGCAAATGCTTCTTTGTGCAGGCAGACAAGCTTAGATTATGTTAAAAATATATATATCACTGGTTAGAGACCACCATTTCTTGCTTCCAGAACAGTTTCACAACTTGATCTCTCATCCCTGCCAGCATGAGCCGTTTTCAGTCAAGGGATATCCATGTAATCCACAGGGAATCCCTTGATCATAAGCTTAGTAGGCTGGAGCATGGAAGGGGAGGTTCAGGATCACAGTAACCATATGACCCATCCTAAGAAGATCAAGTACTATGTGTGTGTGGTGGGTGTGAATCTCAGCCCAGCAACTCAGATTTAAAAGATACTCCATTCCAAATCTTTACTTACCTGCCAAGCTGATGACTGGCAGGAATTTAGTCTCAGCCCTGACTGACAAAGGTTGTACAAGATCCTGGAGTCTTTCCCAGCAGCTGAGGACCCCTCTGGTTATATGTGTTTGTCCCAGCTAGTTGTCAGTAGAACCCATCAGCACAGCCTCATGTCCCTTCAGTTTTGGGGACTGGCAAAGCTGGAGCCCCAGGGCCTAGAGTCCAGCCTTTGTGGGTACACACAACATTTGACCTCTGAGAGTCTGCCATCTTCCCAGGCAGGCCTGGGGCCAGGTGGCGGGTCCTTTGGTCCTTGCAAGACCCATGGACTTCTCCCCCTTTCCAGTCATGAGGACCCTCTCCTCTCTACCTTGGTGCATCTCCAAGGCATTCCTCTCCAGACACCCTGTGTCATCTCTTCAACAGCTCAGGATTTGGGAAGACAAAATACTATATAGAAATGGAAGTGCACTTTGGAAGGCCGAGGCGGGCGGATCATGAGATCAAGAGATCGAGACCATCCTGGCCAACATGGTGAAACCGTATCTCTACTAAAAATACAAATATTAGCTGGGCATGGTGGCACGCACCTGTAGTCCAAGTAGGCTACAGGAGGCTGAGGCAGGAGAATCGCTTGAACCATGGAGATGGAGGTTGCAGTGAGCCGTGAGCACTACACTGCACTCCAGCCTGGGTGACAGAGCGAGACTCCGTCTCAAAAAAGAAAAAAAAAAAAAAAGAAATGGAAGTGGCTTGTGCACAGTCTCTGCTTTTAGCCCTGGATGAAAACTGTCTTGAGGTCCTGTCTTCTTTCAGATGAAGAAATGAAGGAAATATGTATCTTAGTAAATTATCCTGCATGTTTTGAGAGATTCAAACATAGAAAGTTAAGGAATGTGTGTGCAGGAAATATTTAAATAGAAAATAGATTAGCTACAAAGGAATGTGTGTACAGGAAATAACAATAACTACAGTTGCAGAAAATAGCATCTGGTACCAGTTGGTGACCCTGGGGCAGGACGCTGGAACTCACAGCAATCAGGAGTGGGATTACTTTACACTGGGGATCATCTGTACTTTTTGAAGTTTATTAACCTATGCATGTAATGATTTCTAAAAATAAGAAGTTTGCTGGAATCTTAAAAGTGCATGAATAGATTTAAGTCACAATTATTTTATTTTATTTTTGGAGAAAGGGTCTCCCTCTGTTGCCTAGGCTGGGGTACAGTTGTGTGATCCCAGCTCACTGCAACCTCTGCCTCCCGAGTTCAAATGATCCTCCTACCTCTGCCTCCGGGGTAGCTGGGACTACAGGTATGCTCCACTATGCCCAGCTAATGTTTTTGTATTTTTTGTAGAGACAGGGTTTCGCCATGTTGCCCAGGCTGGTCTTGAACTGCTGGGCACAAGCTATCTGCCCACTTCTGCCTCCCAACATGGTGGGATAACAGGTATGAGCCACCAATCCAGCTCACAATTATTTTCATTACCGAAAACTGTTATTTGTTTTATAGAAACATTCAATGAAGAAATCTGTTCTGCCAAAACCATTTGAAGTTTTTCCTGAAGTTTTATATCAAGAAAATAATAAAATGAAAAAATACCGGATTTTAAAACTTTGACATATTCAAATTTAGATTTGTTAATTAAAATTCTATGTACATAGAATGTTTCTTATAGAAACTAATTTATTGCATTAGGGAAATATTCCTGCATAGGCTTACGTGCTACTTTTGGGGGTCTGAAAGTGAACCAACTTGCAGAACTTATATGATTATCTAGCAAGATTCACTCATTACAGAATTGTCTCATCTCCTTCAATGTGTCAACTTGGAAGAAACTTAAGCCATATTCAGACTGTGAAAAGATACATTTAGAAAAACTATTTTAAACCTCTGGAAACAGCACATATTTGGCCAGATGATGCTGATCGCCCTTGGTGGACTTGAAATATAGCAGCCAAAATTGTCTTCTGTGCTGTGTGGCCAATCTGCAGTGAAGAGGGCCCATTATGTGCACTCATGAGAAAACTTATGATTTACAGTCCTTGCACCCAGCTGGGCCACATAGTTGACACTTATGCTTTTGAATATCATTTTTTGGTTCTGGAGGTAATGGCAGCTGTATACAACTTTTCTAAGCAAGAAGTTATGCTATTCCTTTGAGGAATCTTTCCCAGATCTGGTTTCTTGCAAGGTTTTGAGGAGTCTTACTGAGGCACAGAAAATTTACCCCAGATAAGCATCAGACTTGAAAGTAGCCATCAGTCAGCTTCTCATTTAGCTGGTGTCGGTGGGGTACATGTCAATTTGACAGAGCCCATGGTGGGCAAAAAAGAATTTGCAAATAATGGAATTTATTAATGCAGCCTCAACTTATGAAAATTACTGAGATTCAAGACACTAGAGGAAAGGGAAAAAATCACATATAATCTCCCTCTCGTGGAAAAGCACTTGCCATCATCCTTGAACAATGATAGAGCAGAGTTTAATTGCTTTGTAGTTACTGGGTAAGATCTGGTGTCAAGGACTTGAGTCTGCTCTACTATCTTTTTCCTGGCTCTTTGTTTGGAAATAAATACTAGCAATAATTGATGGTAAGTCCTCAGTTCCTAACAGTGTCACTGTGCTTTAATTTGAAGAGGCAACTTGAATCCAAAAATGTGCTTGAGTCAAGCATTTATTTTAAAATAAATAAATCCAAGGATAAATCCTGAACCTACAGATGGACCAACCTCCTGTGTCTTCTACTAAGTACAGTTCAGAGGCCCTAAGGCAAACTCGGATGTCATAATTTCAGTTTTAGAAAATAGCATTTATACATTTTAGAAATACTTTTAATGTGGGTTGAAATAAAAATGATTTTCTAGATGAGTCTGGCTTAATTAGAAAATGTAATGAGCTCCATTTCCTAGTTTGCCTCCAAGTTGTAACTTCAATTTCATCTTGTGGGCAGTCTCAGTTGTTAGTAGCTGCTTGAAGCAATGGGCTGAGAGAGACGGCGAGGCCAAGGGCAGGCTCAGGAAAGAACAGCGTGATTGACTATCATTGCCAACATTGGGCGTGTGAGTCAGGAGAGGCAGCATGTATTTGTTATTTTGGCTATAACTTTTCTATCAACTCAGGAAGAGAACTGGAATTCTTGAGCTAATAAACAATGCCTCCCTCATGATCATTTTCTGAAACTTATGTTGTCCATTGCAATTGTTCATCACCGATTCTGGTGTGTCAGGATGGCTGAGTGGTCTAAGGCACTGAGTTCATCACAGATTCTGATATTTGGTCCCCTACTCCATCAAAATATCCAGGAGAATTTCATATATAAGAATCCCAACCCATGTCCAGACTCTATTTTTGGGGTCTCTGAGATGGCTTAATAAATAGTGGAAGGGGGTAAAAATTTCCCTTTACCCTTCTAAATTCTGGGCTGAGATCACCTGCTCCAAAAGGCGGATTAAGAAGAAGAAAAAAACAAACACAAGCTTATATGTACATTTCATATGTATTTGGGAGATACCCAGAGAATGAGCAAATCTCTCTCATTTTTGAAGTTTAATTAAAAAAAAATTTTTAGAGGCAGAGTCTTGCTCTGTTGCCCAGGCTAGAGTGCAGTGGCATGATCATAGTTCACTGTAACCTCAAATTCCTAGGTTCAAGCAATCCTCCTTCCTCAGCCTTCTGAGTAGTTAGGACTACAGGCACATACTACCATACCTGGCTAATGTTTAAAGTTTTTTGGTAGAGACAGGGTCTTGCTGTGTTGACCAGGTTGGTGTTACTCTCCTGGCCTCAAGCAGTCCTCTTGCCTCAGCCTCCAAAAATGATTGGATTACAGGTGTGAGCCACCATGCCCAGCTGAGAATGAGAAATTCTCAAAAAGGTGACTTCTAACTCTGGCTTACATAGCATCTTCAGTAAATAACAATACATTTTTGGAGAAGTGACAAGACAAAGGAAAAAGACCTAGAGTCTGTAGAGGCAACAAATCATGGGAACGCAAATGCAGTCATACATCACTTAATAATGGGTATCTGTTCTGAGAAATGCATCATTAGCATAGCCTACTACACACCTAGGCTATATGATAGAGACTGTTGCTCCTGGGCTACGAACCTGCACAGCATGTTACTGTCCTGAATACTTTAGGCAGTTTTAACACAATGGTAAGTATTTGTGTACCCAAATGTATCTAAACCTAGGGAAGGTACTGTTGGCTGGGTGCAGTGGCTTATGCCTGTAATCCCAGCACTTTGGGAGACCAAGGTGGGTGGATCACCTGAGGTCAAGAGTTTGAGACCAGCCTGGCCAGCATGGTTAAACCCTGTCTCTACTAGAAATACAAAAATAATTAGCCAGGTGTGATGGCAGGCCCTAGTAATCCCAGCTACTCGGGAGGCTGAAGCAGGTGAGTCACTTGAACCCGGGAGGTGGAGGTTGCAGTGAGCCAAGATCTCACCATTGCACTCCAGCCTGGGTGGCAAGAGCCAAGATTCTGTCTCTAATAATAATAATAATAATAATAATAATAATGTTTTAAAAAATAAAAATAAACCTAGGGAAGGGTCTGCAAAAACACAGTGTTACAACTGTTGCAGTCTTATGGGACCATCATCATATATGTGATCCGTTAACCAAAATGCATGACTATATAAGAAACTAATGACAGATAAACGCTAGTTAATTAAGGTTGTTATGTAGATTCCTCTGGGGTTGGTCTCCAGGCTGATAAGAGTCTAAAGTTGTCTCTGGTGTTGAACATTGTCCTTCCTGGTAGAGAAGGGAGGAGGACACTTTTGTAAACTCATGTCCTGCTTTTAGGCAAATGGGGGAGACAGAGATATTTCCCTGTGTTTTCTTCTCTATTGCCTTCAGCTCAAAATAATCCTTTTGCCAAAGTGGCATATTTTCAGGTGGCATATTCTGCTCCCCTTCAAAAGCATCCTTCTTCCTGAACAAATTGACAATTCTGACAAGGAGTAGCAGATGGAGGCCAAATGATCGCCTTAATGACAAAGGCTAAATTGGAAGATGTAGCTTAATGTGAGATCCAAACATCTTCCTCACTGAACCCCAGAACTAGGTAGGCTTATCACCCAGGCACAGCCAGTGCTAGACTAGGGCACATCTGGACATGAAGGGGCTTGTCCAGGCAAGACTTGAGGCATGGGTGTTGAGGGTGGGATAGGTCTCCCAAGAAGAAGCAAGGGAACAAGCTGATAACTCTTCCTCAGTCTCACAATCAGCTCATTCATTCCTCCTCCTAGGGCAGTGTGAGTAAAGGTTTGGAGAAAGATGAAAGGCAAGCTCGCGTCACATCACACAAGCATCCTTGAACCTGGAAGATGGCATTAGGAATGGAGCAGATGAATTTCCCTCAATGGTGCCCATATTTCTATCTGCCTTACCTTAAAAATGTATTCCATATCTCTCCACTTTTCCCCATCCCTAGCATTCACACGGTGGTTCAAGCTGCCACCGTCCTTCGTCTAGGCTCCATGCTATTGCAGCGGTCTTCTAATTGTTCTCCTGCTGCGACCCTTGTCCCCCTGCAACCCATTTCTGACAAACATCAGGGGTCATCCTTGTGGAGGGTAAATCAGATCATGTTCCACCCCTGTCCAATCCACTGTGTCTTTTCATCACACAGTATAAATCACAACCTCACACCGTGTCCAATAGCCCTGTGTAATTTAACTCTTCACCAACCCCTTTGACGTCCCCCCAACTCTGCCCCACGTCACTCCCTAGATTTAACCACTTTGGCCTTCCTGATGTTCTTCCAACACTCCAACCTCATTTCTGCCTTGATTTCTTCTTCTTCTTTCTTTCTTTCTTCTTCCTCCTCCTCCTCCTCCTCTCCTGCCACCCCACCCCAGGCTGGAGTGCAATGGTATGATCTCGGCTCACTGTAACCTCTGCCTCCCAGGTTCAAATGATTCTTCTGTCTCAGCCTCCTAAGTAGCTGGGATTACTGGTGCCTGCAACCATGCCCAGCTAATTTTTTTTTTATTTTTAGTAGAGACAGGGTTTCACCATGTTGACCAGGCTGGTTTCAAACTCCTGACCTCAGGTGATCCACCCGCCTTGGCCTCCCAAAGTGCTGGGATTATAGGAGTGAGCCACTATGCCTGGCTGATAGCTTCTTGGTTGATGTTCCTTTCTGTTCTGAGCACTCTGCTCACAAATTCTTTGCATCTCATCTCAATGTTACAGCTTCAGCAAGGGCTTTCCTGGCTGGCATTCTAAAGAAGCAACCTTTTCCTTAATGTCTGTCATTTCATCCTACTTCTCTCACACCTGCCATCTTTTTATCTGTGTGTTTACTTATGTATTCGTTGTTTCCTCACCCAGGGCAAGTAAGCCCCATGAAAACAGGGGTTTTGCCTGGGTGCCTTTCAGAACTTGGAGAGCTCATCATGGATTTGGCATTCCATAAATATCAATTTAGAGGGTATAAATACATGACCCCAAAATCATCAGACAGATTATGTCCTGAATTTTAATTCAGAGAATACAGTTGAAGTAATGATTATGTCTTTTGTAAAAAACAAAAACAATCAAACATAACCTGGCAGTGAGAGAATATGTCCTAACAGAAAGCAACTCTGCTAGTGAATCTGGAATTCACTGTCATGGACCTCATGTCCCAGGACATTCATGACTTGGGGGAAAAACACCCAGAATTTGGTCCCTCTGCCTGGATATTTTATTTTGAAACTTGGAAGAGGCAATGGAGTGTTGTGATTAAGACGATACACTCAATAGTCATATTGCTGGGCTTAAATCTGGGCTTCATCACTCACTAGCTGTGTGCCCCTGGGCAAGTTACTTAAGTTCCTTGTGTCTCAGTTTCTTATCCATAAAAATGTGGATAATAACAATAACTACTTCTGATAATTATTGTAAACATTAATTAATATAGTCAGTAAATCTACTTAACGTGGTGACTGACACAAAACAAGAACTCAATAAATGCTCATTGGAAGTAACAGGAGTATAATGGGTACAAAAAATAGAATGATTAAGATCTACTATTTGATAGCACAACAGGGTGACTATAGTTAATAATAGCTTAATTGTATATTTTAAAATTACTTAAAGAGTGTAACTGCATTATTTGTAACTCAAAGGATAAATGCTTGAGGGCATGGATGCTCCATTCTCCATGATGTGCTCATTTCACATTGCATGCCTGTATCAATACATCTCATGTACCACATAAATGTATACTCCTATGTACCTACAAAAATTTAAAAAATTAAAATATTTAAAAAATTTTTTTAAGTAATAGAGGTAATAATATAATTACATTTTGCTAGATGTTGGAGGGTAGTAACTGCCTTATAAGTTGTAACCACTTTTTTTTTCTTCAATCACCTGCCTTTCTACTGTGTTAGCTCTTTGGGGACAGTGTCAAGATCTTTCTATTAATGAGGTCCCTGCTCCTTTGCCACATCTTATATTAGTGAAATATCAACAGGTAGGTGCATTACATTCCACCGTTTTCCTCTTTTGTCTTCATCCTCCTCAAGTTTCTTTCTGATTGTTCCTTTCTGGCTCAGTAGTTAGAAATATTAAGCCAGTTAAAAATGTGCCTTTCTGTCACCACAGTTTTCCTGGTCAGTAAGATTGGCAGAGTGGCTTATAGAATAAGGAGGGGGCTCCTTGCTAGAATAAGGTAAGAGAGCTGCCACTTGCACCTTCCCCTCTTCTCCAGACAGGATAAGCATCTCAGTCCAAGCTGATCTTCCCCTCTAAGACAGTAGCCTCTGCTTTCAAAATCACTCTGCTTAGTTCCTCTGTCGACCCAAAGTGTGCTTGTAGCATATCCTCTAAGATAGGACAAAGGCCAAATCTAGCTTTGTCAAACACACAAGCTCAGACAAAATCCTGAGTTAAAATCCCAGCTCAGTGGCATTCTCTCTAGCTAGATGACCCCTGGCCGCTGGGAGCCCTGCTCTCTTCATCTCTCAAAGTAAGATCCTCCCTGTCTTGCAGGGTTGTTGTTGACGATGCTATGTAATAATATCTGCAGAAGTACTTTTAAAACTGTAAGCAACAAATAATAGCTACAGTTATGCTTCCTCCACTGCCATACTGTCTCGCTCCAAAAACAAACCATAGTTGTTCTTCACATATACAATTATAGACCTGGAAATAATGAGGCGTTCATCTGCCTGAATCATCTAGAATTACAGAAACAGCAATCTGCTACCACCAACTCAAACTCACTATCATGTCCTCTGCAGCTAATTGTCTTTGACAATCAATTTAAAAGTTAATAAAAAGGAAACATCTGGTGACAAAAAATAAAGTATTAAAAATGGAAAGAAATACATCAAAATGACACAGAATACAACTTACAGGGGCTCCCATTGGCAATATATGCAACAATTTGAATAATGAATGATGACAGTAATAGGTTATAAAACTTTGAATTAAGAAACATGAATCCATACTAATTAAACATTTTTTAATATAAAAGTGATGGTTAGCTGGATGTGGTGGTGCATGCCTGTACTCCCAGCTACTCAGGGGTACTAAGGCAGAAGGATCACTTGAACCCAGGAGTTCAAGGCTGCAGTGAACCACTGATCACTCTGTACTCTAGCCTGGATGACAGAGCAAGACCCTGCCTTAAAAAAAAAAAAGTCTTGAAGGGTGATAGGAAAAGTGGGGAAGCTTTCCTTTTTTTTTTTTTTTTTTTTTGAGAAGGAGTCTCACTCTGTCGCCCAGGCTGGAGTGCAGTGTTGCGCTCTTGGCTCACTGCAACCTCGGCCTTCAGAGTTCAAGCAATTTTCCTGCCTCAGCCTCCCGAATAGCTGGGACTACAGGCACATGCCACCATGCCCAGCTAATTTTTGTATTTTTAGTAGAGATGGGGTTTCACCATGTTGGCCAGGATGGTCTCGATCTCTTGACCTCATGATGTGCTTGCCTTGGCCTCCCAAAGTCCTGAGATTACAGGCATGAGCCACCGTGCCCAGCCAGGGGGGACGTTTTTCTTTGTGGAAGAATGCCAACTAACAAATAATAGAATGGTCAGAGCAGAGTAGTGTGTGCCTGTAATCCCAGCACTTTGGAAGGATTGCTTGATGCCAGGTGCACAAGACTAGCCTGGGCAACATAGGGAGATTTCATCTCTACAACAGTAAATAAATAAAGAATTAGCTGGGCGTAGTGGCGTACACCTGTAGTCCCAGCTACTCAGGAGGCTGTAAGGCAGGAAGGTCACTTGAGCCAAGAAATTTGAGGCTGCAGTGTGCTGTGATCATGCCTGTGAATAGCTACTGCACTTCAGCCTGAACAACATAGCAAGACCCCATCTCTAAAAAAAAAAAATAATCAGCATACTGTTAGCCAGCCAGCTCTTGCTGGTATTCTTTCTGCTATTTTTCACAAGTAAATTCACTCTGATCCAAAGTCTTGGGGAAAAAGTGAAATATACATCTCAGCTGAAATAAAGCAAGGTCCCTAGGTCTGTATCAACTATTTCCATGTCTAGAGGTGGTCAGTGAATCTGCCACATAGGTAGCGAGTCACCTTCTAAGTCAGAAATTCCAGTATCTCGTTGGGAAGGTTAGCCTTTGTCTTGTCGATCCAATGCTTTTAATTGTAGCCATATGATCTCAAAAGCAAATGTAACAAAACCAAAAATAGACTAATGGCACTTAATTAAACTGAAGAGCTTTTGTCCAGCAAAAGAAACAATCAGCAGCATAAACAGGAAATCTACAGAATGGGAGAAAATATTTGCAAATTATGCCTTGACAAAGGACTAACATCCAGAATTTATAAGGAACTTAAACCAACAAGAAAAAAGTGGTCAAAGTACGTGAACAGACACTTTTCAAAAGGAGACATATCAGCAACCAACATAAGAAAAATGCCCAACATCATGGTAAACATGGGTTTACTATGAAGCAGGCATTGAGCACAGCATGTCACTGAGATTCCCTCCGCTAATCTTTGTAATAACCTTTTTTCTGCTCAGAAGTGGGAACAGATTGAAAGAGGTTAGTAATCTGTTGAAGGTCACACAGCTCATAACTGGCAGAGCTGTGTTTTGTCTACGTTAGTTCAAACCCTTTTGTTTTGAATTGTTCTCTACATAATGCCAAAATCAAGTATGAAAGTATCATATTTTATAAAAATATACATTTCTAATTATCAGAGAAATGCAAACTAAAACCACAATGCGATACCATTTCACACCAGTCAGAATGGCTATTATTAAAAAGTCAAAAAATAGCAGAAGTTGGCATGGATGTAGAGAAAAGGAAATGCTTACACGCTGTTGGTGGGAATGTAGAGTAGTTCAACCCCTACAGAAAACAGCATGGAAATTTCTCAGTGAACTAAAAATAGAATTACTATTTGACCCAGCAATTCCATCACTGGGTATCTACCCAAAGGGAAAAAGTTATTTTATCAAACAGACACTTGCACTTGTATGTTTATCTCAGCACTATTCACAATAGCGAAGTCATGGAATCAACCTAAGTGTCTATCAGTGGTGCATTAGATAAAGAAAATGTGGTATGTATATACCATGCAATACTACAAAGCCATAAAAAAGAGTGAAATCATGTCCTTTGCACCAATGTGGATACAGCTGGAGGCCATTATCCTAGGTGAAATAACTCAGAAACAGAAAATTCAATACTGCATGTTCTCACTTACACATGAGAGCTAAACAATGGGTATCCAAGGCAAGGACATACAGATGGAAATAATAGACACTGGAGACCCCAAAAGGGAGGAGAGGAGAAGAGGGGGAAGGATTGATAAACTACCTGTTGGGTACTATGTTCACTGTTTGGGTGATGAGATCACTAGAAGCCCAAACCCCAGCATTATGAGGTATACCCATGCAAGAAACCTGCGTGTGTACCCCTGAATCTGTAATTAAAATTTTAGCCATATGACCACAGTAAGGGTAAAAAAACCCCATCACTTGACTTTGAGTGTGAACCTGACTGTATTGATGAGCCGAGATCATCTGTTCAGCTTCATTAATGTGACCAGAAAATCAAGATCTAAAGAATGAATGTGAGTGCATTGACTGCCATGCACCTTTTTAAGGTCAGGTCCTGATAACTGATCCAGTGCATTAGGCAACAAAAGAAAGCTCACAGTCACTTTGAAAATGTCATGTAGGCACCAGTTTCTAAAGCTCCTTTTAGCCAGTATATGTAGAAGCATTTTAGTAACTGTGCTTTATGAGTTTGAAAACTTGGAGACATTTTTTTCAATTATAAGTCTTCAGACTAAGTTACTTTAAAAAATGTCTTTCATTTAGCATTTACTAGGAAGCAGGCATTGAGCACAGCATGTCACTTAGATTCCCTCCTCTAATCTTTGTAATAACCTTTTTTCTGCTCAGAAGTGGGAACAGATTGAAAGAGGTTAGTAATTTGTTGAAGGTCACACAGCTCATAACTGGCAGAGCTGTGTTTTGTCTACTTTATTACAAACCCTTTTAAACTGTTCTCTACAATAATGCCAAAATCAAGTATGAAGGTATCATATTTTATAAAGATTCTTCTGTTTACCAAAACACAGACACACACAGCACTTTTTAAAGCTGTCAAATACATGGACTTCATTTTTTAGTAGCTTATTAAAGGGAAACTACAAATAGTTCTTTTGAGAAGATACAATATTGTTCCTGGATGGAAAGTGAAATTTGGATGATCACATTAAGTTTGGAGAATAAATACAAGCTATTAATAAGAACAGTTTGAATTCTATTTAAAATTCTATTAACAATGTAAAAAGCTTTTTCTTGTATTTATTCCACCTAAGCTCCCTGGACTCACAGTTTACCTTAAAATATCAAGAAAAGAAGTATAAAAATATTTTTGTTGTATTACATTCCTATATATCCAGTTTTCCCCTAGTTATCAGGTGTCAGAAATAGTGCTATACAGCCTCTAGGTAGAGTTCTCTTGTGGATGGCAAATAGGCATTCCAGGGATTTGCCCAAAGGTGAATTTTAATGAGATCTGCCTACTTCTTTCTTACCTTGAGAAGTATGAGTTTACTCAGGGCTGTGATGGCATGTAAATGAGTTCTGCTCCTATGCTAATTAGATCAGCCCTCTGGAGAGTAGCCAGCTGTTGGTTTTTAAAAGAAATAAAACTATAGGTCACAGAAATAAGTCATTTCAAAGCTGGTTTTTAGAGACATTTTCTAGCATAAGAAACAGCCATGTGTCCCAGAAGGAGCAATCAACATGTCTGGGTAAAGAGAGAGGAGGAGAGTGAGCAGGTAAATAGGATCATTATTTCCAAGCTTTTCCCTGGAATTCATTACCTGCACAAAGTGTAGTCTCCAGACCTTGAGTGCTGCCTCTATTTTTATTTTACTATAAATTGATGGTTTATACTGATATTTATTAAAAAACAAATAACGGTAACACAGTAGTCCCTACTTATCCTCAGAGGATGTGTTCCAAGACCCCCAGTGGGTGTGTGAAGCATTGGATACTATGGAACTCTACAAGGTACTATATTTTTTCCTATTCATATCTACCTGTGACAATGTTTAATCTATAAAATAGGTACAGTAAGAAACTAACAACAATAAAACAGAATGCTTATAACAGTATACCATAATAAAAGTTATGTGAACGTGGTCTCTTGCTCCAAAATAACATATTGAATGTAATATTTTCAGACCTTGCTGGACTGTAACTGAAACTGTAGAAAGTGAAACCAAGGGTAAGGAAGACTACTGTCATAAACTCGGTCTTCCTTGGCTCCCAGGGAATTTCACTCTCCTCCTCCTCCAACATCTCCAGTACTTTCTTCTTTGTCATCTTCTCTTGCTTCACTTTCTCTACCAACCAGGATTGATTAGATGTTTTCCATATTTGGCTTTGACTCTATTCTCTTTTTTAAAGAAATCTGTCTTGATCATCTTACCCACTTCTAAAGCGTCAATCACTAAGGAAAATAAAATCTTTTAAGAATGTGCATGTAATCAAAGAAAAGGGAAGAGATGTTAACATTATCCATCTAATGAGGGCTTCTTACCCCTTTTTTAGCCATGGACCCCTTTGACAGTCGATGAAACCTATGCATTATTCCCTGAATCATGTTTTTAAATCCATGATTTAAAATACAGAGGATTGCAAAGGAAACCAAAAATGTTAAAGTGAGCAGAATATTTTTAGAAATACATTTATAATATGCTCATGTGTATCCTGCAGTACATATTCACGAAATAACAAGATCCAGTCACTACCACACTTTCAAAGTAGTGAGAAGGACTTGGAAATGTTGTCTATAACCGTACCACAGGAGGAAAATTTTTAGTGGAGACAAAATTGCAGGTTTCATTAATGTTCTTATGGTTTGTTGCCTATGTTCATAACTGAAGGGAAATTTACATTTTAGTTAGTGACTAGGGAAAATAAAGATGTAGAATTCAAGTGCATAGATCCCCCTGAATTCTACCCATAGATCCAAGTTTAAGAACACCTGGTCTAAGGATTTCCAAAAAAGATTGGGAATTGTGACTTACTTGTATGCCCAAGAGAAGCCATAGGGACAGTACGAAGAAGGCGATGTTATGGAGCCATCTGTAATTGTACAATTATACTATATTCCTCCCCTCATATGTTTGGTTTATCTGGGCTTCCTGTGTCTCCTCTTGTCTTTCTCCATATACCTTTTATATCATATCAAAGCAAAATTTAAACTAGCTAGTTCTTTATTTGGTGGCAGCTGTTGTGTTTTGGCATTGTTTTGTTGGAGGGATGTTTTTGTTTGTTTACTGGATTGTTTTTTTAAATATATCCATCGGTTGTAGGGGAGGCAGAAACTACTGAGTATCTGGGATTATTTATCCATGCTATGACTAGCTTCTATTAACATAGATAATTGGGCTTTAAATGTGGATAGAATTAAGATATCCAACTTCAACCTCTGTCTATTGCCTTCGAAGGCCTCGAGGTACATCAAATAATCCCCTTTCCATCTTGTAACTCTCTCTCCCCTTGGCTTCCTGAACGCTGCTTCTCCTGGACCCCTCTCATCTTCCTGCTTCCCTAAAGGTCTCTCTTCTGAACCCTGTCATCTGTTTCACTCAACCACCAGTAGGCATTTCCCTCACTTTAGGCTTTGGACTGGTTTTCTCATGGTCTTTTCTTCTTTGATACTCTCCCAATCCCCAATTTACATTATTTCCCCTGTTCTTTGTCAGGTTTTTTTTGTTTGTTTGTTTGTTTTTTTGTTTTTGAGACAGAGTCTCGCTCTGTCACCCAGGCTGGAGTGCAGTGGTGCAATCTCGGTTCACTGCAAGCTCCACCTCCCAGGGTTCATGCCATTCTCCTGCCTCAGCCTCCCGGGTAGCTAGGACTACAGGTGCCCACCACCACACCTGGCTAATTTTTTGTATTTTTAGTAGAGACGGGGTTTCACTGTGTTAGCCAAGATGGTCTCGATTTCCTGACCTCATGATCCACCCACCTTGGCCTCCCAAAGTGCTGGGATTATAGGTGTGAGCCACCGCACCTGGCCCATTGTCAGTTTTAATGGATCCCAGCTCCCCACCTCCCAGTTGAGATTTTAACGACACCCAACATGCATTCTTTGGACACTCACTGTGCACAATTATACTATAGTATATAGTTACGTTAGGCACTGGGCATACAATTCCGGACCAACAAAACATCCTGCCCTCACACATCCTATAATCCATCAAGGAAGGCCTTAATCAAGTAATTTCAGGAGTGAGGTGTAGGGTGAAAGAGGAGGAGCAGGTCACTGCAGAAGTTGATATTAAGGGGATCTAGCCTAGTTTGGGGGTATAAGGAAGCCAATCAGGAGAAGTGAAGTTTTGATTGGAACTTTAAAGGTTAACTGGGAGATGGCTCAATAACCAGTGTAGGAATTGGGATTAGGACAATGCATGTGAAATGCAAAAGTCAGAAAGAATAGTGGGGAAGGAAGTAAAGATGACAAATATGGCTGTGGTATGGAATTCAAAAAGGGCATTTGAATCCAGTGAAGCTGCAGAGAGGCAGGCCAGGCTGGTAAACACTTGTCAATCATGTGGGGGCAGGTCAAGGGCATCATCCTAAAGACAGTGGGGAGGTCCATAAGAAGTTCCATTAGGCAGCAGGCAGAGTGTCCAGATTCACATTTTTAAAAGATTAATCCAACTCTAGTAGGGAAAATCATTTGGAGAAGGGCAGGAACCCATGTGAGGAGACCATTGGAGGGGGTTATACAGCCCAGTTAAGAGACAATATGTTGGTTTTGCAAGAAAATCTGTGTCCTCATTGTTTCTGCTTTACCTGCCCCTCATACTTTTAAGATTTGACCTTGAAAATGTCCACTGCATGCTTCTTTTCATTCTCACTGACCAAATTCAAGCTTCTTTTTTCCCCCTGGTCTATTGCAGCGCTTTACTCTCTACTGACTTATCTTCTATTTCCCGTTTCTCCATGCCAGTGGCGTACAGGTGTGCTGTCAGACTTAGCCCCCTTAAACACACTTGGTTGCTCCCAAATGCAACAAAATTAAGTACAAACTCTTCTCCTTTGATCACAACCTCTGCAGTGTGGTCCCTACATATGCTGCCAGCTTTCTCCACCATCACAGGCTCCTACCGTAACTTTCCTACTTCACGCTCCCCTTGGCTCACTAACTCACAAATATACAGACATGCTATGTTTTACAAACTCCTCCCTCCCTCCTAGAATATCTTTCTCTTCCAACTCATTCATAAAAAATTTTCATCTTTGAAGACTAATTTCAAGCCCAGCTTCCTCCAGATTTCAAGCCCAGCTTCCTCCAGATTTCAAGCCCAGCTTCCTCCTAGATGTCCCCAATCAGAATTTTTCCTTCCTGCGCATGTTCCAGTGATTCTTTAAGTGATGTGTTTTCCCTCTGATTAAGCTTCTTACCCTTGCTTCACCATTTATTAGAGTCTACCTCCTATTTGAGTCAGTACATATGAGATAGGCTTTTCCACTAAATTCTGTTTCTGAGGGCTAGGGAGATTTGTGGTAGTCATTTCTGTGTCGCACATAGTGATTTGCCTGCCCTGTGCTTATAAAGGCTCAACAAATTTTAAATAAATTTTTGGGTGATGATAGGCTGATTGGACTCCAAAACTGCAAATTTATCTGAGCCACATACCCAGAGCCCATTCTGGTTATAATATTTTAGGTTGATCAAATACAGAACATTTTACTAGCAGTGTTGTTTTTGTTTCAAAAGCTGGCTAAATGCAACATGTCTCAGTAAGAGTAACAATTAAGTATTTTATTGAGAAGTGCTGAATTCTTTGTTGAAAGCTGAAATTTATTCTATAAGTATTTCGTGAGCCCTAATTATGTCTCTGGCTCTGTGCATACAACTATGCAAATCGGTGTTCTGGAAGTACCTAGCAGGTATTTTCATAAGGACTTGAGGTTTTCCATCAAGAATTGCAGGAGGCTGGGTGCAGTGGCTCATGCCTATAATCCTAGCACTTTGGGAGGCCAAGGCTGGGGGGAAGGATCATGGGAGGTCAGGAGTTCGAGACCAGCCTGTCCAACATGGTGAAACCCCGTCTCTATGAAAAACACAAAAAAAAGTTAGCCAGGCATGGTGGCAGGTGCCTGTAATCTCAGCTACTCGAGAGGCTGAGGCAGGAGAACTGCTTGAACCTGGGAGGCGGAGGTTGCAGTGAGCCAAGATCGCACCACTGCACTCCAGCCTGGGCAACAGAGCGAGACTCCATCTCAAAAAAAGAATTGCAGGAGAATATACATTAATAAATAAAGCTTAATAAATCTGGAAAAAATAGCTCATTCCTTTGTTCAGAAGTTATCTGTCACCTAACTCAGAAGTGAAAAAAGGCAGCCAAGGAAAGGTATGACAATACAACAGATATATTGTCAATATAATAAAAAGTATAAAAAGAAAACAAACTTATTAGAATATTGACAATTGCAGTTTATTTAGGGCTTGATTATTACTATAATTTTATCCTTTTCTTAGCTCTAATATTAATAAAGCCCTGCAACAATCAGGTTTTATAATTTTCTTCTCAGTGTCACTTTACACCATAGGCTAGGAAGCATCAGTAGATGCTCAGCAATAATTACTGCATTTATTGAGTTCCAATGTATGCCCCACATTGTTTTAGAAACTGGAGATAGGCAAAACTCAATTTATAGTCTCAAATAGCTTGCAAAGTAGTATCTTATATAGGAATTGAATTGCTTCCAGGGAAAAATAAAGGAATATATTACTAGAAGAAGGTACTTGTGTAGGAAGCTCACAATTTTTTTTCCAGGCTAGATTGAAACTGGACATTAGAGAGATACTCTGTTATTTTCTGAAATATGAGTGCTAACTATGGAAAAATAGAGCATAAACTCTCAGAACACAGTAGGTTAGTAGAGGTTAAGTGTAAGAAGACTTTTGTGGAAAAAAATGTAAATTATGAGGAGAGAATGCATTCAGAATGAGTAAAGAATATTTTTTAGATGTCTGCTGTATGCATATATAAAGATCTGTGGCTTCTAATTTGACTAGATTTTGTTTGTCTGTTTTTCAAAATCTTTTCTAAGAATTGCCCTGGTGGAAAATATTCCTGAAGGCCTTAACTATTCAGAAAATGCACCATTTCACTTATCACTTTTCCAAGGCTGGATGAATTTACTCAACATGGCCAAAAAGTCTGTTGACATAGTGTCTTCCCATTGGGATCTCAACCACACTCATCCGTCAGCATGTCAGGTAAGCTACATCCTCTGTGTGTGTGATGATTTTACTTATGTGCATTTTCCACTCCTTAGTATTCTGCTCCTCCACTCCTCAAACTCAAGCTCATCTATTTTAGTCTATGCGCACCCAGAGTACATGTACATTATTACATTTATGTAGATGTGTCGTTGTTAATCATATGTCACTCAGCTCCTACTAGAATGCCAGGTTTGCAAGGACAAAATTATGTTTCATCTTTGCCTACAGTCGGCTCTTTATACAGAATTGCCATGTTGTACAACTTCAGGGCGTGCTATTTACATGATAATCTCTGTCAATGGCATGGTCCAGAATTCTGCTTCGCCTAACTTGCATGTTTACAGTTCTAATTCTGTAACTGCTTGCTGAGGCATTTATTTGGTTAGTTTGTGTTATAATTCACCTTTCAAGTTATAATTCACCCACAGCCACATTTTTTTAATAGAGTGAAATTTCCCAGGATAGTTGTTTTTCTCGACTGTCGTATTTGGATGAATGGGAAAAAGAAATATGCTTATCTCTTTTAAAAGTAAGGCTCAGAGAACTACCTTTAGAAAACTGACTTAATGATCTAAACAATTTCTGAATAAAATGCTCTGGGTGTAAGAAAATGGTGCTGGTGATTTTAGTGTGTTTTTCTTTATATTGGTACAACCATGATAGTTTACATTAAGCTACCCTATCTAAATATATAGCCATTGGCCTACACTTAAATATCATATGTAAGTCAAGGGCAAAATAAGTTTTGTCTCCTTTTATGCAAAATGTAGTGGTATTAAGCTTATAATCATGATCTCATTGGTACTTTGAAAGCTATTGAATCTATTCAATTATACTATTTTAAAGTCAAAAGTTACTGGAAAATAAAAACAAAAAACACGAAGGCCATAACTAAAGAAGAATGGAATGAGTTTACTAACTGTGTTCTACACTTTTCCATCTCTACTAAAGTTTAAGTAAGTGTTTCAGGATTTACTGTTCCATAATGTCTCCTAAAATATAGTGGTTTAAAGAAATAGTATCTATTTGTTCATGATTCTGGGCAGGGTTTGGCAGAGAGGACTTATCTCTGATCCATATGGTATTGGCTGGGGTGGGTTGCCTGGGGATGGAGAATCCTGGATGGCTTTCCTCACATATCTGGTATCTCAGCTGGGGTGACTGGAACATCTGGGATGGCTGAGTCTCTCTGCATGTTCTGTCATGATTCAGTAAATCATCTTGAGCTCTTTACATGGTGGTTGGATCCTCAAAAGGCAAAGAGCTCTGGAATCCTAGCATGTTGCTCCCAATCTATTCCATTGGTAGAAGCACGTCTCAAGTCCAGGAAGGGAGGAGCAACATCCAAGTACAGGAATGAGGATTATTGGTGGCCATCTTTGGAAATAACATACCACAGCCCATTCTCTGGCTGTAGCAATTCATATCTCTCTTTTACATGCAAAACACATTCACCTTATTCCTCAAAGTGGGAATTCTACTACATCAAGGGCTCTGGAGGGAAGCCAGAGATCACCTCCAATACCCCTTTTGCTCTTACGTGGGCTCTTTGGCTAGATCTAGAAATGAAATTGACACCAGGCAGATTAGCAGGAGAAAAGTCTACAGATTTTATTAGTTTTACTCGTACATGTGGATCTTCACAAGAGAGTGAAGTCCAAAGAAGTGGCCAAAGTAAGATGTTTTTATACTTTTTAGACAAAGAACGATAAATTTGAGGAGAAATGACAGGACAAAGGGGATGTGTGTGGGGGCAGTCAATTTCTAGGGGAATCACTAGGAGATATAGAAGGGGTATAAAACCAGTGGGAGATAGGGTTACTTCATTAAGTGTATTTATTCAGGTCCATGGCAGCCCCCAGTTTCCCGTCTCTGGTGATAAGGGCTATTTTCTCACCCTGGTACAGGGAGGGTGTGCTTCTCAGAAGAATCTTTATGGTTTGCTGCCCACAGGAAGAGACAGGTCAGCGATCCCTTACTGAACTACAATTTTCCCAGTGTTTTCCACTTGAAATAATCACCAATATACCAACCTGACATATTTTGAGATGGCACATCCTTCACTCCTTCAGCTCAAAATCCAGAGTCTCTTTATTTGCATCAGGTCTGGATCTGAGTGAGGATTCTCATGTGGGCTTCTCTTGATTTGGAAACGTGCAAGCCAAAAATTTGTCTTTTCTTTAGGCTAGAACCATTCAAATTCTTCCCTTCTACTTATATTTTTATTTTATTTTATTTTATTTTATTTTTGGAGACAGAGACTCGCTGTGTTGCCCAGGTTGGAGTGTAGCGGTGCGACCTCGGCTCTCTGCAACCTCCACTTCCTGGGTTCAAGAAATTCTCCTGTCTCAGCCTCCCGAGTAGCTGGGATTACAGGTTCACACCACCATGCTCAGCTACGTTTTCATATTTTTAGTAGAGAGGAGGTTTCACCATGCTGGCCAGGCTGTTCTCGAATTCCTGACCTCAAGTGATCCACCCGCCTTGGCCTCCCAAAGTGTTGGGATTATAGGTGTGAGCCCCTGTGCCCGACCCCCTTCTACTTATTTTGAAATGGAGAATAGATTATTGTAAACTGTAGTTTACTTCTATAGTTACTATAGAAGTACTTCAAAAACTTGTAATCTGCCTGAAGAATTTCAGCCAGCTTCACAAGTTCATTAGTTGTATTTTCCATGTTCTATTTTATAGCAGGTGGTACTATTGCAAGCACTCTGCCATTGCATAATACAGATGGCCCTTTCTCAAGGCTTCAAAGGAAATTTCCTACTCTTCTTCCAGCCTTGAATGATAGGAGTAGAGGCTAGCCTCCACCATGACCCAATCCCACATGGCTTTATTTATTTACTTATTAATTTTTTTGAGACAGAGTTTTGCTCTGTTGCTGAGGCTAAAGTGTGGTGGTATGATCTTGGCTCACTGCAACCTCTACTTCCCGGGTTCAAGCGATTCTCCTGCCACAGCCTCCTGAGTAGCTGGGATTGCAGGCACCTGCCACCACACCAAGCTAATTTTTGTATTTTTAGTAGGGATGGGGTTTCACCATGTTGGCCAGGCTGGTCTTGAACTGACCTCAAGTCATCCACCCACCACGGTCTCCCATATGACTTTAGGTAGACGTTATTGATGTAGAAAGGTAGATGCTAGATGTTATTGATGTAGAAAGATGATAACACTTAGAAGCTTAGTTCAAGTCACTCTCTAACAACTGGCCCGCTGCCAACAAATGGAATTTTTCAACTTACTGCCTATGACCTAACTATCGTTGAACTCACAGGCAAGCTTTTAGGAAGAGACCTAGTTTAGAATAATGTATTCTGGTAGAGTCATACTGCTCCTTCCAAAGAGACACCTCTTAGCTGCCTCTCATCTCCCTAATAGCAACAGACTTCTGTACAATGTAAAACCAGTTGGTTTTCTGTAGTTTTGAGCCTAATTTTGCTTTGCCTCTTTACAAGGGGGAGATCTGCCTTTGCAAACATGAAGGATAGAGGGGCTTTATCTGCTTTGGGAATTAAATGGATTAAAGGTGCTGTGAGGCTGATCTTGCAGTTCTCCCCATACCTGTCTGTCCCTGGCCATGTCCTGTGGGGAAGCAATGATGTTCAGAGGGTTCTCACTTCAACAAGGTAGTGGAATTTCTCCTCTTCTTCTAGTTTGTTGGTGGCCAAGTGACTGTTTCTGCAGAATCCCAAGCCTTTGGTCTCCACTGGCCAAAAGCCAGGCATGGACCATGGTCTTAAAGAGCAAGCATGCAGAATTTAGGGTGTTTTGTTGCCTGAGTGGCTCCCTCTCACCTTGCCCCGATTCCCCTCTCTCAACCCCTACAGAGGTATGCACAACAGGTTAGCATTAAAAGGTCCTGGGGAACTTATCTGAAGACCGCATTTCTTGGGCACTTAAAGATTAATTTTAGAGAGCTGGGCGTGGTGGCCTGTAATACCAGCACTTTGGGAGGCCGAGGTGGGCAGATCACCTGAGATCAGGAGTTTGAAACCAGCCTGGCAAACGTGGTGAAACCCCATCTGTACTAAAAATACAAAAATTAGCTGGGCGTGGTGGCGCATGCCTGTAATCCCAGCTACCCAGGAGGCTAAAACAGAAGAATTGCTGGAACCTGGGAGGCGGAGGCTGCAGTGAGCTGAGATTGAGCCACTGCACTCCAGCCTGGGGGACAGAGTGAGACTCTGTGTATCTATTAAAAAAAAAAAAAAAAAAGGAAAAAGAAAAAGATTATTTTTAGAGTCTATTCCCCTCCTTTCCCCCTCTCACTGGGCAGGTAGGGGAATAATTGTGAAGTGATGAAGAATGGAGAAAGGAAACAGGTACTTGCTGCCAACTCCTTCTTTTTGGGTGCAGTTCAAGGACCCCTATATCCTGTTCTTTGCAGATAAAATCACCAAGTTTTACCCTAAAACTTCACTGCCTATAAAAAGGCACTAACTGAAAGCTACTTTGATTTAAATTTTTACCTGATTTTATCTTTCAAATGGAAAAGGAAATTCAAGACTACCCAACCTTTCAAACTTTGGGCAGGCAGTCTTTGGACTTGTGTGTGCCCTTTTATCTTTACCAAGACCCTATAAATATTGGCAGATAGTCTCTCATTGGTTTATTGCGTGCAAAAATATGCTAGGAAAAAATAGTTCACACCCTGATTACTCAAGTGAGCCAAATTTAAATTTTCTTTAAAATATTTCGGTGCCAAACACTATCCTTCACAAATACGTGTGATAAAAAAAATGTGTCAGGTTCACAGCTTCTTTTTCATTAATTTTTTTAAAGATAATATTTTTTTAGTTGGGGGACAACAGTCAAATGTGACATTTAATTTTAAACCAACAGAGCCGGAAAAGTCCTAAATGGAACCGTAGATGGCACATACATAAAGAGGGACTATAACCAAAAAGCAGCCCTGATGTTTTTTATAATGTAGCAATAAGAAAATATACCAAGAAACCACGTAGCCAATGGTAGGCAGAACAGCTCAGCAGCAGATGCACACATTTTATTGGTCTGGTCTCTGGAAGAGTAGCAATTTTGTTAGAGTGAGTGCGATGGTTGCTACTAACAGGAATGATGAATATGCGCTTTTTTATTTTGCACACATTTTATTGGTCTGGTCTCTGGAAGAGTAACAATTTTGTAAGAGTGAGTGTGATGGTTGTTACTAACAGGAATGATGAATGTGTGCTTTTTTATTTTTCATTTGCATGGAAACAGACATGTTGATTTAAAATGTGTTTTTAATCTGTACCTCCAAAAGGTTGCTGTTTGGGTTTCCACCCTGAAAAACCCACTTTGTTTTTCTTGTCTCTTTCCTGGTGTTAATCTGTTTGTGTTTGTTTCCTTCTGTGCTAAAGGAAACTGGATGGTGCCCTTACTCTGTATCACAGCCTGCTAAGGGCTGCTGAGGTCTAGAGTTTCATGATAACTGTATGTTAGAATTTTATGAAAATACATGGTCAGACAAAAGGTTTTTCTTTCTGTCTGGATGATGAGTTGCCACCCTAAAATGTTGAAATTCCTGGGACATCTTGATTGCTAATTTATGAGACAAAATGATGGGAATTTATGAAATCAAGCCTGTTCAGAAACAGTCAGGAAATATAACTGACAGAGGCTCATTAGTAGAGCTACCTAATTCACTGGGTTAAAAAAAAAAAATCTCACACTCTATGAATTCACTGTGAGGAAACTATAAAATAATGAGCTGCAACAATGGAATCTTAAGGAGATGTATTTATGTGAAATCAATTAGATACTGAGCTACCAGTGAGCTGTGATTGCCAACTGATGATACATCAGAATTGTTTGATTTCGAGAAATTATGATTTTTTAAAATCAAACAGTATTTTTGAAATAGCAAGCATAAGAGCTCGGTGATCCAGGAGGTTGTTTTTGGGAAGTACGAGCCTGGATCCTACCTCTACACAGTGGTTAGCAGATCTTAGCAAGACTGCAGAAATGAGCCGGGAGTGGAGCTGAGGTTTTTTTGTTTTGTTTTGTTTTTTGACCTACTTATTAGCTGTGCAACCTCGGGCAAGAGGATGAACTCTCTATGCCTCAATTTCCTCAAGTCAGGAGTGGAGCTGAGGTTTTTGTTTTGTTTTGTTTTTTGACCTACTTATTAGCTGTGCAACCTCGGGCAAGAGGATGAACTCTGTATGCCTCAGTTTCCTCAACAGCAAAATCAGGGCGATAACAGAACCTGCCTCATAGGTTGTTGTGCAGATTAAATCAGTTAACACCTGTGAAGAGTATAGAACAGTGTTTGACCATTTTAGTGCCTATATAAGGGTTTGTTATGATCGTGAATATTGTTATTCACATTCACTTATTTGTGTACACACTGTACCTCTGGTTCAAGTTTATTCTGTTAGCAAGTTCTTATTATGGCTCTTACACTGTGCTAGAAATTGGGATGGTTACTGTGTAAAATTAGAAGGGGATTATAGTTTCTGCAAATGTGAGACTCTGGGTAGATAAGAAGTATTAGGCAAATTATCATTGTATGTGGAATTCTTACTTTCATTTGATTTATTAATTATAAATCTTCAAGTGTGTGTGCACGCACACACACACACACAGTCTTACTCTCACTCATCTACTCAAGCAGTTATTGGTTGACACACCCATTGAGAAGCAGCTGCTCTATCTTTGGAGAAGCAGGGGGCACTTCAGCTTTGGAAAAGATCCGGAAGGACTGTTCACCCCCTCACCATCCAAAACAGCCCCATTCTCAAGAATTCTACAAGCTTAAGAATACCTTTTTTTACCTCTCCATTTGTCCTGAAATTTATGACCAAACACTATCTAGCAAAGTTATCTGGTAAGATTGTGAAATATTTGATCTTAGGACACTATCATTTAATGGAAAATACAACCACAGTCTATATTTGCACACGTGTGTGTGTGTATCTCCCTCTGGACAAATAATATCTTGAATTTTGAAAACACAGTAAATTATGTTGTCTTCTTGAACCTACAGTCCCTCCTAATTTTTGTTGATTGACGTTTTGTTCTATATTGAAGACCCATATGACCTGGCAACATTCATGTGACCCTGCCATTGTGATTCAGGCAGCTGTATCCATGTGTGACTCAGGTCTCCAGGCGCTACCTGGTAGCCCACTCATTCCTTTTCTGCAATATTCTTCCTAACTGATCCGATCAATGCAGTTTAACCAACAGACAAGGGCTTTTGTTACATCAAACTTATAAAACGTTTCCTTGCCATGTTTGTTTCATAGCCATCCTTATGATTCATTTGTAAATGATATTATTAACATTTTCTATTATAACCACTGCATGTTTTGGCCCATAATACCTCTTACCTGTCCTAAGGAAGTCCGCAGCCTGGTGGAGTCCTCTATGGCCCCCTGCCTCCAGCACCTCTTGTTCCCAGGCTCCGCCATCTTTTCCATTCTCCATCTTCCCTGGCTCTCTAAGCCTACTTGTCCTTTCTTGCCCATCCCTACAGTCCTAGGCAAGTCTCCATTCCCTCTTCAAGTCTTCTGAAGGAGACTGTTTATTCATTTATCATGCAAACAGTCAGCATCTACTTGGTAACACAGGGCTATGCCTGAAACCCAGAAGAATCCTGTTTTTGACAATGTCACTCCCATATAAAAGTCTGATGCAACTATCTAATACTCATGTGGCCCGAACATGGACTATTTAATTAAAATTTCTTAACAATTTTTTTAACCCAAGAAAATAACATCATAGCATTTCCTAGTTTTCATTTTGCCTGGAAAAAATTGGCATAGTTGGTAGAGACTGGATCCTTTAAATAATTGAAATTCTTTGAGCCTATTGTAAGTGGCAGGTTGGGTAAAGCAGTCAGGGAAAGCAGGATATTCTGATGCAACATAAAAACACACATTTCATTTTTGTTTTGATGTAGATCCTGAGGGCTTATACATATTTCTACTATATTATGCAAACTTCCTACCATCTAGTTTGTCTATTTTTAATGAGGACATAGGGAAAAATAAAACATGTATAAATTAATGAAAGCATAATTAGGATACATACAAATTCTCTGTTGTTATTTGGCTCAGGTGAGAATTGTGTATTTTGTTTATATTTAGTTCTCAGCGCTTGGTTTTATAGAAAAGGCAAATTTGCAGTGTTATTCCAGATCCATGTACTACAGGGGAAAGATCATAGGCTTTGTCATTTATACATTTGATTGACTAATAGTTTAGTAGTTGTGGTCACATTGAACAAATGTCACAACTCATCTGATCTTCAGTGTTCCCATTTATTAATTAAAATTAATTCTGATTTATAAATTTATACCCCTCTATAAAATGGGTATTTTAATAATAATGCCTATCTCATTTGATTGCTTGGTGAATTCAATTAGATAATATTTGTAAAACAATAAAGAATGGAGCTTATAAAAGATAGCTGTGGTTTTCATTTTTGTTGTTTTGATGCAGGACATTTACTTTCAAATTTAGTGGACACAACTCTCTATGTAATCTTACAACAAGAATAATATTCAGCTGTCTGTCAAGATTTCAACTTATATGAAAAGAAGTTAAGATAGAAAATTCTACACAGAATACAATTCAAATTGCTCTCTAGGGTTTAGGTGAAGAAAGGAGATGCCGGGCGTGGTGGCTAACGCCTGTAATCCCAGCACTTTGGGAGGCTGAGGCAGGTGGGTCACGAGGTCAGTAGGTCAAGACCATCCTGGCCAACATGGTTAAACCCCATTTCTACTAAAATACAAAAAATTAGCCGGGTGCAGTGGCAGGCGCCTGTAGTCCGAGGTACTTGGGAGGCTGAGGCAGGGGAATCGCTTGAACCCGGGAGGCAGAGGTTGCAGTGAGCCGAGATTGTGCCACTGCTCTACAGCCTGGTGACACGGCAAGACTCGGTCTCGAAAAAAAAAAAAAACGAGAGACAGAAAAATACACATATTTTTCAGGTAGACTCCCACTTTTCTCTCCCAATATGGTGGTTTTCAACTGTGGCTGCCAGTCAGAGTCACGTGGGGAGATTTTAAAATATGCTTATGCCCAAGCCCATCCTAGACTAGTTAGGTCATAATATTTGGAGAGGAGCCCAGGCTTCAATACTTCTAAAAACGATGAGGGGATTTTACTGGGCACCCAGGTTTGAGAATCACTGTTTTAAACCATCCTGGTCTAATAAACATTGTTCAACTTTCATAGGTTCCAAGATCGGGCCAGGTTGGTCCCTACCCCGGTTTGTCAACATAACTGTGTGTTTCAAATTAATCCTGTGATTGAAATTGTTCCCTCAGTAGTGATGTAAATGAGTAGCAGCTTGTACTTGAATATTCCACATAGCCCTGGACTCTAGGACCCATGTCGTATTTATCCTGCTGGTGTTATTGTCCAGCGTACCACCAGTAACAAAATGGAGCTCAGTGATTGCTTTTTGGTTTGAAACAGTAGATTATCTTCAGCCTTTTCATCTCCAGGCTGCATATGATATCAGTAGAACTCCTGGTGCAGTGTCAGCATAAAGACAGCATAACCTCACGGAAAGAGTGCCCCTTTATTTCAAAGTAACATCTAAGTGTGGTGAGGGAGACAGACAAACATAAAACCATTTATAATGATACAGCATAGTAGAACAACAATGAGGGGTGCTCTCAGCAAATTGGCTCATGTGGGATTACCTCTGCTTTTGAACTGTGCAGCAGAGCTCACACGGTGGATGTTGGTCCTATTTTTTCTTGGTGTGTTCCTGCTGCTGCTTCATGCTGCCATTTCCCCATCTGTTGAGTAATCCTGATTATGTTCTTGCTTGCTTTCCAACATATTTCTATGGGAAATCATTATTCTAATATAAACTCATAAGCATTATCATTAGTAAGAGTTTAACCTCTATGATTCCTTTTAAATCCAATCATATGGCCATGAATAAATCATGAACCTAAGATATTCCTTCTAATTGTTCGTATTAATTACTTTCTTTAAGATTGTCTTATCTGAGTTTGTTTGCTTGTATGCTTGTTTATTTTTTCTCTGTATCTTCATTTGTGTTTTTCCTATTTTTCTATGACCATTTTTTTTGGTACTTTCACTCAAATAGAATAGGTCAGATTTTTTCCTTTGTCATTAGTAATAACCTCTCACGATCAAAAATTTGGAAACTATGGAGAAATGAGAGAGAAACCAAATCCTCCAAATGGCCACCAACAAAAAAAGTTTTTGACAGTTTGATATTTCATGCATAATTTGTATACATAGGCTCATATTATATAAAAAGAATTATATCTTTTGTTTGTTTGTTTGTTTGTTTTTGAGACAGGGTCTCACTCTATCACCCAGGCTGGAGTGCAGTGGCATGATCTCAGCTCACTGCAACCTCCATCTCCCGGGTGCAAGCAATTCTCTTGCTTCAGCCTGCCAAGTAGCTGAGATTACAGGTGTGCACCACCACGCCTGGCTAATTTTTGTATTTTCAGTAGAGATGAGGTTTCACCGTATTGGCCAGGCTGGTCTCAAACTCCCGGCCTTAAGTGATCCTTCCGCGTCGGCCTCCCAAAGTGCTGGGATTACAGGTGTGAGCCACTGTGCCCAGCCTAAAGAATTATATCTTAATTTTGAACTTAACATTACAACGTAAGCATCTTTCCATTTTATTAGAAACACTGGTAAACATATTTTAATTGGCTGCATAACATACAATGTACTAGACTTACCAGGTTAAGTTAATATAACTATTTCCCTCTATTGGACATTTAAGCATTTATCTTTTCCCCCTTTTTCTGAATGAGCTGCTGCAGTAAATATCTGTGCGTTTTTTTTCTTACTGTCCATTTGCTCAAGATCAATTCTCAAAATGTAAGGATAGGGTATCTGAGCTGCCTTGTTAAGACCATGGAATATTTAGGGAGCATGTGGCAAGTTCTCATGGCTTTTCCCTGGGGATGCTGGAATCTCAGTGCAGTGAGGTTTTGAAGGAATTCTCTGTCCGTTCTGCGTGGGGTCCTCTTCCCACCTGGAATAAGTGATTGTGGAAGCATTGGGGATATTTGGCACATTCTGGTGTTCCTTTCTTGCCTTGGTCTCCCCTCTTTCCCCTGGAGCAAAGGAACGACACCAGGCTGTGGAAGCTGTGCTCTTCCAGACACTGCTGAAAGGCAGTACCAAGATAATGTTGTCTGTCCCCTCTGCAGCCAGAGTGGACGCTCGAGCAATCCCACAGGTAATTTTCAGCTACTGTAGGATTCCAGCCGCCGAGAGCCTGGTTACCAACCTCCTGCTTCTGATATTAATCTCTTGCTATTTCCTGGCCCGTGATTGGCATGATGAGCATATTCATCTCTCTTCATCTGTCCCTGACAGGGATGGCTATGTTTATGCCCACGGGGTGCATCATCGAGATAACCATCATTAAGCAAGGCCTTGATGATGAACTGTTCAGATTCATTAAATCCTCTAATGAGATGGAGCCTGTTATGATGAATGGACAGGCAGCCTGCATATCTCCACGCCAGATACTCTCCACTGGTTTCAAGCAGATATTCCTTGTGGCTCATTGCCAAAAAATGAGTACTGTCAATCAAGGTGCTGGGTCTGTGGCACTGAACTCCTAAAGCTCTGATTGATCCATTGGGACATCTGTGAAGAGATGAAGCAGCCGCTATCTTCTGGGTTTGGGATAAGGAATTCCATATTTCTCCTGGCACATCCTTAGAGCTATTTGCATATTCTGGCCACCACTCCAATTCCCCTCTCTCTCTTAAGCTCCAAGCCTAATCAGCAGGTTCATCACTGTGTTATCTCATAAACAGTACCTGGATTCTTTCCAATTTATAAATATTCATATATATTCATATATATATAATTTGTGTATATATACAAATGTATATATACAAATGTATACAATACGTATATATAATTTATATATAATTTTAAATATTAATGCATATTTAAATATTCATATATATATGAATATATGAACAAGGTCTTGCTTTGTTGCCCAGGCTGGGCAGCAGTGGCACAATCGTAAGCTCACCTTCAGCTTTATCCTCCTGGGTTCAAGCAATCCTGCCTCAGCCTCTCAAGTAGCTAGAACTATAGGTCTGTGCCACCATGCCCAGCTGATGTTTTTAAATATTTTTAGAAATGTGTCTGGTTATATTGCTCAGGCTGGTCTCCAGCTCCAAGCCTCAAGTGATCCTCCTGCCTGGCCTGACCAAGTGGTTGTGATTACAAGCATGAGCCAGCACATCCAGCTCTTTCCAGTTTTTTTTCATTGCAATTGACACTTCCCTATTTCACCAACCTCATTGCTCTTTCAGTCTCCGGTTCTCCCCTGTAACTATCATTCTCCAATTTGCAGTCCGAGTTCTTTTCTTAGAACAAAAATATGATTGTGTCCTTCACTGGGTTAAATGCTTCAGAGGGTCCACATTGTTTTCCAGATGAGATCCAAACTCTTCAATGCATCTTACAAGGCCCTTCATCATGTGACCCCATTTATCTCTCCTGTCTCCTGCCTGCTTTCTGGATTCTGCCATAGGCTCCACCTGGAACATTCTTTCTTCCCTACCTTTCTTTGGGGAACTTTCCCTGAGGCCTTATGCTGGGTTATTGATGCCATGCTATGCTTTTCCCTTGCTCTGTCTTCCTCCATCCTGGAATTTGGAATATTGGGCTGTATTTGCTTATCTGTCATCTACATATTCTCCTTGAATATCACTAGTACTTTCAGGTCGCTGACACATAGGAAGCAACCAGTAAATAAATGCTTTGAATGAATTGGCCTAAAAGTCACTTCTCTTTATCCAAGGGCATTTGAGAATAAAGGCTGACACTGACAAATATACAAAGAAATAACATTCATACTTATATCTGTGGCAAACTTTGTATATCCTACAAACTAAAAATTCAGTAAGATATAAGTAAGTAAGTAAATAAATATAAGTAATATAAGTAAATAAATATCAATCTTATAGCAAATTTAATTGATTAAACTAATGAATTAAGCCCAAAGGGGATTCATATGTATATGAATATGAATATATATTCATATATCATATGATCTTTCCTCTTAGGTCATAAATTTGAAAAAAAATCAATGCTAGTATATTGCTTCAAAAGAACACTTTGACTTAAATCCTAAATCTTATTTTCTTATGACTATAGCATCAAATGTTTAATATGTTCAATCAGTTATATTTCCTTTTTAATTTTCATTTAAACTTTATATGCACGTATACACACACATATATATGTATGTGTAAGTAGGATAATGGTATATCCAAGATAAACTCTTCTGCAATTGGGCGCTTATGTTTCTTTGGGTTAGATTTCTAGGTGTAGGATTCCTGGGTGGAACAAAGCCGATATGTCAGAGTATCATTTCCCCAAATCTCCAAATCTCTGACGAGAGGAAGTGTTGAGACTCTTAAATGTTTTTTAGTCTCTTTGAGTACAAAGAAAGGTCTCTTTATTGTGCTGCTTTGAGCTTCCTTGATTACATAAAGCATCTCCCTATGTCTGTTGGCCATAGAGGCTTGCTTTTCTTTGCTTTTTTTTTTTTGGAGACTGAGTCTTGCTCTGTCCCCCAGGCTGGAGTGCAGTGGCGCGATCTCAGCTCACTGCAACCTCCGCTTCCCGGGTTCACGCCATTCTCCTACCTCAGCCTCCTGAGTAGCTGGGACTATAGGCGCCCGCCACCACACCTGGCTAATTTTTTGGATTTTTAGTAGAGACGGGGTTTCACCGTGTTAGCCAGGATGGTCTCGATCTCATGACCTTGTGATCCACCCGCCTCGGCCTCCCAAAATGCTGGGATTACAGGCGTGAGCCACCACTCCTGGCCAAGGCTTGCTCTTCTTAATCATTGACTGTTCTCATACTTTACCTGCATTTTACTGGGTTTTGGGACTTTTATTATTTTTGTTTGATAGAAACAGACCCTCACTATGTTGTCCAGGCTGGTCTCAAACTCTTGGCCTCAAGTGATCCTCCCACATGGCCTTCCAAAGCACTGGGATTATAGGCGTAAGCACTGCACCTAGCCAATTTTTAACACATTTTGTAGAGTACAGCTATTATCCCTTCATCTCTCATTTGTGTAGCAAATATTTATTCCAGATTTTCTTATTAATTTTGTAGTATCTTTTGCAGTATAATTTATTTAAATATGTTATAATTCTATATGTCTGTATTCTTTTATTACTTTTATATAGCTGGCTTGTATATTCATTTCCTGTGGCTACTGTAACAAATTGCCATAGACTTTTTGGTTTAAGAAGCAGAAATTTATTTTCTTACAGACCTGGAGGTAAGAAGCCCGAAATCAGTTTCCCCGGATCAAAACCAAGGTGTCAGAGGGTGATGCTCCCTCCAGTGGCTCCAGAGCCTGCCAGCATTCCTCGTCTCTCCCAGCTTCTTGTGGCTTCTGGCATTCCTTGGCTTGCTGCTGCACCTTCCAGCCTTCAAGGCCAGCATCTTCCAATCTCTTCCTGCTCCATCTTCACAGTGTCTTCTCCTCTAGTTGTGTCAAATCCCCTTTTGCCCATCTCTTATAAGTACACTTGTGATTGTATTTAGGATTATCCTCAGATAATCCAGGATAATCCCTCATCATAAGATCCTTAATTTAATAATGTCTGCAAAGACCCTATTTTCAAATAAGGTAATATTGACAGGCTCCAGAGATTCAGATGCACTATCTTTGGGGAGCCATTTTTTAGCCTGCTAACAGCCTGATTAAGGTTCCCCCATTCCAAGACAGTACACATCATTGCCTGGATCTTTTTGAAAGTATTAGTGTGTACTAATTCTGACTGGAAACACATTTTTACTTGTAATATAATATAGAGGTCCCTTCATACGTGCCGGAATAAACCTTTTTAACTGTTTCGAACTGAATTAAAATAGCGTCTTTTTATTGATAAAAATATTGTGCCTCTATTTACAATAGCAAAGGCTTGGAACCAACCCAAATGCCCATCAATGATAGACTGGATAAAGAAAATATGGCACATATACACCATGGAATACTATGCAGCCATAAAAAAGAATGAGTTCATGTCCTTTGCAGGGACATGGATGAAGCTAGAAGCCATCATTCTCAGCAAACTAACACAGGAACAGAAAACAAAACACCACATGTTCTCATTCATAAGTGGGATTCAAACAATGAGAACACATGGACACAGGAAGGGGAACATCACATGCCAGGGCCTGCTGGGGGATGGGGGGCAAGGGGAGGGAGAGCATTAGGACAAATACCTAATGCATGCGGGCCTTAAAACCCAGATGATGGGTTGATAGGTGCAGCAAACCACCATGGCACATGTATACCTATGTAACAAACCTGCATGTTCTGCACATGTATCCCAGAACTTAAAAATTAAAAAAGAAAACAAAACAAACAAAAAATCTTGTGCATACCATTTCTGGATTATCTATTAAGTTCCCTTCTATATTTATACATTCTTATCCCTCTACCATGTTAATATGATGAATATGATTTTATAGTATTTTAAAAATAATACTGAAGGTATTTATGGTTATAAATTTCTCTTCCACACCAGATATTGCCTCCTTTCATGGTTTTGCTATGAGGTACCCACCTATTCATAGCTTTCTAGAGAAGGCATACATTTACTTTTCTTCTTTGGCATAAGGATAATCTAAGAGTGAGTTTTAAATTTCCAAATAGGTAAGATTTGTTTTATACTCAACAAAACATGTAAATGATTTGTTGCTAACTTTCTTAGATTGGAGCTGAGAATGAAGCCTATAGAATATCTCATTATAACTTTTGTTCAGGCTTCTTAATGGCAGTTACAAGATAGATTTTTGTAAATGTTCCACAAACGAAAAATTGTTTTGAGGGGATTTGATATATAGAGTGAGAAGTATATAAAAGTATACATATAATCAAGTTTATGGATAATATATAATTTTTATATAGTCTCATTTGTTTTCTATTAGATCTGCCCAATTTTGAGAAATATATTTTGAAGTATTACATTGTGATAGTGTCTTAATTGCATTTCTATTAATTTTTGCTTTATATATTTAGTTGCCATGCTCTTTGGTACATCTCAGTTTACAGCTCTCAAAGCACCATAAATTGTGTCATTTCATAAAAATGACCCACTTTTTCCCATCTAATACCTTAAAGCCTACCTCCATTTTTAGTATAACTTTTACTGAGATTGTTTATCCTGTTGATCATAGATCAGCATTTCTCCACCTGTTTTTTATTATTATCTTCCTGAGGAGCCTTCTAATATATTTTTTCTTAATACTGCCTCCCATGATATTATAATATCACAGATATACTGCATATGTGTTCTATGTATATCTGTGTGTTAGTCATCGAAAGAGTAACACTATTTCAGTCCCTTTGGGGCAATATCGCTCCCATTGAGAATGCGTGTAATTGATTCTCAGTAGACCTTCCCCTGTAATGTGTGACTTCCATTTCAAAAACCCACATTGAGTGCATGAAACACATGTACATATCGTATTGTTCCTCACTTATTTCTTCTCCCCTCATCTTCTTTGATGGTGTTCAGTGTTATTTACTGTTTGGTTACAGTTTTTCTTTAAACATGAATATGTTCCCCATATGGGTTAAGTAGGCAAGATAGTCTCTAAGTCTGTTTATATCTGCAAATATTTCTTTCACCCTGGCAGGTAACATTCTTGAGTGTGTAAAGGATTCTTGGGCCTCAGTCTTTGTCTTCCATAGGCTATACAACCATGTACTTGCAGCTGGTTAGATCTCTGCCAGTCTATCTAATTCATTTTCCTTGATCGGTAACTATTTTTTTGGCGAGAGGTTGTTCTTTCTCCTCGATGTTAAGTAATTTTACAGAATATAGCTCTAAGTTTTTTCAAATTTGCCTTCACCTTCAGGTACCTTTTCACCTTATAGATTTAGTTCTTCCCTCAACTTGGATCATTTTTTTTTATTTTGGTATTATTTGCAAACCTAATCTTTTTTGTATGCCTATGAGCCACATGCTGTATCTCCTCTATTTATATATCAGCCTTTTCCCCTGATTCCCCTTATTTCTCTCTCTCTCTCTCTCTGTATGTGTGTGTGTGTGTGTGTGTGTGTGTGTGTGTGTGTATACATGCACATGTGTACTTTGAGATATTTCTTGCATTTGATCTTCAGGCCACTAATCCAGGCTTCAACAATGGCCATATGGTTCTTTAATTAATCTTCTAAGTTAGTTCTAAAATCATCGAGTATTAGTACCAGACACACTTGGCCATCCTTCAGTGCACATGTTGTGTTTTAGTTCTAACTTCCATCTTCTCCAGGAGCCTGTATCGCCTGTATCACCAGGTCCCCATTGTGTTAAGCATCTTCCTTCTTGTAATTGGTTCTCTTTAAATGTGTTGATATTTAACTTTATCAGATTATTAGTGGCTTCCATCCTTCAGGTGAAGGAAGGTAAAGACTAGAGATATAGCATTGAATGGTTTACTAGTTCCCCACTGGGGCAACCAAAGGAGGCCTCTCCCCTCATATACCCAGCCTTGGGTTTAGGGAGGTGGCCTTGGCTCCTGCACCACCTTTTGAAGAACAGGCAACTCTGGAACACTCATATAGGGCTAAGAATTGTTCTGCAGGCCTCTGGACTCCCCAGAACCTGAGTCTGCTGGTAATTGAGTGTCCCTCAGCCCCAGCACTGCTTGGCTTGGGAGAGTCTATTAGACCGTACCTAGGAATGGAAAGAGTGGGAGAGACTGGGGAGTAACTTTCTTAAAGAATACCCCTTCCTTTTCAGACTTTAACATAACAAAATGATCATTCAGGGAGAACTGTGTTGCATCAGGAAGAGAGATGTATGTTCTAGGCCTGACTGCCACTAGCAAGCCATGTGGTCATCAGCGTGTCACTCAGTTTCTTGTACCTCTGTGTCCTCGTTTGTAAGATGAAGAGATTGGCTGATTATTGATCTAAGTGGTCTTCCAGCTACGGCCTTCTCAGTTTGTAGGAAATCTCAGTATCCTGAAGGTTCTCATTATGATGTGGAGTAAAATTCAGTGGTTTTTCCATCTGTGTTCTGTGGAGCCCTGCGGATTCTGTACGGGAGGAAAGGAAGGGATTGGAGAGGTTTCGCTTACCTTTTTATTTGCACTAAGAGTTCAACTGCTAAAACAAGCTTGAAAGCCAGCACTAGAGTCTACATAAGCCTCAGAATTAAGTTTCTCTAACATGACTTTGGGTTTCTGTTTGGTGTTTTTGCTTATTTCCTTCACATTGTGTTTGGGCATTTCATCCTGTCTCCCAGTTGTTTTGGGTCAACAGAAGCAAGCAGTATTTATGACCCACCAGTCTTTTGGGATTGAAAGGTACCAGAAGATGCCACCTCAAAATAGACCCCTTTAGCATATGGATTATTTTGACCTGTGGGGAATTGAGAACCGGCAGTGCAGGAAGAGTTTTTTTTTTTTTTTTAACCTTTCTCTAACTGCATAAAAATGATGGCTCCGTACCAGGAAGAGAGCGACTCCTGGAGACTGCTGTCATCACCTGAAAGGCTCTTACCTGTATAACAGGACAAACCTTACTTACCATACTTCTCCTCACCTTATAACTTGCCTTCCCCACCTGGAAGCCCCAAACTCATTTTCCTTTGCTTAGCCAAAGATAGTATATAAACCTTAATCATCCGGCAACCTCCTTGAGTCTTGTTTCTTTGCTGGATTCCCTTGTATGCATGTAATTAAAACTTTGTGTGTACATAATTAAAATGTTGTTGGTTCTCTCTTGATAGTTTTTCATCAGTTTGATTCCTGGGCCCAGCCATTGAACCTAGGAGGGTAGAGAAACAGGTTTATTTCCTCCCCTACAGGATTGAAGGGTCTCCTACATTAAGCATCCTCTTCAAAGTCACAAAGGGGCTGAGCTGGATCTCTATTTTGGGGGTACAGCTTCCTGCATACGACTCTACTGTACATCATGAGGTTTTTACAGACTTCATTTACAAATTAGTCTAAAGTAGGTCAGCGTTCCTGAGACGCTGATAGTCTTTGAGATAATTTATCTAAGTCTGAAATGTTGGCTAATGTTCTTTACTAGAAAGGGCAAGATTTTATATTGGTGATGTTTAAAAGCCAAGGGGTTTTTGTTATTTCTTATTTAAAAAATGATGAGTGAGGCCGGGCACAGTGGCTCATGCCTATAATCCCAGAACTTTGGGAGGCTGAGGGAGGTGGATCACCTCAAATCAGGAGTTCAAGACCAGCCTGGCCAACATGGTGAAACCCTATCTCTACCAAAAATACAAAAATTAGTCGATCGTGGTGGCAGGTGCCTGTAGTGCCAGCTACATGGGAAGCTGAGGCAGGAGAATCACTTGAACCCAGGAGGCGGAGGTTGCAGTGAGCCGAGATCACATCACTGCACCCCAGTCTGGGCGACAGATAGAGACTCCATCTCAAAAATTAAAATTAAAAAAAATGAGTAAATGTAACTCAGAAAGCATTAGGAGGCCTTACTGCAGGTCTCTGCATAGAGTAGGGTTTAATACCTTTGGAAATGATTACATTTTGAATGTCTTAATGAAAATTATCATATGGGGAGATAACACACTGAAGACGAGTTAATAGAAATTCTACCTCAAGCCTAAGTATGGAAACTCTACCCAAGCCTAAGATCATTACAGTGAGCACTATAAAAATTGTGGGATTCCTTGGTGTAAGTAATCAGCACATACTAAAAGTAAAAATAAGCTTTATTTAATGACAGTCTGCCAGTATCTGTAGATTTTGGAATTTCTGTTTTCATCATGTGTGAGAGTTCTGGCTGTCTTTAAGTCCCACAAAAATAACACAGTGGAAATCAATTTAAGTCACAGAGCCAGAAATACAGATAAGTTAGATGGTCTCTTGAATGTTTCATCGGTGCCAAATATATTCTGTTAACTAAAAAAAAAAAAAATGAATTTGCCAAAAAATACTGGCCCACTGACCGTGGGGCCTTACGGAACACACAAAGTGTTTGTTTGTGTGAAAGGGAAAAATACAAACAACTTCCATGAACATGTGATGACCACGAGTTTAGGTTCGGGAAATCTGGGCCATGCACACATCACCAAACCTTCAATGGAGTAAGAGTAGAATGGACTAGTTGGAGGAGTTCCAAAGCTGAAAAGGAGGTATTATTGGTGTCAATTCTGTCTGTGGAAGAACCACAAAGCCCCTTGACGTGGATTCTCCCTCACATCCTGTACCTGAGCCTGTCACCATCCAAGCTCCTACCTCTACACAGTAAATTTAAAATTTACATAGGCACTAAAATCTGCAAGTCAGCACATTTTTTTCTTTCCTGTCCTTCTCTGTCTCTCTGGTTGCCTCTGTCTCTTTCTCTCACCCTCCCTGTCCCCTCCCGCCTCTTTTTTTTTTTTTAATTTTTGGAGATGGGGTCTAGCTGTGTTGCCCAGGCTGGTGTGCAGTGGCACAATCATGGCTCACTGCATCCTCAAACTCCCAGGCTCAAGCACAACCTCATCCTCCTGAGTAGCAGGGACTACAGGCGTGCACCATCATGCCTGGCTATTTTTTTTTTAACTTTGTGTAGAGACAGGGTCTCCTGATATTGCCCAGGCTGGTCTCGAACTCCTGGGCTCAAGTGATTCTTCCACCTTGGCCTCCCAAAGCAATGGGATTACAAGGATAAGCTCGGCCTCTGCCTCTTTTTTAAATAAGGAGTTAATAACTGTCTGATGCACTCAACATACCATACCAGAATACCTGGTTTGTGGTGAGGCTTCCTCCAGGCTTTTGGAGTACAGAGAAATTTAATCACTTTCGATGAGCTCCACTTTGAGCAACTTTTATTTCTACACTTGTTTAAACTAAAAGGAAGCCTCCATGCATGGCACAGGTGCAATGGTGCAACTTCCACTCTGTTTTCCAACACCCAGGGGTTATGGAGCAATGGCTATGCCAGCCAGCTCCAGGCTAGAGCACAGCTGGATGTGCCAGATACTCCTGCTGCTGTCAGCTGTGACCTCAGCACTGGCAGCTTCTTTCTCCTAACACCCTAAAGCTTCAGAGTCTTGATCTTCAGTTTCTCCCTTTCCCTTTCCCTTTCCCTTTCTCTTTCCTTTTCCTTTTCCCTTTCCATTTCCTTTCCTTTCTCTCTTTTCTCTCTCTTTTATTTATTTATTTATTTATTTATTTTTTGATGGAGTCTCACTGTCGCCCAGGCTGGAGTTCAGTGGCGTGATCTCAGCTCACTGTAACCTCCACCTCCCAGGTTCCAGTGATTCTCCTGCCTCAGCCTCCAGGGTAGCTGGGATTACAGGCACCCACCACCATGCCCAGCTAATTTTTGTATTTTTAGTAGAGACTGGGTTTCCCCATGTTGACCAGGCTGGTTTCAAACTCCTGACCTCAGGTGTTGTGCCTGCCTCAGTCTCCCAAAGTGCTGGGATTACAGGTGTGAGGCTACGCACCCAGCCAGCTTCTCTTTTTTCTAAGGCTGAATTGCAGGAATCACCACTCTGCCTCCACATTTCTACCATTCTCTCTTCCCAAGTCACCAAACCCACAGTCCATTCTTACCAGAGCAAGATAAGACCTTGCCACTGTGGGGCCATTAAGACCAAAGCCTTATTCTCTGTTTAGCTCCTGAAGGCATTTGAGTTTGTGACCCAAGAGCAAAAAATCTAAAAAATCAATACAAGAAGACCATTTTCCTTTTATGATAAGGAGACAGACGGGAGTCTATTAAAACATACAAAGGATGATAAATAGGATAATGGTGCAATCCAATGACCTGAGATAATGCAATGACTGTGGACCTACTGTTATTCAGTCTACCTGAGATTAAAACTTACTCTAAAAATTATATGCTTTTGAAACTCCTGTAAATAAAACTTTTATTTATTTGTTTGTTGAGATGGATTCTTGCTCTGTCGCCCAGGCCGGAGTGCTCTGGTGCAACCTTGGTTCACTGTAACCTCTGCCTCCCAGGTTCAAGCAATTCTCCTGCCTCAGCCTCCTGAGAAGCTGGGAATAAAAGTGCACACCACCATGCCCAGCTAATTTTTCTATTTTTAGTAGAGACAGGGTTTCACCAGGTTGGCCAGGCTGGACTGGTCTCAGACTCTTGGCCTCAAGCGATCCACCTGCCTCAGCCTCCCAAAGTTCTGGGATTAGAGGCATGAACCACCATGCCTGGCTGAAAAACTTTTATTTTTGATTTTGTTTTTTATTTCACTTATTTTTAGGCAGAACATTAGTTGAATTCATTAAAATACATTTAAACAACATGAATTCAGGTAAATCACTCATTAGTAACCATAATTTCTCTCTTAATAGCTAATACTTAAAGAATGCTTACTTACTATTAACTTTAATCTCACAAAAACCTTTTGAAGTAAATATAAATATTATCTGCATTTTGCAGAGGAAGAAACTGGAGATTAGTGAGATTAAGAAACAGCTTTTAAATTGGAAAACCAGCTGGAATCCAAGTCTCTTTGGGCCAAAACACAACTGCTTAATCTTCTTTGCTGCCTCTTCATGTGTAGATAACAGATTCAAAAAGCAGAAAAGGGTAGATTTGCATTGTAGCATTGGAATTATTATTGCAATAATTGTTCAATTGCACAGTACCCCCCAAAAAGTGCAATCTGTGTTCATGCTACTACTCTATTGATATAAACTCTTTCGAAAGAATTTCATAAATCTGAATACCAGTTGTTGAAATGCTTGACTTTTTAACATTTGAATGAATAGATTAATTTTAATGAGATTATTTTTACCTGTCTAAATTGGTAAACATTTAGGTTTTCTGACTTTCTTTGTCTCTGAATATTTTTTCCAGGGTCAACGTCTTTTTGAAAAGTTGCTCCAACTGACTTCGCAAAATATTGAGATCAAGCTAGTGAGTGATGTAACAGCTGATTCAAAGGTATTAGAAGCCTTGAAATTAAAGGGTAAGACCAAGGTTGATATGCTATTCTACCACTGGGTGTTCTGTTAAGATAACTTTGATTTCACTTAAAATAATATATAATTTCTTTATAGTTAGTACATTTCACTTAGTACATAGTACATTTACATCTTTGAAAAATAACTCAAAGTTTTTGAGTGGAGGAACTAATTAATATATTGGGATTTAAAAAAACAGTTGCATATTAGTGTAAGCAAAATAATCTACTGGTCAATAAAAGATGATTAACTAGAAAGAAGAATCTTTCCCTTTCTGAACACTTCAACAGTGTGATTACAGAGAAGAACCACTTCGCGTCAGAATAGACACTGCATCTCTACTTTTCACTTGCCTGCAAAATGAAAATCCTTTTCACGCTATATATTTAAAAAATAATATAGTCAGGTCCTGGAGTCTATGAAACATTGCCTGATTCATGAGTTTTAAGACAATTCCACAGGAGAACACCATTTATATAGCCACTTTGCAGTTTTTCTCACAATCTCACGAAGACTGAAAATAATTCCAAAATAACTTTTTTTATTTTGCTGTAATGTCAACCGAATTGAGCTCTCACATCCAAATAGTTTTTACTGTTTTGTAAAAATTGTTCCCTGGAATTTATTATCCAAACTGTAAGCCTCTAAAAGGAAAAGGCGTGTTTGAGCCAGTGAAAATGTTCAAGCTGCCGGACGTCCCTAGAAGAGGACAGGGCACTGACCTCAGTGAGTCATTCATGTTCCACCTGATGGTGTTACAGCTCATGTTTGTGCTGTTTAAACATACTGTGCATTTTTTGCTTGTCATCTTCCCCACATTTTTAAGTGGCAATTCCTTCTAAGAATGGAACAGAACAGGAATCAAATAAGTGAGCCCCAGTGGCCCTTCCTCCTGAAGAAGAAAAATTGGAAGGGATAAAGCATATTGAAAGTCATCACCACATAAAAGACGTAAGCTTGGCCATGCACATGTACCTATCACCATGCACATGTTTTCTATGCACAGGAAAATAAAACATGAGATAATCGTATGTTTGAAAAGCTGTGCTGTGCTACTTGGGTGCAGCAGAATGTCTTTGAAAAACTTGTAAGTGCCCAGTTCAGTGGATTGACAGATACAATCAATGTGGCTTAGAAATGTATTCTTACTTTTCCTATTTTTTAAAAATGTAAAATTGGGTTCTCACTATCTGATAATTTGTTAGAGAGCACTTTTTTTTTCTGAGGAATTGATTACTTTTGGTTAACCGAGGGTCCTGTATTTGCAGATGATTTTCCTTATGGAGTTTACTAGCATCTCTTTGGGTTTGATTATCCTGGCAGGATAAAATGCTGATGTGTTAGGAAGAGAAGGAGGGAGCCCGAGACATCCACAGCTCTCTTTCTTGCCATAGCTCATGCTAAAGCTTGTAAACTCCACCAAAAGTTAAAGCTTGGGGATATTAGGAAGCCTAACAGATTTTCTTTGGAGTTGCTGAATATTTGCTACTGTAAACAGCAAATAGTGATTGACAAATGCACGAATAAAGGCCTGGTTTACATTTCTATTGTGAACTATAGGTTAAAATTTCATTATAGTAATTGCATCTCACAGAAAAAGAAGTGTTTGAATTTCCAAGCATATGCAGATACTACTACAACTTAGGTTCTGTTGAAATATAATAAGACTTCTTATCAAAACACGAAAACAAATGATTTTCCTTCATAGGAGTAAAGCAATGAACAGGACCCTAATTTCTCATAGCTATTTTCTAGGTAGTGATGGTAGGCCTCTCTGGCTCTTAGGGATGCACATGATGTGTATACTGTATGTAGAACATGTATAAGTCTTTAGAATACAGTTATTGTATTTCTCTACTCTCATCCTTTGGTAGACATATATTAAATGATAACAGTGCATTTTAGAAATAATTTTTATGAGACTATTTTAAATCTGTGATTGAATATCTTGCTTTAAGGGTTATCTTTTTGCAAGGGAGGGATTCTAGTCTTTTAGCAAAATTCTAGAAAGTTTTTTCCAGAAATATCCCACCAAAAAAATAGGTAAATATAAAATAAGCCATGAGCAATTTCAGCTGCAAGAGTTACTGAATATAGAAACTAATCAAATATATTGTGAAAAAGAATAAAAGTAGGGCTTCCCAGTAAATGATAAAGATTTAGTGCAGGTGTAAGGAGGCCCAGAAAAAGGCCAGGCAGGCTGGAGAAGTGAGACAGCTGACCAAGGCCCTTCTGACGGGTGGTGTGCAGGTCATTCCTGTTCCTTTTGCTCCCCATGCTTTGCCTCTCTCTTTGACTCAGAAGTCGGAAAGATAAACCATCTCTCCAAGGTCTCAAACTGTGGCTTGGAGGTGAGGTGCTTTTGAAACCTAGCCCTCATGAAGTCCTTGCACCCAGGGAGGGATTTAATTTTACACAAGGGTCCCTGTAAATTCAAAATGGGTTTTATTAATCAGTTTTCTTAATTTCACTTCCTAACCATCTCCACCTGTATCCCTCATATAAACATCTCAAATGCAACATGTTGACTCAGCTCACATGCTTTCTTTCCCTCCCTGCACCAACACAGCATCTGTCTCTATACCTGAATTTCCATGTGCTCAGTCACTCATGTTAGAAACTCAACTCCACGCTCTCGTATGCCACATCTAATGAGCCATGGTCTATAGACTCTATCCACCCTGTCTTTCTTCTAGATACCACATTTCCTCCTCACATACCTGCCTTATTTCAGGTCTCTTAATACTTTGCTTAAGCCTTTGTCACCTTTCCTCTTTCACCATCTGATCTTCCACACAGCTACCAAAGAGATCTTCCACCACATGGTTATTATCACCTTACGTGTTCACCCAAATTGCACGCAGGTGTGAGGATGCCTGAGGAATATCATGCATGCAATAAAAGGCACAAATATTAAATATATAGCTCAATGAATTTCACAAAGTAAACGCATCCACATAAAACCGTCACGGATCAAGATGTAGAACGTTGCGGACATCTCAGAAAGCCTTCTCAGTCCCCCTTGCAGTCAGTGCCCTCCGCAGAGGGAACCACTATTTCGACCTCTACCATAGATTACCTTTATCTTTCTTTGAGCTTTATATAAATAGAATCACAGAATTCTATGTCTGGATTCTTTGGCTCAGTTTTATGTTTATAAGACCAATACATGTTGGATACAGCAGTGGTTTATTTTACATTATTGTATAGTATTCCATTTTATGAATATAATACAATGGATCTGTTCTACTGATAGATGTTTGGGTTTTTCCTAGTTTGGGTTATTATATATAATGCTGCTATGAGCATTCTTGTACATGTCTTTCAGATGCCTACACATATACATTTCTGTTCGGTATGTACTTAGGATTGGGATTGCTGACATAATAGGCTATATATGTGTTCAATTTCGATAGATATGGCCAATCAGTTTTCTAAGTGGTTGCACCAATTTACACTCTCACAAACACTATGTTAACGTTCTGTTTGCTCCACATCCTTGCAAAATTTGGCACCTTGTTTTATTTTAGCCATTCCGGTGGATATGTATCATGTTGTATCTTTAATACTCATTTCTCTGGTGGCAAATTATATTGAGCATCTTCTCATATGCTTATTGACCATTTCCATATTCTCTTGGAGAAGGTGCCTCTGCAAGTATTTTGCCCAGTGTTATTGTTGTTTTAATTGGCCCATTCCTATTGATTATTAGGCTAGATTTGAATCCTTTGTTGGATATATGTATTTCATTTATCTTCATCCATTTGAGGCTTGTCTTTTCACTCTTCCAAGGATGTGTTTACATAAATGGAAATTCTTAGTTTTAATGAAATCTGATTTATTAATTACTCCCTTATTGTTGATGCTTACTGCATCCTGTATAAAAACTATTTATCATCACAAGGTCATGGAGATTTTCCTGTTTGTTGTGTTCTAGATACTATATTATTTTGCTGTTCAGATTTAAGTCTGTGTTAAGTTTGGACTTTATTTCTGCTTATGGTATGAAGTAGCAGTAAAGGTTCATTTTTATACTTACGGAGGGTTGTTCATTTAAAAAAGTTTCTTCACTGCATGTTCGAGGCATCGTTGTTAAAAATTAGGTGACTGTATTTTAGTTCTGTCTTTGAATTCTTTACCGTATTTTCTTAGTCTACTTATTTATCCCAGGACCAATGCCATACTGTTTACCTTGCCTTTATAATATGTGGAACTTTATAAAAGTTCCACAGATGGTGGAACTTTCATCTTTGTTTTTCACTTTTAGAACTGCCTTAGTTATTCTTGGACCTTCAGGTTTTGAAATAAATTTTAGAACCGTCTTATCATAAAACTACTGAAATTGTATTAGAATTACACTGACTCTGTAGATAAACTTGGTGAAAATTGACATGGGCAATATTGAATCTTTTATTTCATGCCTATAGCAAAGCTACAATATTTAGCTGCATCTATTTTTAATATGACATAAATTTCTAAATTAGTTTTCTGTCCAAAAAGTTTTCTGATTTCTACTGCAGTCTACTCTGTACTGTGGCCTATTTAGAAATGTAATCCTTAATTTTCAAACATTTGGAGATTGTTCTATTTATCCTTTGTTATTTTCATTATATATATTCATAGAATATACTTGGTATGATTTCAGTCATTTGGTATTTTTAGAAAGTTACTTTATAAAAATTTATTTAAATAAATTTGTTTTATAAATATCAAGGCTTTCCATTGCTTTCATACAGCTTTTCATTTTTGTTTTTTCATTTTGTCAACCCTTATAAGTCTAAAAGCTGAAAGTGGAGTGTAAGTGAAATAGCTTCTCATTGTCTGATACATGATCTTAATCGGTAGACTTCAGAAACAAGCTAAATGAGATGTGAGATTGTCATTGAAATTCTCTGCTTTCTTCAAATCCGTATTCCTGTGGGATGTGCCACTTGCTGCCACCACTTGGCTTACAGGGAGTAATCGTGACAATTCTTTTTTTTTTTTTTTTTTTTTTTGAGACGGAGTCTCACTCTGTCACCCAGGCTGGAGTGCAATGGTGCCATCTCGGCTCACTGCAAGCTCTGCCTCCCGGATTTAAGTGATTCTTCTGCCTCAGCCTCCCAAGTAGCTGGGATTATAGGTGCATGCCACCAGCCCTGGCTAATTTTTGTATTTTTAGTATAGATGGAGTTTCACCATATTGACCAGGCTGGTCTCGAACTCCTGACCTCATGATCTGCCCACTTTGGCTTCCCAAAGTGTTGGAAGTACAGGCGTGAGCCACCCCACCTGGCCAACAATTCTCTTAAGTCCCGTTTTCTCTGCTCATGCCTCCCAGCAAATGCCTTTGATATCCTACTTCTCACCAAACCTAGTAATAACCCAGTCATATTATTGAATTTTTATATTACTAACACAATTTTTATTTCTGGTTGTATATTTTAGTCCTAAGCAAAATATCCCTCAAGGATACCACTGTACTTTTAATTCTTGTATGTTATAGTTACTGTTGCAATTAAATTGAAAATTAAGAATTATTTGTCTACCAAAACCATAACAATTCATTGTACTTTCTATAATATGACTGCAATATTTAATGCCTCTGTAGCCTAGCAACAATTAAAAATAAAATAAAGTCAGAAAATATCAATTTCCTTTTGAAAAAAAAAGCAGGCTTTTATTTGTTCATGGTTGGATGATAAAATGATGAGTGAAATAAGTGTCATAGAAGATTTAGAATCAGTGACCTAGAAGTTAAGTTCACATTTTCTTTAAAAAATAAAATAAAATAATAAAAAGGCATTTGAAACCATTTAGGATCTGAAATATCTCATTTCAATCTCATTCTTATTATTTACTATAATTGAGTTTTGAAGTATCTGAAAGCTAATTGTGATTTCCCAAATACAACCTACTTTTTCAGGGCTGTGTTTCTCAAAATATTGTTTTCCCTGTGCCTGAAATACCCTTATGTATTTCCCTTGTCAAATTTACAAGCTCTTTTTCATCCTTTTTTTAATTAATTAATTTTTTTTTTGAGAGAGAGAGAGAGAGGTGATGTCTTGCTCCATCACCCAGGCTGTAGTACATTGGCACTATAATAGCTCACTGCAGCTTTGAACTCCTGGGATCAAGTGGTGCTCCCACCTCAGCCTCCCCAGTAGCTGGGACTAGAGGCATGTGCCACCATGCCTGACCCAGTCCATTTTTAAGCCTTACACATAGTATTTTCCCTTTCACCTTCATCTCTTTACCCTGGTTGATCTTACCATCTACTTTTTCTCCATTGTTCATTAATATTTAATCCAACAATTATTTCTTGACTACCTGTCATGTGCCAACAACTTGGGCTTTAAAGAGAGGAAGGTGACTAAGACATGAGCCTTCCCCTAACTTCAGAGAGTTCAGAGTTTGGTAGAGAAGACCAAGCGATAAGTGAAATAAAGTGATCAAGAAATTCCTAAAACATCTACACAGAGTCCAAAGTTTCTGAATCACTTTTTGCAACAGTGGTTGATGCCCATGCTTTCCACCCAGCATTGTCTCTGTACCACCGAGAGTGTCGACGGTGCCATGTAGCTTTAAGAAACAGAATGCATTACTGTTGTCTCTAATCAGAAGCTTGTTTTTGAAGCTTACCAGAATATGTCAAAGCAAGATATTCAGACAATAACCAGATCTTGTATTCTTTCCTCAAAGGTTCCTTAAATGGTTTGTTGACTGAATATTGGGAACCTTTAAGAGCTCTGTCATGCCACCAGGAATAATGCAGTGACAACTTTGTCACAACTTGTCACTTGGTCTGTAGCAATCGTAAGATGCATTGCAATGTCAGAGATGTTAAAATGTGAAGACTAAATGTTTCAGAATCAATGACTTAGAGTAATAAGTGTTATTTTAAAATATTTAGTAATAAACTAGAAAGTTCAACTTAGAAACTTTAAACTTTAATAAGTTAATTAAGTTAAAATGACCATTCCTCATAGCACACTGAGAGAGGTAGATTCTAAACTAAACCTCTTGCAACAGGGCTTCTTTGTAGTGCAGTGACCATACTCAGTGGATGGACATTCGGAGAATTCAGGCTGTGCTGGTTTTTAAGAAATGTGGGGGTCTTACAGACCCCCTTGATGGCTAGAGCATTCAGTGATAGGAAGTGTGCCTATCCAAAAATATAAATAAGCAAAAACTGCTCTATTACCTGAAACAGGAAGGAAGGTATTCAAATTGGTTTTTATATGCAATTTCTATAGGAAAACAATACAATGAAACCAGAAACCTGAAATACACTGGAGAAGAGACAGTCTCCTGGGGTAGACAAGAAAGATATCAGAAATCATATTCCTAGCTATGCAGCGTGATGAATCGCAACCCAAATGAAAAAAGAGGGGCTAATCATGAGAGCTTGGTTCTAAAAAGAAGAGGGATAGCAAACATGCAGTGGTAAACGTCACAGGCATGAAAAGGCTCAGGTGATTGTTCCTACTGACATTATCTGCTAAAAGAGAGTGACCATACAAATAACCAGTTTCACTTATGGGCTAAACTCTGTCACTAGGTGCTGTTTGGTCTTTAAAAAAAAATTAAATCTTTTAAATTGATTTTATCTGAAAAGTAAGTCACATATATTTATCATGTGCAACATGTTTTGAAATCTGTATACATTGTGGGATGGGTACATTGAGCTAATTAACAAATGCATTATTTCATATACTTATTTTTTGTGGTGAGAGCACTTGAAATCTACTTCCTTAGCAATTTTCAAGAATATAATCTTGTACGTTGTTATTAACTATGATCACCATGTTGTACGGTAGATCGCTCCGTATTGCCAGTGATCAGCCCAATTACTCAACCACAGAAATAAATTCATCCTAGAGCTTGAGGACCTCCATGCTGTGCCTCTTTCTCCTGATGGTCCAGCACACTGTGGGCTTGGGGTGTTAACACAGTCCTGCTCAGCTGGTGTTGCAAGCTTTCAGTCTGTTAGAATCAAACATGTATTTTCTTCCCCCTCCCTTCTCTCCTGCACACAGACCTATAAGTGATTAAACATAGAGCTTAGTCTGTGCCACCTATATATGTTTTGTGATAACTTTAAGGAGCTGATAACAAAACTTTTTTTTACAAGGTTTTGTTTTGTTTTGCCAGAGCATTCATGTGTCAAGAATTTTCTTTCCTTTTTGGGATTCTTCATATAGATAGTAGATACATAGATAGAAGCTAGGTAGATAGGTAGGTAGATAGTTAGATGTCAGATACATAGAAAGATATAGATAAATGATAGATAGATAGATAGATAGATAGATAGATAGATAGATAGATAGATAGAAGGTAGGTAGGTAGATATAGATAGATGATAGGTAGATAGATAGATGATAGAAAGAAGGTAGGTAGGTAGGTAGGTAGATATAGATAGAAGATAGTAGGTAGAGATAGATAGATAGATAGATAGATAGATAGATAGATAGATAGATAGAAAAAAAGAAAGAGAAAGAAGAGGGAGACAAAAGAAAGAAGATAGGAAGATAGATGGCAGATACACAGAAAGAAAGAAATAGATGACAGATACATAGAAAGATAGATATTAATAGATAGATATATAGATAGATGATAGTCTTAGTTCATTTGTGCTGCTGTAATAACTGAGACTGGGCAATTTATAAAGAACAGGCACTCATTTTTTCACAGTTCTGGGGTCTGGAAGTTTAAGATCAAGGCACCAGCAGGTTCAGTGTCTGCTGAGAGCTGCTCTGTGCTTCCAAGATGGCGCCTTGTTACTGCATCCCCCAGAGGGAACAAACGCTGTGTCCTCACGCGGCGGGTAAGACAGAAGGGCACAAAAGAATCTAAGTTTGTTCCTTTCAACCCCCGCTACAAGACACCAATACATTCGTGACTCAGTCACTTCCCAAAGACCCCATCACTTAATACTGCCACAGTGGGGATTACATTTAAACGAACGATTCTTGAGGGACATTCAAATCAGATAGAGAAATAGATCTTCAGATTTTCTCCCCATGAGATTTTAAAATTAAATTTCTAGATTTCCCTATCTTTTTATCCATATTGTTTCCTTTCTGTTACTTTTTGTTTATAAAGGCAATACAAAGCATGCTCTTGGGGTGAACTCTTGGTCATAGTGACAGTGCTCAGCCCTCTGCATCCACTCATCTGCTCCCCTTGTGACTCAAGTCATACATTTGCTGAGTGACTGTCTCAGACACCCAGTTTAAAAGTGACCCCAACTTTCCCTCATTAGCACTATATAGCAAGTAAGTGAGCCAATTAGACAGAGCCTTACCCATATTAGTGAATAACCAATAGCCACAGGGACCTAATGAGCCGTGGCTGGGCATCTTTAGGTCATTTGGGTTACAATCCCACAAAGCATTGAACAAATGGTAGACATTTAATTGGCCTTTGCTCATGACTAAATTTTATTCATTATAGTCAAAATCTTAATTGAAATAAGACTAAATCTCTGTCACTCTTGTTAATAACACTGTATTTTTAAATCGTTGAGTTCTGGTGTTCTTTTAGCTACATTATTTTAAAAAGGACAGGGAGCTGCTGAATTCTTTCTGTTGAATTCTAAATGTGATCTTTGCCATTGCTTATTTAAATTTAAGAAAGCTGTACTCATTCATCATTGATAATCCATATTTTTATTTTCACATTCATGGATTAGGCTTAACAAAATCTTTGAAAGGGAAAATATATTCCTAAATCTGAGCATAGAAGCATGCGTAATTTTTTTTTATTATACTTTAAGTTTTAGGGTACATGTGCACAATGTGCAGGTTATTTACATATGTATACATGTGCCATGTTGGTGTGCTGCACCCATTAACTCGTCATTTAGAGCATGCATAATTTTTTAAGTTAATGCAAGCTGCCCTAGTTTCCAACTCTGCATTTTACAAGGTGATTTTTGAACAGCTTACTCCAAATCAGTGGAGGATAGCTTATTGAGGCTTTTTTTACTTAGGTTTTACTGCTTTATAATTATTCCAAAACCTAACTCTACAAGTATGTATGCCTGTGTGTGCTAATTTAATGTAAGCCTTATAAGTATAATTTGGTAGTTTCCCTAGAGTAAACTTTATATTATTCTACCTTTCATTTCCACTGTCTGAAAGGTTGCCATCGTTAAGGAGGCTGAACATTTCAAGTGAAGGACAGTCCTCATGGTTATCATGAATGTGGAATCCTCTGGACAGGGGACTTATGAAGCTGCTTTGTATTGGGTCTGCTCTGGTAATGGCCCAGATGGAAGTCAGGGTGCCCCGACGGTCACCCAGGCATGCTTTTCCAATATGTGCTTTCATTTCACACCTTCTCAAAGTGAATGCCACTTGAGAGGCTCATGTTTGATTGCCTGAAGGCTGCTGCCTTTGTCCTATATGCTGCCGTCAAAATGTATTGCAAGGGATTCTGTCTTCCACCTTTCTTTATAGCACACCAAAATATTTGGCAGCAAGGCATAAACTTTTCATCCTATGCTTGTTTGGCCACATTATGCTTTTTAGTGATAATTAGCAGCGTAATTAGCATAATAACTAGGAACAGGTACTTTTGTGGCCCCGACCTTGTGCTGAAATTCTAAACTTGTCATTACTGTGTGTGATGTAACCATAGGCCGGCACTTTCTCTGAGCCTCAGTGGTGGTGGTGGTGGTTGTTGTTTGAGACGAATTTCACTCTTGTTGCCCAGGCTGGAGTGCAATGGTGTGATATTGGCTCACTGCAACTTCCACCTCCCAGTTTCAAGCGATTCTTCTGCCTCAGCCTCCTGAGTAGCTGGGATTACAGGTGCCCACCACCATGCCTGGCTAGTTTTTGTATTTTTAGTAGAGATGGGGCTTCGCCATGTTGGCCAGGCTGGTGTTGAACTCCTGATCTCAGGTGATCCGCCTGCCTCAGCCTCCCAAAGTGCTGGGATTACAGGCGTGAGCCACCATGCCCAGCCTTTCCTTTTTTTCTTTCTTTTTTTTTTTTCAGTTAAATGAGGATAATAATAACCTCCCTGAGAGCTATGAGAATTAAATTAGATAATATATAAAAAGTGTCTGGTGCAGGTGCCTACCTCATAATAAACTGTTAGTAAATGACATCCACTATAGCTGTTGCCTTAATTTACCCATGTGTACTATTTGTGTTTGACCTGTCAGTGCCACTAGACCAGACTGGATTTATTTTTGCTTCTAAATTACAAACCTAGATCTGTGATTTTCTGATGAAAGAAAAGCCCCGGTTTTAATCATACATTACAGATCGTCTTTGGGAATGCAGCTGGTTCGTTTGCCTGTGTGGTTGTGCACTAACTCTTGCTGGCTTCAGTTTGTATTGGAATTGTTCAGCTGGTGACACCAGTGACTCCCCATCTGTGTTTTCGGTCTCTGTTCTAAGAGCTGCCCAAGTTAAGTCTGCAATTCAATGTGTTTAAACTTTCACAAGGGTTCATCTGATACATATAATATAGTCGTACCCATCTAAACACATAAAATCTAAACATTTGCTCTAAAACATAGAATCTTGTGCTACAGGTTTCATTTTTATCCCTAATACATAAGAACCTCGGCAGGAATAACATTTTCAAGGAAATTATATGCATATTCAACCTTGTGACAGGAGAAAAGCAGAATTTTATCTATTTCATCTGGTTGTGGCTTTATGTATTTCTATTCTAGGGATGCTAGAATTTGGGGAGGATGTTCTTTAAGAGGTGAAGAGGCCGGGCGTGGTGGCTCACGCCTGTAATCCCAGCACTTTGGGAGACCGAGGCGGGCAGATCACGAGGTCAGGAGATCGAGACCATCCTGGCTAACACGGTGAAACCCCGTCTCTACTAAAAATACAAAAAATTAGCCGGGCCTGGTGGCAGGTACCTATAGTCTCAGCTACTCGGGAGGCTGAGGCAGGAGAATGGCGTGAACCCTGGGGGTCAGAGCTTGCAGTGAGCCAAGATCGCGCCACTGCACTCCAGCCTAGGTGACAGAGCGAGACTCCGTCTTAAAAAAAAAAAAAAAGTGAAGAGAGGCTGGGTGTGGTGATTCACACTTGTAATGCCAACACTTTGGGAGGCTGAGGTGGGAGGATCATTTGAGCTCAGAAGTTCCACCCTGCAGTGAGCTGTGATTGGTGAGCTATGATCCACCACTGTACTCCAGCCAGGCGATAGAGTGAGACCCTGCCTCAAAAAAAAAAAAAAAAAGGGCCATACGCAGTGGCTCACACCTGTAATCCCAGCTCTTTGGGAGGCCAAGGCAAGCGGATCATGAGGTCAGGAGTTTGAGACCAGCCTGAGCAACATGGTAAAACTGCGTCTCTACTAAAAATACAAAAATTGGCCGGGCTTGGTGGTGTGCACCTGTAATCCCAGCTACTTGGGAGGCTGAGGCAGGAGAACTGTTTGAACTCAGGAGGCGGAAGTTGCAGTGAGCTGAGATCACACCACTGCACTCCAGCCTGAGTGACAGAGTGAGAGTCCAACTCAAAAAAAAAAAAGGTACTGAAGAGGAATAAAGATATAAATAAACGAATAAATGGCAATCTTTCAGAAAGCCCTTATAATTCCGAGGGATCCCATGGTCAGCATTTTTAGCCAGTAGCTTTTCTATTTTTTTCAGTCCCAAATAGAAAAGCTAGTTGCTAAAAATACTGATCATGGGATCCCCAGAATCATAAGGGCTTTCAGAAGACCTCGTCTCCACATCTATGTTCACACATCCACGTGTATGTTCTGAAGGGTACTAGAGACTTTTTTTTTCTTTTTTTTCTTTGTTGTAGAGATAGTCTTGTTATGTTGCCCAGGCTGGTCTCGAACTCCTGGGCTCAAGCCATCCTCCCACCTTGGCCTCCCCAAGTGCTGGGATTACAGGTGTGGGCCACCATGACTGGCTAGAGACATATTGTCTTCTGACAGAGCAGTTCCTGCCTTGCCTGGAGTAGCCAGACAGAGAATATTCATTATCCTCATTAGTGAGTAAGATCCCTTACTTCTGTGACTCCGTGGACATCCCAATTGCACCTGCTTTTTAAATCAATGTCACAAGAACTGGTGTGAGTTAAGATGCAAAGCTCTATTTCTGTTCTTTCTAGCAGGCTGTTCAGCATGAATCTTGGCCATGACCTATTATTTCTGTGCCCACCTTCTTCCCATACTATATTTTATCTATTTTTTTTAGCTCATTTCCTTCCATCCCTTTCTCATGCTTGGTAATTCTACTAACTTCCTCCTATGTCATACACAGGAAAAGGTATTCCAAATACTCACAGCTATACTCACACTCTATGTCTCCTAACCAACATCTTTCCTCTCCATAAGATCATGACTCTTACTTACTGAACATAACAAACAAACAAAACTAGAGGCTATCAGCCTGGGACACTCTCATCACAGTGCTCCATCCCAGTACATTTTCCGTATCTACATGCATCTCCATCTCCTTTCCTTCAACCTCAGAAGGAGGGTATCTCTGATTCTCTTCCAAGGCTAACTCTTCCACCTGAGACATCTGGTCCCACCTTCTCAGGAATTTCAGTCAAGTTTTTTTCTCTCTTACCTTTACATTTACCCTTTGCCTTTTAAATGGCTCTCTCCCCTTAATGTATAAACACACTCAAGTCAATGAGGGGAAAGGAAAAAGAACTTGGCACTATCCATCCTAGATCCCCTCTGGCAGGTGTTCCCCACCCAATTCCTGCCCTTTTCTCCATGTTCGGGTTTATGCACCACTGTTACTACCCCTGTGCAGTCCTCCAACTGCGGCAGCCTGGCTCTGCCCTGACTCCACTGAAACTACCTTGTCAAAGTCCCAGAGGACTTCCAGGTATGGAACTCGGTGGGAATATGTTAGACCTTGTATCACATGACATTTCTTCAGCTTTGAACACTGTGTACTGCTTTTTTCTTTTCCTTGGAACTGTCTAGTCCCTTGGTTTCACTCTGTATTTCCCTTCTGTCTCTGGCCACGCTTTCTCAGTCCCTTTTGCCGATTTTGAATACACTATCATTCTCTTAAACATTGGCTTCTTCTCTTCTTTCTCTTCCTCTTCCCTTCTCTTCACTTTCTTTACTCTTGCTGCATTGATTGCTTCTGCTTCTGTGGCTTCATTCATCACCGATATGCAGATGGCCCACACATTGTTTTTCCTGAGTTCCAGGCACAAATATTCAACTGCAAACTTCACATTTCCTCTTGGATATTCACGGAATACCTCAAAATCAATGTATCCAAAATGAAATGGATGCACCACCCCCACCTGGCCCTCCATGTTCTTCTTCCATTAAGTTTTATCTCAGGAAATGACCTGACTATCCTTATGTTTGCCCCCCAAAGAAACCTAGAGCTAACCTTGATTTCCTTCTCCTCCTCCAACCTTCAAAATCAAATCAGTCTGCACTTCTACATGTGCAGTCTTAACATTTCTGGAAATAGTTCTCCTTTTCCCTCCCTCCCTCTACTGCTCTAACTTAGGCCTTTATCATTTCTCTGGAATGACTGCAAATGACATCCTAACAGTTTTTCCTGACTCCAACGTTAACTATGTTCTATTCTCCACACTGAATGAGGCTCCTAAAAGTCAGTAAATTCTTCCTGTCCCTTCCTTGCTTTACCATTTTTTTGGCGGCTTGCTGAATGTTTTATTTGAATGTATTATTTTATTATGTATTAGGATAAAGTAGTACATAACTAGCACATCAAACACATTATTTTATGATTAGTAATACTTGGAGCAAAGCTAAGAATGTATCGATTTAAATTTGATTTAAGTGTAATTAAGTAAATAATAGCACTGGTCTAGAAATAGGATTGGTTAAAAAAAATAATATGGAACTCAAATGGCAGCAGAGACATTCCAAAGTTCTCATCAAGGTTTCCCCAGGAGGCCTCTCCCACCTCCCTCCAAGCTGAGCCGTCTGCCCTTCCCCATTCCCCTTCACCTTCCAGGGCTTCCCTCTCTCTGAGCATCACTGCACTGTAATGCGTGTTTCTACCTCTAGACTTTAACCTCAATGAGGGCAAGATGGAGACTTGATGCCTGACATGTGTGTAGGCAATAAATAAATGTTAGTTGAATAAACAGTGCAAGCTTTGGGTGTATAAAGCACTACATAGAGTACACTTCAAATTTCCCAGATTTCGGGTTGAGCCTTGATTTTTATAACACTGAGTATACTGTTTTTCTCTGGGAGAGACTAAGCAATGTGGCAAGTGACTGAATTTAAAATCAGGAGATTTAGAAGGGTTTAACAACTTTGTTCTGACATGGTTGGGACCTAGAAGGTGGCGAAGGAATAACTTTCTTCATATGAAGGGAACCATGCTAGAAAGGAATTTCTTTATAATGAAAGCTTAGGATGGTTCTGAAATGTTATGCTAATTAGTAATTGATGGTACGAGCATTTTGAAAGCATAGAATGCTATATCAATGCTAACTATTACAGACACAGGTTTAGTTTCTAGCTTAGTCATGCCTTTAGAGTTTAGTAGCACAAATCCATGCAACCCAACAGAATACATGGTGGGGGCCTAGTATGTAGAATTTGAAAGTAGTTCAAATTTGAATTAGAAGAATGAAGCTAGGACTTATTTGGAAAAGGAGATAGAAAAAAAAAGATCAGAAACTGTGGGGCCTTATTACCTTTGCAGTAAGTTATCTTCTTCATGAGATATGTGAATTATTTTATGTGCAGATTGTGTTTTGGGATTGTCAGATCTAAACTTATATTCTTGCTGGCTAATGTGCTGATAGCTAGGTCTGAAACTTGATGTGCTATCCAGACACATATGATCAGAAAAGATCTAGAGTGCAAAGAGCTGCCTGAGGAGCAAAATGTGGTTTTAATGTTGTGGAAAGATCACTTGCAAGTATATAAGACTGTATAAAGAAGAGGACTGTACGCAAGTGGGGTGAAAAAAAAGGATACGCGAATGTGCATATGACTGAATAGGGAGGAAGGTCAGGGCTAGAAAGGAGGCTACATAAAAAGGGGCAATGGAGAGTGCACAGGAAAGACACAGGAAGGTCAAGTCGAGCAAGGTAGAAACAGGAGTAGCTAGAGCCATTGGGAATCCATTTTGAAACAAGAAGGAGTTTTGAAAGGGAATAGGAAAGTAAGTGTCTTGAAGTAAAAGATAAATATGGATGGAGAAGGAAGAAATTCTGGATGATAGAGATGATAAAAATATTTATTAAGAAATGAAGTCAGGTTCAGTGTATGAAATGGAAAGGAATTTTTCAGAATTTTAAGAAAGGGGAAGTTCCTCTTGGAAAAGATATAGCAACCATCAGGGAATGACCTTTTCATTTCAGAAGAAGTGGGTGAGGAAGGTGGTGTGAGCATCAGGTATATTCTGGACCATTTCAAGTGCTGGTGAGAAGAAAGGAACTCTTTGCCTGAACTGGGCTTGGTTTTCCAAGTGCTGCTTTGGAAATGAAGACCCAGAGATGCAGAGCTTATGGTAGTTCATAAATCTTTATGTTCTATTATCTTTCATCTGCCAATAAAGTTCATTTTCAATAATGCCCACCATTGCTGTGCCCAGAATAACCACAGGCAAACATCAAAACAATACGCATAAGTTAGACAAGATTAAATCTTGTCTGATATCTTCACAAACAGATATGCACCATGTTGGAAACAAGTGTTTTTCTAGTCCCATCCAGGCTTCCCACAAGAAAGCCATGATGTGGGTCTAAACCATATGTTTTGAGTAAAGGAGAATAGAAGAAGGGGAGTGTCCGCAAAATGGAAAGAGATGAAGATGTTCCAAGGAAGTATGCTGAAACAGAACAGTGAATGTTTTGCCCAAAACTCAAAAAAAAAAAAAAAAAGAAAAAAAGAAAATTGCAATACATGGCTACTAAGTCTTTGATCGTAAGTCGAATTTATAGACCTGGAATTTGCCATCCTAGTCTTTCCTTTTTAGTAAGACTTCTGTCCTCTGGCAGTGCATATGGTAGGTCTCTAATGTTTCTGCATCTCCAGGAAGATGCAGATCCTTATTTTTGCTGGGAAATCCTTCTAAATAGAAATGTAACATTTTTATAAAAACAGATTAATGTGTTTTTCACTTAGTAAATGTTTTCAAGAGCTGAATTGAGAAGGAAAGAGACTGGAGTGGTTAATGGTGATTTGATTTCTGGCATTTTGAGTTTTCTGCTACAATTAGCTACATTACTTGGTGCCAAAGATCAGTGGGGAATTGTTGAGTTGCTGTATCCTTTAAAAAAAAAAACAAAAAACTTGTTATTTTGAAAGAACTTAAGGCTCACAAGATGTTACAAAAATAGTAGAGTGGCCTTACCCTAGATCCAGTTTTCCCCATTTACAACATTTCACTTAGTCCATTTTCGGAACCAGAAAATTAACATTGGCATAATGCTATTAACTAAACTACAGACCTTTTTTCAATGTCGCCAGTTTTCCACACATATTCATTTAGTTGCTGGATACTTTTAATTCTTGCTGATTTGTAATCTGGCCTTGCTTGGATATAACAGGAAAGATACTATCTGGATAAAGTTCTACAGTTTTAGAGAGACTATTAACACACTAATGTGTTCCTTTGTCATGAGCAATACCCTGACTACACTGCTTCTAAACTTTCTGATTTGTTTGGCTGTTTGGCATCTGAAACAATCCAAGACAAACTTAGAAAGATTAGGCAACACAAAAGACAGTAAGACCTGTTCATAGCTTGTTGCCTAGAAAACCAGGTAGCAGGATATTCTAGATGCTTCCTGCTGCTTCTACGTGAGTAGGATTAGCACTGGGGACAAAATAAGGAGTTTAGAGTAAACCAGTATTTCAGTCAAGAGTTAGTTGGCACTTAGTTAATGGCACTGGAAATAGCTTGTGGAGAGAACAGAATACAATGGTATAGACTCCTAATGTTTGATAAAATACTATTTTCAGCGTGGTAGAGAGGTTTTATTTGCCTAAATAGCTGTTATTAAATGGAATAACAACCACATTAGACCAAATTAATTGCAAACACAGCGGCAACCTGGGGAGAAGTTGAAACTCCAGTTTTGTGGATTACAGTTTTGAGTTTTATGATTGACATTTTTAAGTCCCCTATTTAAGGGGTCAAGATTATAACAATGTGTGTCTTATTAAGTCTCCAGGTCATTGTGAGCACTTAATAAATATTTGCTGAATGTTGTTTTTTTGAATGAACATAAGATAGAAACAAAAACTTCTCATCCAATTAACTAGAGTGAACGTAGGGAGAATTGTTTTGCTGTAACATGGAGAGTTTATTTTCAAATGAGGAAAGAGAAAAAATTACTCAGACTTGTTCCTGGTGAAGTGCATTCTCTGTTTGTATACTTTTTGATGGAGAAATTGATCTATAGAGCTGCTTAATTTTTTGAGGCATTTAGACAGCAATGAAAGGTAGTTCTCCACAGGACACCGAATCAAAAGGAGAGACCAGACTCTGGCCTCATATCCAGCCTATTTGAAACAAGCTATCTAGTTTCTCCTGCAGACACCTTGTCAACAACATGCAACAGTGTCAGGTGCCTTGCAGGAAAATAATCTGAGTCCCAAGCTAGCCTGTGCTCATCCACAATCACAATGAACATGTCAAGGAAGAATTTGCAGAGACTCAAGGGAAGCACAATGGGATAAGGTAATCACTTTCAGTGAAAAACTGTTTTCTTGAAAACAGGCTTGGACACAATTGAAAGCTGGCTTCCTGCAAACACGCCAAGAGTCTGTAATCTAGCCTATCCATTTTATGTCCTTTATTATTCATGGTATCCTATTCTTCTACCTTGTTGCCTGGTAACTTTTTCTGAGGACTGAGTTTCTGCAGCGATGTGGTGCACTCTTCCTGTGATGAAGAAATATCTGGGCCCCCTTCTGCAGGCTTTGGAAGATGATGTGTCTTGTCAAGGGGTAAAGGGCAAATGGATTTAATTTCTGCTTAAAACTATCATAGACGTTCCAAATAGAATATGTAAAATTTCTCTGTATTAGAAAAAGAAATGTGATACCAATTGTATATTTCCTTTTCTTTATTTATTCTCTGTAAGTCTGTCAGATGATAAATTGTAAATAACAATGATTAAAGAGTCATGCTACTGATGGATCTCCCTTTCTGTATAAACAGTGCCAGTTCTGGGCTTTGTAACCTTTGCTCTTTATAGTCTTACATCATTCCTGGGGAAGTGATGGGGCATGGGCCCAGAGCTGGGGTGTATGTGGTGTGGACACCTGTTTGTGGGGCTTTCCAACAAAGGATTATTTAAATAGACCTCTAACATATGAGTTGACTGTTTATTGGGAAGAAAGCATCTTGGTCTCTGATATATCCAAACATACGAGACACTGGGATTTTACGTCCTCACATTAATTAGTCCAGTTCTGGGGAATCCAGTCTAGAATTAACTGGTGATCCCTTATCGTTATGGTTACCGACTTGTCTTGTTTGATACACAGAAATCCTTTTTAAATCCAAATATAGTCTGTCTCAGACTACCCGCACATGCACAAACCAAAAAAAAACTATGAAAACCAGAATTTAGACTCAGTCATTATACTAGAGATTAGAATGAAACGACCCCAAACAACCCATTTCTTACCTGGTCTCTGAGAATAAGTTTATACTTTTAGTTTTCTGAGAATACTTCTCAGAATATGTGAGTTTTCTGAGCACATTTTTCAGCACGGGGCATGGTAGATAAATCACAGGCCAAGGTTTGGCAGGGATAGATGGGATCATTGTGTACCCTATTGTTCTTCTGATTTCCAGGAGAACAGAATGAGCCCATGCAAAACATAAACTTACGATGATTAAAAAAAACACACCTATCCATTCACTCATCAATAAAAACATATTATGATGGTTATCAAGCTGTGTCCTATGAGTGATAAAATATTTGTAAAATATAAAATTAAATGGCATCTATTGTGAACTCTATTCTAGTCTCTCTGAGCACCTCTAGCAGTTCAGCCCATCTTTCAAAAGTCATAACACCTTGAAAGCAGCAACTTTAGTGGAGAAAAAGGAAGAAGAGAGCAGTTTCATCACTTGGCTTGAATGAAAATCTTGGGGAAAGGAGAGACAGACGGTCTTGCTCTGAAGCTGTCTGGACTTCACTTAATTCAGTCTGTCTTAGGCTGGCGGTCATCCCGAGACTGCGGTAATGCTGAGCCTCCACAGCCCAGGCCCTCTCCCTTCTTTATAGAAATGATTTTTTTTATGGGACAGCCACACAACCTGGTCTTCTTATTCCTCATCACCTCTGAGCTCTAGGACATTTTAAAATGAGTCTTTGGGTCTAGACTCTCACAATTAGGCTTAATTTTACTCCATGACTTTCAGAAAATGTTGTTAAATTGTGGTCTCTTTAGAACAGTTGAAAGTGGGATAAGCGTAGGAGCTGAGTTCGACCCCCATGATATAGAAATTTTATTGGCCGGGCGCGGTGGCTCACGCCTGTAATCCCAACAATTTGGGAGGCTGAGGCAGGCAGATCACTTGAGGTCAGGAGTTCAAGACCAGCCTGGCCAACACGATGAAACCCCACCTCTACTAAAAAAAATATACATATATATATATATATATACACATATATACACACACAAAAATTAGCTGAGTGTGGTGGTGTGTGCCTTTAGTCCCAGCTACTCGGGAGGCTGAGGCAGGAGAATTGCTTGAACCCGGGAAGCGGAGGTTACAGTGAGCCGAGATTGCGCCACTGCACTGCAGCCTGCTGACAGAGTAAGACTCTGTCTAAAAAAAAAAAAAAAAAAGTTTTATTTAGGAATCTAATGTTCTAATAACCAGATTTGTTCTTTCAATCTAATTTTCTTGATATAGGATAAATGATTACTAAGTAAGTTGGTATCATTAATCAAAACCTCTAGAATCAAAAGCCAATATAAATTATCTCAGTGTTTTATGGATCATTGCTGTTCATAAATAATTAAAACACTGAAAGAGGCCATTAAATAAAGTATGTTCAGTAGCGTTTGATGTATGATACACAGTTTTATTCTGCATGAGCTGGGGCTAGTGATGGTCCCATTACCAGTCTACTACAAATACAGAAACCTAGAGTAAGCATTAGAAACCTTTATAGCAGTTTTGTCACTGGAAGGAGGGCCTTGAGTGTGAGTCATCCAGGTTTTTGGCCATTTGGAACGAAAAGTTGGACAAAATGCACAAAGTAACAAAGGTGAAGCTGCGAAAGCAAAAGCAGGGATTTATTAAACTGAGAAAGCACTCCACAGGGTGGGAGTGGGCCTGAGCAAGTGGCTCAAGGGCCCAGTTACAAAGTTTTCTGGGTTTTAAATAGTTCTTTTGAGGTCCCTATGCGCTACCCCTTATCTGGATGAAGGATTTGGTTTATGGCTAAGTAAAGGCTGAGGTGAATTTGTGCCCTATGCAGATGATGGCATGGCCCATGCTTAGTGGTTGGCCCACAGCCAATCCAAGGCACTTTCCCTTTCCATCTGAGACACGGTGGAAGTGTGGCAGGCCACGTCTCACTAACAACTGTTTCAGTACTGACTAAGTGGTTAAATATTGAAAGCCAGTGCCCTTATACAAAGGCTGGGGTGTAACAAAAGCCCATTAAGAATTTTGCCTAGGCCTTTCCTGGGCCTCTTAAAGCATACAAAATAAAGAAAGAATTCTTAACAGGACCCCTTTAGGATTAAACAAGTTTTATTGTGGTCTGAAGAAACTCCCCAGGCCTCCACAAACAAGTTTATTGGGGGGTCTAAGAGAACTCCTCAAACCTCCACCACTTAGCAGGAGAGAATACAAGGATAATCACCCCAGCACCTGGACCCATTTAGGTTAAGTAAATTTACTGAGGCTCCAGAGGAAGGTTTTCAGGACTCAGACCTTAGTTACAGATTAAAAGAAGTTAATCACTTATGTCTTTAGATAAATGCACACTTACACGTAGACAGTTCGCTTAGAAGGTATATAAGCTCTGAAAAACTGTAATTTTGAGTTGGTCTGGCGATAATTTCCAGGCCTTCTCCCTGCAACCGGTTACAGAAATAAAAACTCTCTTCCTCCCCAGCTCATCTGCATCTCGTTATTGGGCCTTGAAAAATAGCAGCCCAACCCTCAGTTTGGTCTGGGAACAGAAGGTTGTAGGGAGAGTAGCCTTTGATCCTTTGCTACTGGGGAGTGGGGAGATGGGGTTTTTCCTTCTGGTTTAGCTTTAGGAAGTTGGTGTTAATTGGCCCTAGGCTCTCGGCCCCCAGACCCAGGTGTTTTCCTTTTGATCCAGCTTTGGGAAGCCAGCACCAACTGGTCTCAGATTCCCTACTTCCAGCCCTTGCTGTTTTTCCTTGATTGAGCTTTAGGAAGTCAGCACGAAGTGGCCTTAAGTACCCTGCCTCCAAACCCTATTCTGCCTCATTTTGGCAGAGTACTTTTATATGTCTTGGATCTAATAATAAAATATCGGGGCTTGTGTTTTGTATGCCTTTTGCTTTTCTTTTTCTAGCACTTTTTTTTTTTGTATTTTCTAAAAGCACCCATCTGGAATGGCTTGGAGACAAAAACAGGTCCTTTAGCACAGTTTGAGATGCACTGATACAGAAGGTTACAGCACATTCTCAGTACTTCGGCGAATGAAGTTCTGAGATTCTGGTTCCACGCCACATTCCAAGTTTTGAATACTGGTAATTTAGGTCTGATTCTACATAAAGTTCTTAATAAAATCAGTGCTCATTTTCTCAAATAAGTTTCTTTAGAGGAGGAGGTCTGGGATCAAAAGTTGGGCTGTGAAGTGGCACAATGCCTGGATCTGTACATCCAAAAAGGAGTGGAAAATTAGATAATAATCGCCCAACTTTGGCTCCTAGACCCAAACCTTTTCTCTAGAATGGGCACTGGTGCAAATACCGTGAGGCCTTCCTGCAATGAAGTGCCAATCTCAGGCGCCAGGGCACAGACCCAGTGCGTGTCACAGATCCTGTCCTGAGTGCTAGGCCGGGTGACGCCCCCACCAGGATTAAAGATCAGGGGTCCGCTGAGCCCTAGGAAGCAGTGACAGACACCTGCGCCAAGGCGGAGCGAGAAGAGCCTGGAATGGCTCCGGGCTTTGCGTCACGCAGCTCCGCCCCTCGGCCTATCTCACCCGACGCCGTCTCCGAGGGCAGGGAACGGTTGGCGGACTGAGATTGGAGGGATCAGCTCAGACTCGATGACGCAACGGGAGGCGGGGCGTGGCCGTACTCTGATTGGTGACGGGTGAGGCGGCCCGAAATCGTAGGACTTCCGAAAGCAGCGGCGGCGTTTGCTTCACTGCTTGGAAGTGTGAGTGCGCGAAGATGCGAAAGGTGGTTTTGATTACCGGGGCTAGCAGGTGAGGCTCCTTTGTGTTGGCAGAGGCGGCAGCGGATCAGGGGTCCGAGAGAGCAGGGGTCTGCGACCCTCCACGAACGGACCCCGGAAGCGCCCGCCCCTGGCTTTGCCTAGGTTCCCCGGAGTCTGCAGCAGGTGTGGGGCATGTCGGCCTCTTGAGGTGCTCAGTAACTGGTGCTTTGTATTAAACATGACAGTGAAAAGGAAAACTAGAGCATCAGTAAGTGATGAGTGTCGCAGTGATGATCCTGAGGTTATCAAGGCAATGGGGTACTCAGGCGGGCTCCGCCCCTTTTCCATCTTTGCCTACTGTTCGTATTTATCGTCAGTGCCCAATAGTTTGCTCCTGACCACGTGATCATGTCTTATACTCCAGGTGTTTTGTCTGTACAAGCCTTTTGCCTACAAATTTGGACACCCATGAACATTAGGACGGTGGAGAGAAAACAATCCCGTTTCATTTAGCTCAGTGCTAGAGAGCTAACATACTCTTCAGAAACCCAGAGAAAATTAATCTTTTCCTATGAAGGCATGGTTGGGGTGCAGAATAACCAGCTCATAATAATTCCAGGGTTGCTCGTTTAGTCTCTCAGCCTCTTCTGTTGCTTGTTTTACCTGTCATTTGCACTTCTGTGAAAAATGTGTGGAGGATGAAGCCAATCAAACCATTTTTCTACTAGTTGCATTTGACATTTTTAAATGATTAAGACAGAGGACATGTTAAACATTTAAGATTGATCCACTTTGAATTATTTAACCACATGCATATTAACTAAGCCAGCTTGGTAGGTGTCTGCATTTGGCAACTTTTTAGCATACCCTCTCAAGTGACTTTAACCGTTGATTGGTGCTTCTTATGTGGAAGGTACTGAGTAAGTCAGAATTGATTTTGTCTGTTCCTTTTACATACATTGTGATATGTGCAATTGTATATTAAATGCCTACTGTTCTCATGTGAGGACAAATAAATATTTTTGATGCTTTGTTGTTGGTGCTAATAGATTACTGATGGTTCCAGGCTCTTTTTGGGTTTTAACTATTAACATATTTGCCTGGAATCAACTTAAGTCTTGAAAGAGAACTTATTACCCAGCTTTTCATCGCTATCAGCCAGGCTGGTCTGACTGCTGTCACCACTCCTATGCGGTTTTACAATGCTGGTTTTGAAGTTCTTTGTTTCCAAGTGGTGTACTCATCTAATATTTAGTGTATTCCTACCTTCTACTTAATCATGTTGAGTTCTTTCTTTTTCTATTATTTAATCATAGTTGTTGAGAGGGATTTGTACATCCTGCCATGTTACTGATGCCTCATCCTGAAAGATTCATCTCTTCCTTTATCAGAGATTTCTGGTGCTCCTTATGGTGTTTATGATACCAATAGGTGGTAGAGCCCTTGCCCCTGAGGAGCCTAGAGAGCAAAGTCAAAATGCACATAGGAAACAGCTAATAAGATGCTCTTTTGAGCCCTTACTGGTGATATATTAAATCATTTTCATGAGTGGCATAATAAGTACAAAATGAAAACCACTGGCAGGATAAAGCCCAGTAGTAGAAAAACTAAAGAACAATTCTTGTTTTCAGTCCAGTTATTTTGTCACTGAAGTTTTTCAAAACGAGAAAAACACAAACTAGGCTGTGTCTCAAGCAAGTGACTATTGGAGTGTAGGATTCCTCCCTTCTTAAATAATTGTTGAGTCTTTTCTTTCTATCTGGGCTTCTCATTGGAGGTCAAGTTGACACAGTTTTCTGAACCAGAGAGAAATGCCTCTACCTGATGCCATCCCAGATAACCCACATCTTGTGTCTGAATTGTCCTCCCAGTGGCATTGGCCTGGCCCTCTGCAAGCGGCTGCTGGCGGAAGATGATGAGCTTCATCTGTGTTTGGCGTGCAGGAATATGAGCAAGGCAGAAGCTGTCTGTGCTGCTCTGCTGGCCTCTCACCCCACTGCTGAGGTCACCATTGTCCAGGTGGATGTCAGCAACCTGCAGTCATTCTTCCGGGCCTCCAAGGAACTTAAGCAAAGGTATATCTCTTGCTGATGGATTTTTTTTTTCTCGTGTGATTGTGCAGCATAACACTTAATAAAATAAGAGAGGAAAGAAAAACCTAAAAAGAAACAGGTGCGGTGTAAGCAGTTATGTTGAAGAAGTCTGTATAGGGTGACCCACTGTGTCTCAGTACCACGTTTTCTTTCTTTCTTTTTTTTTTTTTAAAGAGATAGAGTCTTGCTCTGTTGCCCAGGCTGGAGTGCAATGGCGTGATCTCGGCTCACTTCAACCTCTGCCTCCTGGGTTCAAGTGATTCTCCTGCCTCCACCTCCTGAGTAGCTGGGATTACAGACATGCGCCACCATGCCTGGTTAATTTTTGTATTTTTAGTAGAGATGGGGTTTTACCATGTTGGTCAGGCTGGTTTCGAACCCGTGACCTCGTGATCCACCCACCTCGGCCTCCCAAAGTGCTGGGATTACAGGCGTCAGCCATTGCGCCTGGCCAGTACCACATTTTCAATCTCAATCATGATCATAATTATTTCATGGAGACTAATTTATAAGTACATCCTGATGTGTGATCAGTTGGTGCTGGGATTACAGGCATGAGCCATTGCACCCAGCCAGTACCACATTTTCAGTCTCAATCACGATCATAATTATTTCATGGAGACTAAGTTATGAGTACATCCTGATACATATCGATCAGTTGGTGCTGGGATTACAGGTGTGAGCCATTGCACTTGGCCAGTACCACATTTTCAATCTCAACCATGATCGTAATTATTTCATGGAGACTAATTTGTAAGTACATCCTGGTGTGTGATCAGTTGCACTGCCTTACGTTAAGGTAACTCCTTTGACATTTGAATTCATTTTTTACATCTTTCTTCACATAATGAATTCATTAAGTAGATAAGGCAAGTAGTGAGTGACATTTAACAAGTGAAGAAACTGAGACACAGAAATAAGGGTAATATGCCTGGGAAGGTCATCCAGTCTTATATTAGTTGGGTGGGTCCAAGACCCCAGGGCTTCTCCCTGCTTCCTAAGGAGTATTTTTTTTCCCTAGGCCAGTAAAGATTTGTTCACACCTTCACAGTAATTGGCATGTAATAGACATTTGATCAGTAGTTGGTATATGAAGGAATAGAGTCCTCAGATGTATAACTCCCCTGAAAGTGAACACAAAATTGCATGTAGGTGCACAATGCATTTTTTGGGCAGAGAGGGCTTTTTATTTATTTATTTGTTTTTAAATTGTAAGAGGAATTTATGATGAAAAAAGTCCAAGAACCCTGCACTAGTCTATGCTGCCCTAGGGCTATCTGGAATAATTAATTTTCAAATATTGAGGCACTTAAGAGACAAAGAACTACCTTGTTTCCTTGGACAGTAAAATGAAATGGGTAGAAACAAGGAAGGCCTTCTTGATGAAGACGTTTGCTGAATAAAAATACTTCGTATTTTATGTGAATTGATAATCATTTGCATTTGCCTGTTCCAAATGCACAAGTTACAAAGTGAAAGCTAGTTTTCTTCACTCCAGCTCTTCTCAGTGTGGCCTTAGTCCTTTGTAAATGTGGTTTCTCTCTCCAGTATTGCTGAGCTATTAGAGTTTTCTACCGCATCTTAAAGAAAAAAAAAAAAAAAAAACCTGAGGAGATTTTCTAGGTTCTGTTTTCACATAAATTTTGATATATTCCATATCCCCGACTCCTCCATAACTTAAGCATCTCCAGGGCTGTGAAACTGTATACTGAATGTCCTTATGGAGATAAAAACCATGAAGTTGAGAGAAGTTATGAGTTTTAAATCATGTTTACAGGCATTCTTTTCCCAAACTTTCTTAGCCAGCTGGCTTCTTACCTGCTTTGTTTAGATTTTGTTATATTTTCTTATTTGGAAGAAAAGAACCTTCATTTCCCAGTTAATAATATCCCATTCCGATGCAGTTTACTTTTGAGACCCAAAGTTTTAACATTTATAGTACTGACTATTCCCAAATGCCTTCAAAGGTTCAAGATATTCGGTACTTTATCGCAAGTTTAGTAATTTAGTATTTCGTAAGATATTTAGCAACTTAGCACAGATTCAAGGCAGTGAGGCTGTGGGGCAGAAGGGAGCACTTCAGGTGATAAGTGAGTTGTCCCAGGTACCTGTCATCAGCGTTTTAGTGAAGTTTTGAGGTATTTATTTAGTCCACAAAACAGCCTTTTTTTTGAGATGGTTGGTGTTATTCAAGTTTAGGAAATGATGGTTGTAGTGATATTCACAAGTTTGGAATATATGAAAGTGTCCAGAAAGATTCTTACTTATGTCAAGAAACTGCACCCAGTGGCTCAAATGGATCTCTTCAGTTCTAAGTCTGAAATAAACTAGAGCTAAAGAGAGCTCGAGAATCCCTTCTAATGGCTCAAGTAGCACCATCCCTGACACCTGGTCTTTCCATCTGTAGCATTCTCTTCTATTACATAGTGCAGATGAAAACTATTAAGAAATAGTGATGCTGTTTTATCCATATTAGAGCAATGTATCAATTATTTTATTGATGAGTGGTATGTCATTTTACTGAAGCCAGAGCTTAATTTGATGTCTTTACTAAACATTTCCTCTCCGTTCCTAGCCAAATATGTTAATATTCGTAGATAAAAGTTGGCAAATAAGGTAATAGAACAAGCAACAATGGATGAACTCACACTATCTTTGTGGCACTTACATGATGAACTGATGGTAATAATATCAGCATTTTAAATGGTCAATTTAATAATTTGAGTCATTTGTCAATTATTTATAGGATGATCAAGAAATGGTTGTATGTGATCCGTGTTGAAGACCATGTATGTATTTCAGGGTCCTAACTTTAGAAGCTATGACTCTTAATATCTTGGGTTATTCAGAGACAGTTTGGCACATAGAACTCTAGGAGATATTCTGAATATTTATGGTGTCTGTAAGTATCATGAGAGCAGGCTTTACCTGCCTTGAACCTAGTTCAAAATGAGTACATTTAAACCTATATAAGTCTTAGATGAAGAGTCTTAGATGAAGACTTACATAGGTTTAAAACTGAAAATGCTTTTTCAACTCAGCATTTCATATCCCTTCCATGACAAGTATTCAGGGGGGAGCCCAACAAGATTACCTTACCCCCATTCATCTTTTATAATCTCATTGTATTCTTACGAACTTTCATCATTTTAGGATGCATAGGACTTGTCCATGAACACTGAAAGGTTTCCACATGGATCTTCTGTTTTATTATATATTTTGGCATTCAGATTTCAGCATTAATAGATCAGGTCAGGTGAATATCAATAGTATATAAATTTTACTTGTCAACCAGAGGAGATGTGGATTTTTTTTTTTAAAAGCAAGAGACTTTGTAAGATGAGGAGAGTGGGTTTAAGAGTTAGAGGGTTGCTGCAATTCCTTATTGAGAGGACAGAGCTGGAAGGAATTATTGATCAGAGGTTTTACTTAAAGTCCACGATGACTCCACAGATTCTGTTTGAAGCCACTACCAAAGAAAGAATTCTCAAATGTTTACTGTAGCTAAAGAAAAACTGTTGAGAAAGAAATGCTGTAACTCTAATGTGCTATAAATTCTTCTGAGCTTGCTGTGGCTAATTTATTAATTTAAAAAGTATTTTTTGTCTTTCTTAGGCCTCCTTGAATCTAGTCACTCTAGAGATAGAATACACAATCTTGTCCTGATGTTTTTACTTGCAACTCACAATCTTGTTTGGTGGTTTAGTTGCAGGTTTCAGAGATTAGACCGTATATATCTAAATGCTGGGATCATGCCTAATCCACAACTAAATATCAAAGCACTTCTCTTTGGCCTCTTTTCAAGGTAATTTTCATTTTATGGATGAACTGATTGGAAGGAATGTGTTCATTTTTCTGCCTAGTTTTGATGGCGTGTTAAGTTGGGGGGATGAAAGGTAAGGGGTTGTTGAAAAGGTTGAAGACAGAAAAAGGAGATGTTGCAACCATTATCATGAAAGAAAAGCAATCCTCTTTTGTGGGGAGTGCTGAAAGTCCCATTTTTTATGGTATTCTAAGTCTCCAGGACATTCTAAATGGTTTAGAAGGTCATTTTTTGGTCTGCCTGGATATGCCTATTAGCAAGAACATTTTGAAATTAGGCAGAGTTCTCAGAGAGACTCCAATTTCCAGGAAAGTTACTTTGAACTATTTCCCAGATGTATGTCAGGTGCTCTGACAAGTAGGTTGGGGAAATGCAGACAACTAATGTTTCCTGGGAGATTCTTGTTACTCATTAGTGTAGTGGCTTTCCAAAATGTTGAAACACAACCAGGAGAATTCTTATTTATAGGAATAAATCTTACTTTGTGACCCAATACACTTATTCATAAATAGGCATTCTTACTATGTGCTGCTTACTATACCAATGCTTTTGCTTTACTTCTTTTCCATTAAAAGACAGACAGACAGACAGACACACACACACACACACACACACACACACACACACACACACACACACTCTCTCTGTCTCTCCCCACATTGATCTTGACCTACTAAATTGACCTCCCAGCAGAACACTATATTAATATGTTTGAAGAATTCCCAGTTAAACAAACAATCTGTTTAACTCTTTTTTTGACAGTTAAACATACTTCATGCACAGGAAAACTTTTTTCCCTTTGGCATAGCTTATTATTCCTTTAGAACAGTTTACCTGTAACCTGATTGGGAAAGAGGTGAAGAGAATTTTAGCAGCAGGTTTTTGAGAGACTCAAGTTCCTATTGGTAGCGTGAGCTATAAGTATGTAAGTATTTCTGTGAATTAGTGGGGGGAAGGAGGGTCTTTGGCATTTCATTTAATACAATAACCCAGTCTGAGAAATAGGTATTTTTATTCCTGTCATTACAGAATCAAGGGAGGTGTAGTTTATGAGTCGGGGGGATGGGTTGGAAAGTGTTTTCAGTATTTCCAGTTAAAGAAGCTTTAAAAAGTCATGCAATTATCTTCTGCTGTTTCAGAAAAGTGATTCATATGTTCTCCACAGCTGAAGGCCTGCTGACCCAGGGTGATAAGATCACTGCTGATGGACTTCAGGAGGTGTTTGAGACCGATGTCTTTGGCCATTTTATCCTGGTAAAGAAGCTGTGGGCTTAATAAGCTAATATTTGGTGTGATAGTTCCTGTAAAGCTCTGGGCACAGGGCATTATTATAGTTGAGCAGCCAGTTAACTGATTTAATCTCATGTTTGAGTTTTCTTGATTGCATTTGCCTTGTTTATTGTGAGCATGGAATACTTCTGGAAGCTTTCCTAGTAGATTTTTCTTTAATAAATGTACTAATAGTTTTTGATTTACAGAATTACTGCAAAGATAGTACAGAGACTTTCTGTATGCCCTACACCCAGTTTCCCCTATTATTAACATTTCGCATTGGTATGATGCATTTGTCGAAATAGATGAATCAATTCTGCTACATTATTATTAACTAAAGTACACACTTTATTCAGGTTCTGTTTTTGCCTAATGTCTTTTTTCAGTTCTAGGATCCCATTCAAGATACTACATTACATTTAGCAGTCATGTCTCCTTAGGCTCTTCTTGGTTGTGACAGCTTCTCAGACTTTCCTTGTTTTTGATGACCTTGACAGTTTTGAGGAGTACTGCTTAGGTGTTTTGTAGACTCTCTCAATCGGGATTTGTCTGATGTTTTTCTCATGGTGAGACTGAAGAATGTGGTTTTTGGGAGGAAGGCCACAGAGGTAAAGTGACATTCTCATGACATCACATCAAGGGTGTATTCTTTCAGTATGACTTCTCAGTGTTGATATTAACCTTGATCACCTGGCTTGAGGTCATGTCTGTCAGGTTTCTCCATTGTTAAGTTACTTTTTCTTTCTCCCTTTTCATACTCTACTTTTTGAAAGAAAGTTGGGCCGGGCACGGTGGCTCCTGCCTGTAATCCTAGCACTTTGGGAGGCCAAGGCAGGCGGATTACCTGAGGTTGGGAGTTTGAGATCAGCCTGACCAACATGGAGAAACCCCATCTCTATCAAAAAACAAAATTAGCCGGGTGTGGTGACGCATGCCTGTAATCCCAGCTGCTTGGGAGGCTGAGGCAGAAGAATCGCTTGAACCCGGGAGGCAGAGGTTGCGGTGAGCTGAGGTCATGCCATTGCACTCCAGCCTGGGCAACAAGAGTGAAACTCCATCTCAAAAAAAAAAAAAGAGAAAAAGAAAGAAAGTTACTATGTGCAGCCAATGCATACTGGCTAGTGCTCTACCTTCTTAAGAGAGTGGGTTATCTACAGAAATTATTTGGATTTTTTCCACAAGGGAGATTGTCAGTTCTCCTTTATTTATGTCTTTATTCAATCATTTATTGTATCCATATGGACTCATGTTTATGTATTTGCTGCTTTGAAATTATAAATACTATTTTATTTTCCTGCTCAAATTTTTTCAGTTTTGGCCACTGGGAACACTTTCAGTTGGCTCCTGTATCTCTTTGGCACACCCCCATTGTTATGGTTTTCTCTTTTTGTTTTAGCTTTCATTTTGAGCAGTTTCTTACTATCTGGCACTACAAGATGCGTCAGACTCATCTTGTGTTTTCCTTGTTCAGTCCTAGAATCAGCTACTTTTCTAAAGACATATGTTTTCTTTTATCAGAGAATGGTTATTAGAAACCAAGATCTGGGTGCTTATTGCTACTGAGATATCAGTGTCTTCTAAACCCTCTCTGCTGATAGACTAAGAGATATATATGTACATACTAACTCATGTATGTATACATATCTATAAATATTTTTCTGTGTAACTAATTCATGTCTCTTTTAGATAACTAGTTAATACTGATGTCTCTGACCCTAATCTCTTACCATACAGTACAGTGGTTTCAAAATTTTTATCTGTATTCTGTCAGTATATTTTAATACTTTTTTTTTTCTTTCACCCAGATTCGGGAACTGGAGCCTCTCCTCTGTCACAGTGACAATCCATCTCAGCTCATCTGGACATCATCTCGCAATGCAAGGAAATCTAATTTCAGCCTCGAGGACTTCCAGCACAGCAAAGGCAAGGAACCCTACAGCTCTTCCAAATATGCCACTGACCTTTTGAGTGTGGCTTTGAACAGGAACTTTCAACCAGCAGGTAAGGCCTGTCTCAGTGACGGAAATGGCAGAGGAGGGTTCTCTTAATTACCTGCTGTTGATTTCCTAATAAGGTAGCTGGCTTTCCACTAACTCTTGTAGTTTAGATTGATATTTGGTGTATATGAAAGTGTTAGGGCAGAGATAATTGGCTCCTGACATTATAGTTATAGGTAGTTCATTCATCATTCTGTGGTTCTTCAGGAATTCTAACTTATGTTAACAGAGTGACACTACTAAAAGTGATAATAGCTACTGTTTTGGTACTTGCTGTGTTTCAGGTGCTGTATTCGTCTGTGTATGTCATTAAATACCTGCCTCATTACATGGAGGTGGGTCTAAGTATTACCATTTTCAGATGAGGACACTAAATCTCGGAGAACTTAAGTCATTTACCTGATGGTCACACAACTTGTAAATGGTAGAGCTCAGAATTGAGCCCGAGGCTGACTTTATAGCTTGGACTTTTCCCACTGTACCATGCTGCCTCCTAGTGTTTGTCATAGCAGACGTTTATAGGACAGTCAAGTAGTTATAAAACCTTCTAGATAGTGGTGGTTTTAGCTAAGACTCCAGAGCTCTGTCTCTATGAGGATCTCAGTTTATGGGATGTTTTTCAGGGGATGGCGACCCTTGTTGGTCATACTGAGTCCTTGTTGCCACTATGGTTTGCAGCTTACTGCTTCTTTGTATGTCTCTGTTGCCCAGGTCTAAATTCTGACCTGAAAATCTCCAGTCTTCCCCTTGGACATTTTCTTTTGTTTGCTTTGATTAACAGCGTTGTATGAGTATGGGGCTATGGAGAAGTTTAATTTCACTAACATTTACAAAAGACCTATCATGTTTAGGGCACTGGGCCAGGTTTAGGGTTGAGGAGGAAAGTGAAATAAGAAGATGATCAAGAATTATGTTTTACTTCAACGGAGCTTCTTGGATCATGAATTAGACATAGAAATATAACTCTTACGTGATGGTCTAGACCTGGCTTATTCTGGAATTGCTACCTTTATCAGGTGTTATTCTGTGTTCTGGCTCTTAGAATGATGCCCCCCTTTTTTTTTTTGAGACAGAGTCTCATTCTGTTGCCCAGGCTGGAGTGCAGTGGCACAATCTTGGCTCGCTGCAACCTCTATCTTCTTAATTCAAGTGATTCTTGTGCCTCAGCTTCTCGAGTAGCTGGGATTACAGGGATGTGCCACCACACCCAATTTTTGTGTTTTTAGTAGAGACAGGGTTTTACTATGTTGGCCAAGCTGGTCTCGAACTCCTGACCTCAGGTATCTGCCTGCCTCAGCCTCCCAAAATGCTGGGATTACAGTGCTTGCACCCAGCCTGAATCATGCCTCTTATAAAGTTGAAGCTAAGAGCATACTTTCTAGAACTGAATTTGAATCCTGACTCTTTGTAACCCTAGGCATATTATTTAATCTCCCTATGCCTCAGTTTCCTCATCTGAAAAATAGGGATAGTAATAGTGCCTGCCTCACAGATTTATTGGGAAGATTGACTGAGGGGGATCTGTATGAAGCACTCACAGCAGTGTTTTGTATTCAGAATGTGAGTTTGTATGTACATGTGTCTGTACAAATATGTACATGTGGATATACATGAGTGTGGGTATGTATTTGTGTGCCTACCCATGTGTAGCGGGTTCATATGTACATGTACAGGTTTTGTGGGTGTGTGCACATGTGTTTGTGAATGTATTTTTTGGGTGTGTGCATGTGTGTAGGTGTCAGTGCATGTGGTCTGCACATGCATGTACATGTTCTTGTATTGGCTGTTAATATTGCAGGTTGGACTCAGCATGTTGGCCCAATTGTGCACCTCCTTCTGAAGTTTCTTGAGATGTTTAAAAACTTGTCACAACTGCTTCCTGATACTCTGAGAACTCCCTTTTAGAGGGATTAGCTTTTCCTTTCATAAAAAGGTCTGGGATTCTATTTAAGTCTCAATTATCAAGTAAGCTTTGGGATTTTATCTTTTACGAAGGAGGGAGATTTAGCTATTGCTTGTAAAATCTGTTGAGATTGGTTCTCAGCCAATGACTTTTTCTTCTTGGCCTTTATGAGGAAAGAAGCAGCTGAGAAAGAATAACATTACAGGATTCCTTTTGAAGCCCTGTGTTACTGGAAATGTTGTCAGGTTCTATATAGACTGCCTGATAGACTTTAATTATCCATGCATGCTCCCCCACTCAAGCTGTATAGAAATATTCAGGATCATCACAATTAATCCCTATAATTAAACAAATGGAAGGATACAGTCTTGGTTAAGATTGTCTTCTTCTTTCTTTTTTGTTTATCTCTCAACATCAGAGAATTATATACGTTGGAAACGCTGGATTTTAGTTTGAAGATTTCTTTGTTTAGGACAGAATAGTCCCCAAGTGATCCTAGGAAGCGCCTAGAATAAGAACTTTTCCTTAGCTGTTTTAGCGGCAGAGTACATTATTTGCTTAGGAAAAACTTTTGGACTATCATGAGGATAAGTCTTAGCTCTTGACTTTTTTCTAGAGGATTGTTGGTAAATCAAGGGGATTCTCAGGGATGGTTGATCCATGTCAGGCAGTGCCAAGCCTCTGCAGTACCAAATAAAGGATGAAAAGCCTCCAGGTTCTGTTGCTTAGGGTGCTGTCTGTCCGTTGAACTGTCTGTTAAACTGGCACTTCCTATTTTTTTATTTAAAAGAAAAAATGAGTTTAAAAATGATAAAAATGAGTTAAAATAGTCAATATCAAAATAAAGTAAAATGTATAGTATAAATTAAACTAAATAAAATAGTAAAACAAATCCCAATAAGAGGCATGATCCCAGGGCTCCAGGACTTAACTATAGATCACATAGGACCCTTTGGATTAACCTAAGCTCTGTGTTAATTGGGGCTCTCTTTGTAGGGTGGAACTTTCTAAAATGAGTTCTAGGCTAAGGACCTGATTTAGAGATCTTCAGTTGGAGAAAGTTTTGTGATAGCACATACAGCCTAATGCCGGGAGCACCCACCTCAAGCTAGAGGTATGGGTCTTATGTACTTGCAGGGAAACAGACACATACTTTAGGTTTAGCTGTCTATTTATTAGGCCAGAAACTTCTCGAAGGCAAGGACTGTACTCCGTACATCTTTTAATCTTAAATGCTCATTATGATTAAAAAGCTGATCTTCAGTTAAGCCAATAATAGGGAAAACTCAGATAACCAGGCCCTGCTTTTCTCCCCCAGCTTTAAGATTGGTTATTTTTTATACTGCAAGGTTCATGAGAATAGAGACTTTGTCCCACTAATTTTTGCATCCTGGGTGCCTCTCACAGTGGGTTCTCTTAATACATGATTCTTCAACATAAACGTTTTACCCAACTTCAGAGACAACTCAGAACATAAATTCTTTATTACCTGACTTCTGGCTCATGTACATACCTCTTTTATTAACTAGCATGTAGCTGGACTGAGTCAATATACACTGAGTTAAAGTCTCATTGCTACACCTCTCTGTTCCTAGGGTCTCTATTCCAATGTGGCCTGTCCAGGTACAGCATTGACCAATTTGACATATGGAATTCTGCCTCCGTTTATATGGACACTGTTGATGCCGGCAATATTGCTAGCAAGTGATGAATACTTCTTTTCTTAACTCATAAAAATCTCTTTTTGGGACCTAGAAGATATGTTTAAAGGTTGGGAAATGATTTAAGGAATTGAACCTGAATGCCATTTAACTTGAGGTTTTTGAACTTAATGTGAAACCTCTGCTTAATATTTCTAAGTGTTACTGCCACACCACCATTTGAGTGTCCACTTCTCTTTAAAGGAATGTTTCATTGCTCATGCACCACAGATCCCAAGAGTTCTGTAATCATATAATTTTAGAAAACCCATGTTGAACATTGTTAAACTGGACTTCTCTAAGTTTTCAAACTGATCCTGTGCATCAAAAGTTCCCAAGAAGGGGATAATTGTGTACTATGTAACTATACAACCATATTTTTGTTTTGTGATTTGAACGTCTTGCAGGACCATTGTTTCTGTGGCACATCTTGAAAAATGCTACTTTTAGGAATGATTCTCTCTTTAGGGCTCAGGAAGAAGTGTCTCTTCCTTAGGGCAGGCATAAAGTAAAGATCAGAAGTAAATAGGCCTTCATGTTAAAAGTAGTTGATTTGGAATAATGGAGATTAAATGATGTTTCTTTTTTGACTTCTTTATTTTTTGTTACTTAAAAAGTGTTCTATAATCAGAAAGGCAGGGTTTTTAAAAATATTTAAATGAATAATTCTTTCATGACTCTATTCTAAACCACCAAAAAATAACTGTTGTTTTCTTTTCTGCAGCTTCGCTTTTTTGCAAATGCATTCACTTTGACACCATATAATGGAACAGAAGCTCTGGTATGTTACTGAAGTTTTTATAACTTGTATGATGACTTAGCAGATGTGAATTATAGGTTCACTCGTAGTAGAAATAATTTCAACAGAAAAGATAATAAGAGAATAAGCTCTGTGAATAATTGAGGTCCCGTTTGGAACTAAAGTGGACTATAAGGCTAAGCACAGAACATTAGGAGTGAAGTTTGCAAGTTTAACATCTACCATGGCACTGGGCACCATGACTGTAGGGAAAGCACTTCTTTAGAGGCAAGATACACCAGCAGCTAGAGGAGAGACAGAGCAATGGGAAGCTGGAGGGACAGGCAGAGCAGGACGGTGACTGCACAATCAGTCTGTGATTTCCCGTGGAGAAAGAGCATTTTGTGGGTCAAGAGCCAGGACAACAAGGTTCAACACCATTCCCCTCTATAAAGATTTTCTTCCCTCTCTTAGAAGATCAAGTTGTTATTTTATTAGGAAGCCAGTGGAGTTAAATCACACGTGGCAAATGGGTTGCATGTGTCTCCTCATCAATGGCAGACATTACTAATGGGCTATAATACTCCTTTCTGCTATACACACGTGATGTCTCTGAATATTCTTCAACCCAGAGCTCCAGAGGCAGCCTCTACTAACGGTTCAGAATTGTCATACATAAAAAGTCCATTGTATCTGAGTCAGTTCTTTACATTTGTCTCCCTCATTCCATTGAACTCCTTCAGGATTTTTGCTATTCACTTTGGAAACCTGAGGACCTAGCATTGTAGTACTTAGTAGATTCTTAAATCTTAATTGAGATTAGCTAAGGAAAACATAAATGGAATTGGCTTTGATGCTCTTGTTTTGGTAAGTGTTACAGAAATAAATACATTTATTGTGGGAATACAAATTGGTTGTAGAAGCAAGTGCTTTTAAACTATATTTTAATTGGTTCTCAATATATTTGCCAAACCATTCACTGATGATATTTGAGAGGATGTTTATAATTTGTCTGGGGAGCTCTATAAAGTGCAGATAGTGACTCTCCACCAGCCTCACTCACCTTGGGCAGAAGAAACAAATCATTGACACATCCTTCCTTTCCAGGTATGGCTTTTCCACCAAAAGCCTGAATCTGTCAATCCTCTGATCAAATATCTGAGTGCCACCACTGGCTTTGGAAGAAATTACATTATGACCCAGAAGGTAAATGTGCTTACATTGTTGCACTGATGTTTGCTGTTGGGTTGATGAATTAAGCCCGTGTTCCTGACCAGCCCCTCAGCCCCCCAGCTTCGCTTCTCTGGGTACTCACTGTTCACCAGCATCACACGGGCCTGATTTTATTTCATCCTGCTCTCTCCTGCTTCTCGCACATCTTATTCCCCCGACTTGAGCTGCTCTCAGCCTCTCGATGATTGATTTGTGCTCATCCTTCAGATCAGTTTATCCCATAGCCTTTAGTGACCCCGTAGACTGGGCCTGGGTGCCTCTGTAATAGGCTTTCTTGACATCTCATACCTGTTGCAGATCATGCTTGTTCACCTTCGGGTTCCCCTGTCAGAATGTAAGCTCTGTGAGGAGGAGGGTCGTACCCCATTTCCTAGCAGGCTGCCTTACACACGGTAGACGCTCAGTAAATACGTTGCAAGTTGAATGAAATATGAAGTGTTTTTCTGTGTGAAGTTAACTTCCCTTTGAGTATTCAATTCTGCTTGTGACAATTGTCAGCTTTAATAGATGGTGTTTTGAGGAGGAACAGAATAATGTGCAGAAAAAAAAGTCAGTACTGTGTTTTTTAGACTTGGTATAATCTAAAATGAAATCAAACATAGAGTTACATACTGGGGAATAAGAAAATTTATTTTAAACTAAGAGAACTACTTTGTTGTACTTTTGTCATGCGTAAGGTTTATTTCAGCCCCTGATTTTCCACTGTCCAGCCTGTTGTGAGGAGACATTAGCATAAGATAAAATGAGATTGAGGTGACTGTTATCGCAGGTAAGTCAACTAACTGGCATTGATCTTGGCCTCTGTTAGTAGCATGAGTTAAAAGGGGAGCCATGCACTTGGCTTCCTGTGCTATCTGTTCACTAAAAGTGAACCTTCCAGGTTTTTCAAAATATGTTCTGTGGGATACTAGTTTCCTGAGAAGATTTGCAAGAAGTAGTTCCTCTAGCAAGTAAAATGGAACCATGCTTCATATTACATTCCCCTCTTTCAGAGACTTGTACAGCATACATCAGCAAAGTAAAGGCTGTGAGAAGTTGAAACAGTTAAGAAATGTGTGTGAAATATTTTATCCTGCTGTTTTCAGTACTTCACCATGAATTTTTTTTTAAAGCAAATTTTACATAACCTGTAACATCCCTTTGGGGAATTCTATTGTAAACTAATAGCTTACTTTAGGCTAGCAGGGTGTATTTGAACTTACTATCTATTAACTTAGAATGAATGATTTGTTTATCAAGGGGAAAATGTTTAGTTGTACAAACTGACATACTCATTAGCATTTTATGGAAATGCATTGAAGAAAGTATTTTAACCTTTGATTAATTTGGGGAAGTCAGCTTTCTCTTCTGTTAAAAGATGGGGTTGAACTAGAAGAGTTCTGTAATGCTTCTTCCAGTTCCATTATGGAAAAACTCTAACTTGATTGAAGATAAATGTTACTTTCTTTCTTTTATTTTAAATTATTATTATACTTCAAGTTCTAGAGTACATGTGCACAACGTGCAGGTTTGTTACATATGTATACATGTGCCATGTTGGTGTGCTGCACCCAATAACTCATCATTTACATTAGGTATATCTCCTAATGCTATCCCTCCCCACTACACCCACCCCACAACAGGCCCCAGTGTGTGAGGTTCCCCTTCCTGTGTCCATGTGTTCTCATTGTTCAGTTCCCACCTATGAGTGAGAACATGCGGTATTTGGTTTTTTGTCCTTGTGATAGTTTGCTGAGAATGATGGTTTCCAGCTTCATCCATGTCCCTACAAAGGATATGAACTCATCCTTTTTTATGGCTGCATAGTATTCTATGTGGTATATGTGCCACATTTTCTTAATCCAGTCTATCATTGATGGACATTTGGGTTGATTCCAAGTCTTTGCTATTGTGAATAGTGCCGCAGTAAACATACATGTGCATCTGTCTTTATAGCAGCATGATTTATAATCCTTTGGGTATATATCCAATAATGGGATGGCTGGGTCAAATGGTATTTCTAGTTCTAGATCCTTGAGGAATTGCCACACTGTCTTCCACAATGGTTGAACTAGTTTACAGTCCCACCAACAGTGTAAAAGTGTTCCTATTTCTCCACATACTCTCCAGCACCTGTTGTTTCCTGACTTTTTAATGATCGCCATTCTAACTGGTGTGAGATGGTATCTCACTGTGGTTTTGATTTGCATTTCTCTGATGGCCAGTGATGATGAGCATTTTTGCATGTGTCTTTTGCTTGCATAAATGTCTTCTTCTGAGAAGTGTCTGTTCATATCCTTTGCCCACTTGTTGATGGGGTTGTTTGTTTTTTTCTTGTAAATTTGAGTTCATTGTAGATTCTGGATATTAGCCCTTTGTCAGATGGGTAGATTGTGAAAATTTTCTCCCATTCTGTAGGTTGCCTTCCTCTGATGGTAGTTTCTTTTGCTTTGCAGAAGCTCTTTAGTTTAATTAGATCCCATTTGTCAATTTTGGCTTTTGTTGCCATTGCTTTTGGTGTTTTAGACATGAAGTCCTTGCCCATGCCTATGTCCTGAATGGTATTGCCTAGGTTTTCTTCTAGGGTTTTTATGGTTTTAGGTCTAACATTTAAGTATTTAATCCATCTCAAATTAATTTTTGTATAAGGTGTAAGGAAGGGATCGAGTTTCAGCTTTCTACATATGGCTAGCCAGTTTTCCCAGCACCATTTATTAAATAGGGAATCCTTTCCCCATTTCTTGTTTATGTCAGGTTTGTCAAAGATCAGATGGTTGTAGATATGCGGCATTATTTCTGAGGGCTGTGTTCTGTTCCATTGGTCTATATCTCTGTTTTGGTACCAGTACCATGCTGTTTTGGTTACTGTAGCCTTGTAGTATAGTTTGAAGTCAGGTAGCGTGATGCCTCCAGCTTTGTTCTTTTGGCTTAGGATTGTCTTGGCAATGCGGGCCCTTTTTTGGCTCCATATGAACTTGAAAGTAGTTTTTTCCAATTCTGTGAAGACAGTCATTGGCAGCTTGATGGGGATGGCATTGAATCTATACATTACCTTGGCCAGTATGGCCATTTTCATGATATTAATTCTTCCTATCCATGAGCATGGAATGTTCTTCCATTTGTTTGTGTCCTCTTTTATTTCATTGAGCAGTGGTTTGTAGTTCTCCTTGACGAGGTCCTTCACATCTCTTGTAAGTTGAATTCCTAGATATTTTATTCTCTTTGAAGCAATTGTGAATGGGAGTTCACTCATGATTTGGCTCTCTGTTTGTCTCCTATTGGTGTATAAGAATGCTCGTGATTTTTGCACATTGATTTTGTATCCTGAGACTTTGCTGAAGTTGCTTATCAGCTTAAGGAGATTTTGGGCTGAGACAATGGGGTTTTCTAAATATACAATCATGTAATTTGCAAACAGGGACAATTTGACCTCCCCTTTTCCTAATTGAATACCCTTTCATTCTTTCTCCTGCCTGATTGCCCTGGCCAGAACTTCCAACACTATGTTGAATAGAAGTGGAGAGAGAGGGCGTCCCTGTCTTGTGCCAGTTTTCAAAGGGAATGCTTCTAGTTTTTGCCCATTCAATATGATATTGGCTGTGAGTTTGTCATAAATAGCTCTTATTATTTTGAGATATGTCCGATCAATACCTAATTTATTGAGAATTTTTAACACGAAGTGCTGTTGAATTTTGTCAAAGGCCTTTTCTGCATCTATTGAGATAATCTTGTGGTTTTTGTCTTTGGTTCTGTTTATATGCTGGATTACGTTTATTGATTTGCGTATGTTGAATCAGCCTTGCATCCCAGGGATGAAGCTCACTTGATCATGGTGGATAAGCTTTTTGATGTGCTGCTGGATTCGGTTTGCCAGTATTTTATTGAGGATTTTTGCATCAGTGTTCGTCAGCGATATTGGTCTAAAATTCTCTTTTTTTGTTGTGTCTCTGTCAGGCTTTGGTATCAGGATGATGCTGGCCTCATAAAATGAGTTAGGAAGGATTCCCTCTTTTTCTATTGATTGGAATAGTTTCAGAAGGAATGGTACCAGCTCCTCCTTGTACCTCTGGTAGAATTCGGCTGTGAATCTGTCTGGTCCTGGGCTTTTTTTGGTTGGTAGGCTATTATTGCCTCAATTTCAGATCCTGTTATTGGTCTATTCAGGGATTTGACCCCTTCCTGGTTTAGTCTTGGGAGGGTGTAAGTGTCCAGGAATTTATCCATTTCTTCTAGATTTTCTAGTTTATTTGCGTAGAGGTGTTTATAGTATTCTCAGATGGGATCGGTGGTGATATCCCTTTTATCATTTTTTATTGCGTCTATTTGATTCTTCTCTCTCTTCTTCTTTATTAGTCTTGCTAGCAGTCTGTCAATTTTGTTGATCTTTTCAAAAAACCAGCTCCTGGATTCATTGATTTTTTGAAGGGTTTTTTTGTGTCTCTATCTCCTTCAGTTCTGCTCTGATCTTAGTTATTTCTTGCCTTCTGCTAGCTTTTGAATGTGTTTGCTTTTGCTTCTCTAGTTCTTTTAATTGTGATGTTAGAGTGTCAATTTTAGATCTTTCCTGCTTTCTCTTGTGGGCTTTTAGTGCTATAAATTTCGCTCTACACACTGCTTTAAATGTGTCCCAGAGATTCTGGTGTGTTGTGTCTTTGTTCTCATTGGTTTCAAAGAACATCTTTATATCTGCCTTCATTTCGTTATGTACCTCGTAGTCATTCAGGAGCAGGTTGTTCAGTTTCCATGTAGTTGAGTGGTTTTGAGTGAGTTTCTTAATCCTGAGTTCTAGTTTGATTGCACTGTGGTCTGAGAGACAGTTTGTTATAATTTCTGTTCTTCCACATTTGCTGAGGAATGCTTTACTTCCAACTATGTGGTCAATTTTGGAATAAGTGCTGTGTGGTGCTGAGAAGAATGTATATTCTGTTGATTTGGGGTGGAGAGTTCTGTAGATGTCTATTAGGTCTGCTTGGTGCAGAGCTGAGTTCAATTCCTGGATATCCTTGTTAACTTTCTGTCTCGTTGATCTGTCTAATGTTGACAGTGGGGTGTTAAAGTCTTCCATTATTATTCTGTGGGAGTCTAAGCCTCTTTGTAGGTCTCTAAGGACTTGCTTTATGAATCTGGGTGCTCCTGTACTGGGTGCATATATATTTAGGATAGTTAGTTCTTCTTGTTGAATTGATCCCTTTACCATTATGTAATGGCCTTCTTTGTGTCTTTGATCTTTGTTGGTTTAAAGTATGTTTTATCAGAGACTAGGATTGCGACCACTGCCTTTTTTTGTTTTCCATTTGCTTGGTAGATCTCCCTCCATCCCTTTATTTTGAGCCTATGTGTGTCTCTGCACATGAAATGGGTCTCCTGAATATAGCACACTGGTGGGTCTTGACTCTTTATCCAATTTGCCAGTCTGTGTCTTTTAGTTGGATCATTTAGCCTATTTACATTTAAGGTTAATATTGTTATGTGTGAATTTGATCCTGTCATTATGATGTTAGCTGGTTATTTTGTTTGTTAGTTGATGCAGTTTCTTCCTAGCATCGCTGGTCTTTACAATTTGGCATGTTTTTGCAGTGGCTGATACCGGTTGTTCCTTTCCATGTTTAGTGCTTCCTTCAGGAGTTCTTGTAGGGCAGGCCTGGTGGTGACAAAATCTCTCAGCATTTGCTTGTCTGTAAAGTATTTTATTTCTCCTTCACTTATGAAGCTAAGTTTGGCTGGATATGAAAATCTGGATTGAAAATTCTTTTCTTTAAGAATGTTGAATATCGGCCCCCACCCTCTTCTGGCTTGTAGAGTTTCTGCCAAGAGATCTGCTGTTAAGTCTGATGGGCTTCCCTTTGTGGGTAACCCGACCTTTCTCTCTGGCTGCCCTTAAAAATGTTATTTTCAAAATGTTCAAAAGTTTATTTAATTTTTAGCCTTTCAATTTTGTGAACAAAGAGGCTGTTCTTGAAGTTTAGGCTCTGTGTTGGCTTGATAAAAGGATATCACTATTTTAAAAGGGCTGAAAGTTTGCCTGTACATACTGTCGAGATTTTCTGCATGAAACACAAGAATGTAAAATAACTATAGATTAAACTAGATAGAATCTTAAATTTCTTGCCTGTAAAAGCATTTAGGAGAGAGGCAGTCTCAGGCTGCCATGGCAAGTCCACAAATTGTCAGGTACTCAAGTTCCTTGCAATCACCACCTGGCCATCTTTAGGGCGTGGCCCTCAGGCTTGTGGCTCGAGAGTGGTATGGAAGAAGGGAAGAAAAAAGGGATGCTTTATTTCTCTTGAAGAGACTCCAGGTATTATTTACATCTCACTAGCCAGAACATAGTCTCATGGCTCTGGCACCCATTGTTTCAATGGGGGCTGAAGTATCGTCTTATATCCAGAGGGCAGTGAGCCCAGCTAAAACCAGGGCTCTTTTACTAAGCCAGATTGATATTAGGAAGTGAGTAGTCGTTAAAAATTCACAAAACTCTTGATTTTTCTGTTTTGTCCTTTGATAACACAGTTGGTTGGTGTCTTCTGTTACTGGGCATATAAAAGTTGGGGGAGATAGCAAAACTCAGATCTTTCAGTCTTGCTGTTTAAGGGAAGCATCAGTGGGTTTGGTTGGTGAGTGTTGGAACTGAGACTGAGATTTAGTATGTCTTCAGGCTCTCAGCTTCTTCCACGTGTCTGCCACCGTGGCCCTTTCTTGCTGCCTCCTTTCTTTTTATTTCATATATTGAATGCCTTTTTTTTATACAAATACTATTCATCTTATTTTTCCTTTCTAGACATCTCTATGTTTGCTTCTTTTCCAGATGGACCTAGATGAAGACACTGCTGAAAAATTTTATCAAAAGTTACTGGAACTGGAAAAGCACATTAGGGTCACTATTCAAAAAACAGATAATCAGGCCAGGCTCAGTGGCTCATGCCTATAATTCCAGCACTTTGGGAGGCCAAGGCAGAAGGATCACTTGAGACCAGGAGTTCGAGACCAGCCTGAGAAACATAGTGAGCCCTTGTCTCTACAAAAAGAAATAAAAATAATAGCTGGGTGTGGTGGCATGCGCATGTAGTCCCAACTACTCAGGAGGATGAGGTGGGGGGATCTCTTGAGGCTGGGAGGCGGAGGTTGCAGTGAGCTGAGATTGTGCCACTGCACTCCAGCCTGGGTGACAGCGAGACCCTGTCTCAAAACATATATATATTTAATATATATGTAAAGCCAGAGCTGACAATGACACTCTGGAACATTGCATACCTTCTGTACATTCTGGGGTACATGGATTTCTACTGAGTTGGATAATATGCATTTGTAATAAACTATGAACTATGACTCTCTTTTCCTTCCTTTTGGAATTATCTCCAAGACTGTGTATGTGTATGCATATGAGAAAAAGATTGGGCCGGGCACGGTGGCTCAAGCCTGTAATCCCAGCACTTTGGGAGCCTGAGGTGGGCGCATCATGAGGTCAGGAGTTTGAGACCAGCCTGGCCAACATGGCAAAAACCCATCTCTACTAAAAATACAAAACTTAGCCAGGTGTGGTGGCGTGCACCTGTAATCTCAGCTACTTGGGAGGCTGAGACAGGAGAATCACTTGAACTCAGGAAGCAGAGGTTGCAGTGGGCCGAGATCGCGGCACTGTACTGCAGCCTGGGTGACAGAGCAAGACTCCATCTCAAAAATAAAAAATTGATTAAGTAAAAATATTAATTAGTTATTCTCTAGAGTGGTATCACATCAAAATTATTAGAGTTCTTTTCTGAAAGATTTTATGTAAAAATAAAAATTATTCGAGTCACCCAACAGAGTATCTGTTTATATTATTCTGCCAACTGGGGCCTAAGCTGTGCTCCATGGGACAAGAGGTGGACTTGAATAATTGTGACACAGGCACACACTGCTCCTTTCTTTGGCCTGCCCCCAGCAAAAGGAAGTACTGCCCACTATCTGAGTGGCAGTCGGAACTTCGTTGCTTTATGAGCAATTTTTTTAGCTCTTTTGCCTTATTTCTTCCTCCATATGTTGCTTCTGACAATCTTAAGATTGTTAGAATCCTAACAATCCTCATGTGGGTGCCCATGTGGTTAATAACAAAAACCAAATAGATAGATGTTTGGGTCACTTGAATTATTTCTTGTTTAAAAAATATCTTTTATTGATTCTGAGGGAGTTCATGCTAATATTGGGCCCGACCCTTAACACTATTTGCATATTTATTAGTGACCAACACATTTTCATGATCATATCTTAATAGTTGTAAACTTGCAGCAAGAAATTATTCACTCACATTAAGTTTCAATAAAATTTTCTAACTGGGTAACTGCTGGTGTAAGGTACACTATAGTGAGGATTTAGTTTACATGTATCAGATAATCATGCAAACTTTATAAATTTTCAAAGAACCACACCCCAGGCCTCATTTGATATGAAGAAAAATGATAAAATGCTGTATATTTTTACTTTAAATATAACCAATGTAATGCCTGAAATCTAAAGTCAGTAAAATTTTGAATGACTTGACAAAAGTAAAAAATGATATATAATTTCCTCACAGTTTAAAGTATGAAGCTTTTGGTTCTAGTTTCTCTAATTTTGTTGTTAAAGGTTTTCTATAAACATTCTGTAAGTGAAAATGAGAGCTGCACACCACTGTGTCCACCGTCTTTGGGAGAGAAGGGTGAAGTTGACCTGAAATCAGAGCTGTTTTTCACTCTTCCATTCACTCACATTGTAAATTTGGAAGAAGCACATTATCTGTTGTGAATCTCAGGTTCCTCATATGTAAAGTGGAGTGGTTATCTTTTTGCTGCTTCTACTCATGGGTATGGAGTGAAGATTTAATGCAATAATATATGTGAATGAATAAAGAGCTTTTTTTGGCACATTGTAATAATTTTTACTGGAGATTGAATATGCCAGAGTATCATGGTTCAAATGCTACGGTGTAAGGCACTGAGTGATCACTTCCTATCTGGTAGAGTTGGTTAATTTTCCAAGTTTGACCCGGAAGCAGCATCTGATCAAGTGGGAGGGCATGGTGGGAGGAGTATGGGCTTTAGGGCTGGGAAGACCTTGGATCAGATTAGGATTTAGCCAGTTAACTATCTGTATGGAGTTCGAGACCAGTTGTATAACTTTGGGCAAGTTACTTCAATGTGTACCTCAGTTTAATTACATAAAGTATTGATGCCAGTGCCTACCTTGCAGAATTGTGATAATATCCTAGTAGGTGCACAGTCAATGCAAATTGGTACTGAATTCTGTTCTACGTTAAGTACCCAAAAGGAAGCTTTAAACATGAACCAATCTTGATTTCACGTCATTGATGATGTGTCACTAGGTTGGTGCTGTGCGTATTTTCTGAGCCATTTTATCCAATTTCCTCAAAATAGGGAACACTCCCTTCCCACACTCCCAAATGATGTACCTGTATAATTGGTTCCTTTCATTAAACAATCCTAGGTTTCACTGTTTTTGTATCTGACTGGAGTAGTAAGTTAAAGATTCAACTGCTAGGAAGTTGGATTTCAGCAGATGCCTGCTTTCTGCCTTGATCTGGTACATTTATTTTGATTTCCAATGGGTTCAGTATAATTCATTCATTCCACAGATGAGCACCGACCACATGCCAGGCACTGCTGGGTTTTGAGGATATAGAAGTTAACATATGAATGATAGAGTGAGACATCTCAAATGCTTCTAGGCATTCTAGAAAGAATTGAGAACATGGGAAAGAGGCAACTTTGAGGAGATGAAGGCTGAGTTTTTTTTTTTTTTTTTTTTTAGAATTGATGGAAGCCATGATCATCAGATTCAGGAAAAATGGCAAGTTCCACACAAGATAGACACAGATAAAGAAAAACCTAGACATAGTGAAACTGCAGAGAACCAAAGAAACTAACTTGCAAAAACAACTGGAGACAATAGATTATTGACAAAAATCACTGGGTGGATTAGCTAATGCCTATAATCCCAGCACTTTGGGAGGCCAAAGTGGAAGGATAGCTTAAGGCCAGGAGTTAGAGACCAGCCTGGGCAACATAACGAGATGCTGTCTTTACCAAAAATAAATCATTTCTTTTTAATATTGTTGGATTTGCTTTGCTAATATTTTATGGAGAATTTATGTGTCTAAGTTCATGAAAGATATTGGCCTGTACTTTTTTTTGGTTTTGACTGGTTTGGTTATTTGGCAATAGCAACCTCATAAAATGAGTTGAAGTGTTCTCTCACCTTCTGTATTCTGGAATATTATATAACATTGGTGTTAATTCTTCTTTAAATATTTGGTAGAATTCACCAGTGAAACCATCTGGGCCTGGAGATTTATTTTATGAATCTTTAAAATTATGCATGTAATTGTTAATGATGATAAAACTATTCAGATTTTCTGTTTTATCTTGTGTTTTTGTCATTTGTACTTTTTAAGGAATTGGTCAATTATTTCTAAGTTTTCAAATTTATTAGCATAAAAGTTGCTTGTAGTAGTATTTTCTTTTTAATGGCTACGAGATCTGTAATGATGTTCTGTATTTCGTTCTTGATGTTAATGTCTTCTCTTTTTTAGTTTTTGTCAGTCTTGCTAGGAGTTTCTCAATTTTAATGGTATTTTCCTAAGAACCAACTTTTTGTTTGGTAAATTTTCCCAATTGTTTTCCTATTACCAATTTCACTGATTTCGGCTCAGATCTTTTCTATTTCCTTCCTTCTGCTTGCTTGGATTTATTTTGTTCTTCTTTCTCTACTTTCTTGCTGTAAAAAAATTATTAACTTGAAATTTTTCCTCTTATCATAAGCATTTAGAACTATAAATTTTCTTCTTAGCACTATTCTAGCTGCATGCCAGATTTTTTGACACATTCTTTTTTATTAAGTTGTATATATTTTTATTAACTTCCTTTGATACTTTCTCTTTACTCATGGATTATTTAGAAATATTGTTTAATGTACATATTTTTAGAGATTTTAAAAAACTTGTTATTGATTTCTGACTTTTTTTGTTTTGATTTCCAGTTTTATTCTATTACAGTCAGAGATCACATTCTGTCTGATTTCTATACCGTTAAATTTGTTGAGGTTTGTTTTATGGCCTAGGATAAGGCCTGCTTTGGTGAATGTCTCATGGGCTGTCCTCCACACTGTACCTGCTGTTGTTTCTTCTTCGGAATTCTAAGGTAATTGGTTTTTTTTTTTTTTTTGCCTTTTTTCCACAGTTAATAGTTGTTCTTCAGGAAGGATGGTCTGTAGGTGGGGTACATTGCTATAATTAAAAGCAAGACTTCTCCGCACTTTTTAGTTCCATCTTTATTTCTGTATGATTTTACTTTCTTCTGTTTCTTTCCTGAGTATAATCAGTTTTTGTTTTATTTCTTCCTGTTCTTTGTCCATTTCTGTTTTTAAAATTTTTGATCCATAGTATTTTTTAATATCTCCAAATGCTTGTTTAAGGATATTTAATTCTGTTTCATTGGGTTAGTATTTTCTTCTCCCTTGTAGTTGTTTTCTTGGGCATGGGAGATGGTGGTTATTGTGGTTGTCAGCTCAAACTTTTTTTCCCTCATTTTGTTTGCTTCACTTCTCAGCAAAGTCTTCTGGTCACCCAGTCTAAAATTTCATCATGCCCCTCATATCTTCTAATCTTTCTTATCTACCTTTTTTTTTCCTTTTTGCTGCTTATTACTATCTAACATATGTATTTTACATATCTTGTCTATTGCCTTTCAACCTACCGAAGTATAAGCTCCAAGATGATTGGGACTTTTAAAAAAATTGTTTCGCCACTATTAATGCAAGGCACATAGTAGGCACTCGATTACTGCTTGTTGTATAAATAAATATATGAACAATTGATTAAACAAAGGTTTATTTGAATTAAGGTATCATGAAATGGTGTTTGCAGTACCAAGTCAGAGTTTATTGAGGTTCTGTCTGCTGTCATTGTCATGTTAGAATATTGCCTTGTGCTGATACAATTCCTTCTCATGAAAAACAAAAAACACTAAGAACAACAAGAATGTAGAATGAGTCTTATTCCTACTAATGGAACTCCACGCAATAATCCATGTTTCTTGTCTGCCACCTGAAAATGTGAACAAATTTCATTATCCAACAAGTCTCATTTGCTTATTATTTTTAATAACTATGACAATATACATAAAGGACTGTTGAAAATGGATAGTAATCCACTGGGTTAAAGAGAGCTCATCTCACCATTGCTGGAGGTTATTCCTCACTGTCTCATTTGACTCCTGTTTCAAAGAAGGGAATTATGGGAGGTTTTATAGCAGTTTATAGTGGAAAAGAGAAATTTCAGAGACTCTGGATGTTCAAGAAACATTTTTTGTTAGTGACTCATAAATAGGTTTAAATGTGGGTAGTTGACATAGATGATGCTTTAGATATAGGCTATGCGTGGATTTATTTTCTTTCTTAGGCTAGGAAGTAACTATCCCACCCTGCTGTATTTAACAGTCAAAATGATTCTATATTCTCTATATCTTTGATTGCAAAGTGATCTCTATTTATAACTATCATTTATATTCTACATTTGAAAGAAATATATTCACAAGCACCCAGGAAAAAAATGATTTATTATATATGCCATATGAGTAAGAATTAATTACTTATCATTTATAACAATGTAAAAAATCCTATCCCACACATTAGTTATGAGCCAGGCCGGAGGTATGGGGATTTGAAAAGAGATATGGATGATAGGAGGGAAAGGAAATGAAGGGAGAGTGTTTGAGTTAAGGCAGTAGTTTCCCCCTGCTTGAAACTGGAGGCAACTTCATTCCAGAGAGATCTACAGAGAAGTACAAGTTCTCTGTTATAAGGGGCTAAAAATAAATCACTTTATTCTTGGCCATCAAGGACTTAGTTCCGGCACATGATAGGAATTAGAGCTAGATTTTAAAGTTCAGGGTAGAAGTGGATGAAAAAAAATAGCAAATAATCAGCCACAGATAGAGCTGCCAGATTCTTATTGAGAGAATGGATGAATGGTTGTCCAGGAATAGGGTTATCATGACCAGGCGATGCTTCTCCATGTCCAGAAACTAAAATTTCTACATCAACACAACAAAAATCAAGAAGAAAATGTATGAGTTATTGGAAGTAAAACCAAGGGCTTAATTTGATTAGATCCACCAAACTTATCCTGCCCTGCTTGCTTTGGGTTGTTTGCTTGTTGCTTTTGTTTTTGTTTTTCCCTGAAGCTGAAGGCATGGTAGCTGAAGTCTGCACCACCGAATGCTGTAACTTAACCTTCACTGGCTACTTTACAGATAACATAAGTCACATGGTAGTGGTCACTTCAGTTGTTTTTTAGGAACTTAGGGCAGCTCCTGTCCAGTTCAAACCAGTTGAGACCACGTACCCTTCAACTAGGCATGTGCAGGTACCTGAGAGGGAAACTTTTGATGTCAGAGGCAAAAACTCCATTCTCAGATCATGCTAATGCTGATCTGAGACATATATCCTGTGAAATGCCATGAACCCTGATAATGCTGGCATAGATCACTGATTACCTCATTTTAACCCACTGCCAATCACCTTTCCCTATGCCTTAGACCACCTGCTTCTCTAATCCATAAATATTTCCTATCTTTGGGGAGGCAGATTTGAGAGCTGTTGTCCACCTCCTTGCTGGGATGCCTAATTAATCTTTTCTTTTGCAAAAACCCATTGTCCCAGTAATTTATTTACTGTGCAGGTAGAGTGAACCTGGCTGGTATCAAAAATACACAAAGAGACATCAACAAAATGATAGTATCATGATAACTGTCCTATACATAATACATTTTAATAACTTAAATACATGATTTCTTCAGTCATCTAGAGTTCTGTCTTTCTCTGTTACTTTTAGTAGGTCAGACAATTGTTCAAAGTTTGCAGCAGCTTGAAAGCAAATTCTTCAGTGAAAGGTGCCAGGTCTCTAGAGATAACAAGAAACTAGGTCTTTCTTACGTGGTTCTCATGGAAGTGATGGTGGGAGGGAGAGGCTGCTGGCCTTGCTCCAATGCCTTCAAGCCTTCCTGGAGTTCACCGTTTTTTTCTAGCTGTCATTCCCACATTATGATGAGTGTCAAACCTCCAAGATTAGGACCCTTTTCTGTTTTCCAGAGGGTGAGCTCTTCATGGGACAGCCATACTCCCAAGTTTCCACTCACTTTCTTACGTGACACCTCTGAGTCCAGGAACTTTCACATTGAGCCTTTGGGTCTGGCCCTGGAATAAGACTATTCTTATTTTCAGAGTTAGAGTTGTCAAATACTGATCTCTTGTCTTGAAAGGAGTTGGAGTGGGAGAAGGGTAGGGACTGAGTTCCTCTCAAATAATGAACATTTCTGAATTATCCAAAAATCTAAATGTCAAACAACCAAACAAATTGGTAGTATCAGTGATTTATTCCAAATAATTTTGGGACAAGTGGCTAGTAACCGGGAAAAAAAAAGTTGGAGCCTTCTATCACTGCTGTAGTAGGCAGAATTTAAAATATCCCCCATGACCTTTGCCCAGTTACTCTCATGATTGCATTGTTATGTGGCGCAGTTGTTATTAAAATAGGGAGATTATCCTGGATTATTCAGGTGGGCCACATGAGGCCTTTAAAGCTGTAGAGAAGGAGCAGAAGTTAAGTCAGATCTGCAGCTATAGTAGTGCTCTCCTGTGGACCCTGAAAGAGCAAACTACCTTCTGCAGAAAGGGCTACCTGACGGGATAGTGGGTGACCTCTAAAAGCTGAGGATCCCTCCCTCTGTCTTCCATCCCCACAAAGTTTATAAACTGCAAGAAAGTGGGACTGTGGACCTACCAAGCAAGGAACTGGTTTCTGCAAAGGGTCTAAGTGAACTTGGAAGCTGATTTGACCGAGAGCCTGCCTGGCTTTTATTTAGCCTAGTGGGACCCTGAGCCAGAAATCAGTCAGGCTATGCCAGGCTTCTGACCTACAGAACTCAGATAATAAACGTGTATTGTTTTAAACTGCTAAATTTGTGACAATTTGTTACAGCAGCAATAGAAGACTAATACAATTCTTTACACCCAAATAAATTCCATATGTATCAATGATGAATAAATATGATTACAAAATAATTAAAATTTCCTGTACAATAAATTATCACAAATAAAAATCAAAATTCAAATAACAAGCTGGGAAAATATTTGTAACATAGAAGCCAATTGGATAATTAACCTACTATTTAAATAATGTGCACAAATCAATAGTAAAATTTATTCTCACCCATAGTAAAATGAAATCAAATTAAAAGCACATGAGTTATCACCTTTTTGCTTATCATATTATCAAACACCAAAAAGTTTTGTTCAGGGTGTGAAAGAACAGGCACTTTCATTTCATATTGTTTGTGATGTAAATTGTTAATTCCTTTGAAAAGCAATTTGACAATACCAAAATTTTAAATGCACATACCTTTAATAATTCTACATTTTAAAATTTATCCTAAAGATACAACTCATTAATGTACCTAAAGATATTTATACAGGACTTCCATCACTTATGCAAAATGTGTACTAACCGTGCTTTAGAATTTAAAATTGCTTAGAGTTTAGAAAGATAAGTTGGTGCATACAATACAGTATGTTTTGCAATAATTCTACTGGGACCTGGGATAACAACCTGCAATCAAACCTAGCTATATGTTAGCAAAAAAGATACATGAATTCACATTAAGTAGTAGAAGTAAAGATGATAAATAGCCTCACCTCAGTACAGCTATAGTTCAGCTGCCAAATGAGTGTGCCAAAAATTTGAAAAGACTAAATTTTCATAGCTGTTTGGACTTTAGAATAGTGGGTAAAGGATTTTAGATCTGTACAAGAACAATTCATTGCAGCATTTTTTTCCTGTAATTTTCATGGAAATTTAGATAGTATCTGTCTCCTAATAGAAAATAGCACTTGAAAGTGACATTGAAAATGGCATTTGAAGGGTTGATATAATTCAGACTACTTTGGTTAATGTTTCTGTTCCTTTAATAAGCTCCAATGGAGATCAGAAATAAGAACATTTTGAATGTTTTTTTCTACATTATTTTTTCTGGTCATTTGCCCAGTTAGATGATGGAGTATGGATCATACTTAGGAGAATATGTGCAGTTTGCTGAAGTGTTCTAAGTTCTTCACTCATCCATATGGCTAATTAACCCAAACTTGGGCAGAGGTATTAAGTGATTTCCTTCTCAAGAAAAAGTCAAGGGTATTAATGTTTCACTACCCTCTGGTTGTTTTTTGCTCCCTCCCTTTTAACTTTCTTTGAAAGATGATTTGAAGGTGTTTTCATCCATTTTGTGTTGCTATAACAGAATATCTGAGACTGGGTAGTTTATAAAGAACAGAAACTTATTTGAGACTGGATAATTTATAAAGAACAGAAATTTATTTCTCACAATTGTGAAGGCTAGGATGTACAAGATCAAGGTGCTGGCATCTGGTGGGGACCTTCTTGCTGTACCATTTCATGGCAGAAGGTGGAAGGGCAAAAGAGGACCAGTCCTGTCTGTGAAGTCCCTTTATAAGGCCATTTAATACAATTCAAAAGGGAGGAGCCCAGTGGTTTAAATACCTCTTAAAGGCCCCACCAACAGTGGGGCCAACAATACTATCACATTGGCCATTTAGTTATGTTTAGTTTTGTTTTGAGACAGAGTCTCACTCTGTTGCCCAAGCTGGGGTGCAGTGGTGCCATCTTGGCTCATTGCAACCTCTGCCTCCTGAGTAGATGGGATTACAGGCCTGCACTACCACACCCGGCTAATTTTTGTATTTTTATTAGAGGTGAGGTTTCACCATGTTGGCCAGGCTGGTCTCAAACTCCTGACCTTAGGTGATCCGCCCGCCTTGGCCTCCTAAAGTACTGGGATTACAGTCATGACCCACCAAGCGCGGCTGGCCATTTAGTTTTAACACCTGAATTTTGGAGGGAACATCTTCAAACTATAGCAGAGGGAGTGTGGAGATACACAATTTTGTAGGCTTATTAAGGAAACTGATAAATTATGGTTCCTCTTGAGGAAAGAGTACATGCTACCAACCTAAAAGGAAGAGGCTGATGCACAAAATATAATTTGAAGAGTTTACTTGAGCCAAAGTGAGGGCAGCTGCCCAGAAGACTTAACTAACCTTGGATATGAGCTCCCTTCAGCCTTTGTTACAAACAGGCTTTTAAAGGCAAAAAGGGTGACAGAGTAGGCTGATACAAAGTTGTTTGTCAGGAATTCTGTTTGGTTTGCAGAAATAACATTGATAAGTGATTGGCTATTTTTTTTTGGTGTGGTATTTTAAATGTCATTTTCTTTTTTTAAAAATGTACTTTAAATTCTGGGATACATGTGCAGAACATGCAGGTTTGTTACATAGATATACACATGATTGGCTGTATGTTTTTAAGCTATAGGATGTGGGTTATAGTGTCCAGTGTGACATTATTAGGTTAATGTACAGCTGTTTATGGCAATAGTAAGCGGTTTCAAGAGATGAATACATAGCTTAAAGTGGGGAGTTACAACATGATTGCTGTCTCATTTTCATGCCCTCCCCAGCCTGATAATTTAAAAGGACTTGCCTTCCTCAGATGAAAGAACTTTGCTTTCTTCAGTGCAAAGTAACTATATAACAAAATATAAAATAACTGCATAATAACCATATAACCATGAGGAACAAAATATAACAAAACATCAGCAACAGAAAACATTTAGTTCACATGTGTATTACATTCTGGTTGAATTTTTTCCCTCTGTCCCTTTAGATTTATATTGGCTAGTCTTTTCGTCAACAAATTTAGTTTTTAAATCTTGTTTTTAAGCAATAGAAAATCCTTTATCATTTCTAGAAGATAAACCCACAGCAGAGAGAAAAGACTATTTAGCCTCAAATTCTACAGCATTATAAACAACTACAGGGAAAATGACAAATTTTTTTTTGTATGTATGTATGTATGTATTTCTAAGGGAAAAAATCCTTCTGTATAAAACTCACTGGATGACACCAATTTTTCTAAAAGTGGGAATCAATACTAGAAGGATAAAACACCATTTTAAAATTCATGTTCCAAGTCAGTATTTTACTTTAATAACAGTTACAAAATAGTGAACAACGCACATGAAGCGATAATAGCCGAAATCATATATCAGCCATGCATGCAGTTCATACTTGGTAGAGGGAGGTAGGAGGCACTGAAAGTGCACTGTTGGACGAATTTATAATCACTCTAAAAACAAAACCCTCTAAAAAGGGAACCTAGGGACTACCCAGACAAGATGGAAAGGCTCTGATTCATTTATTAGACTGCATAGAATTTCAGTCTGTAGTGAGCAGGGTACCTGGAACTCTATACATAAAATTCTGTGTCATATTCTTTTTTTTTTTGAGATGGAGTTTCACTCTTGTTGCCCAGGCTGGAGTGCAATGGTGTGATCTCAGCTCACCGCAACCTCCATCTCCCAGGTTCAAGCAACTGTCCTGACTCAGCCTCCCTAGTCGCTGGGATTACAGGCATGCGCCACCACGGCCAGCTAATTTTGTATTTTTAGTAGACACGGGGTTGCTCCATGTTGGTCAGGCTGGTCTCGAACTCTCGACCTCAGGTGATCCGCCTGCCTCAGCCTCTCAAAGTGCTGGGATTACAGGTGTGAGCCACCGCGCCCAGCCTCGTATTCTTTCACTTAATCCACAATATCATGTACCAATGGGCAAAACTTTGCTCCATTTCTAAAAATAGTTAAACTGAGAAATTATTCAAAGGTACATTTTTATATATAAGATATAGCAATTTTAAACATCTTACCCCTTGTGATGAATAAGAAATGGCACAAAGCCACTACATATCATTTGAATATAAAACTTTTTTTCTTTTAAAACAGCTCTCATTTCCCATGCAATTTTAAGAAATAAAATTTTCCCCAAGGGGATGGCAGGAATGTGATTTCATGAGAATTACTATAGTTGGAGAGAGTCCAGAAAATCTAAAATAATAAAATTGGTTATAAGCTGACAAATTTTATTGACTTAACTGCAGGTTAAGATTTCACTCTGCTGGCTTTCAGAAAAAGGCCCTGACAAGTTAAATGAGAATGATTTAAAAATATAAGTTCAAAAAGCTACACAAATACTTATAAAAGGTTATACAGTGTGTTGTATTTTTGAGATGACTTTTTTTCGAGCCTGTTAAGTCAAAGAGTCAGTTTAGTGATTTAAATATGTAAACTGAGAACACCATAAAATGATGGACTGGATTAAGAAAATGTGGCACATCTACACCATGGAATACTATGCAGCCATAAAAAAGGATGAGTTCATGTCCTTTGCAGGGACATGGATGAAGCTGGAAACCATCATTCTGAGCAAACTATCGCAAGGACAGAAACCCAAACACCGCATAGGTGTTTCTCACTCATAGGTGGGAATTGAACAATGAGAACACTTGGACACAGGGCAGGAAATATCATACACTAGGGCCTGTCGTGGCGTGGGGGATGGGGGAGGGATAGTATTAGGAGAAATACCTAATGTAAGTGACCAGTTAATGGGTGCAGCAAACAAACATGGCACATGTATACATATGTAACAAACCTGCACATTGTGAACATATACCGTAGAACTTAAAGTATACTACTACTACTACTACTAATAAAAACTGAAATTACCTCAACAAAAGGCAATGCCAGGTAGTTACAAACATGTACTACCCAATCCTGCCTGAAGGTGGGAGTCTTCAGTTATGTAATGGTTTAGGGCACAGCAAAAAAAAAAAAAAAAAAAAAAACAAGAGTATTAGACGTAAAAGAAGAAACATTTTTACCCCACTCCAATATGACAGTGCAAAAATATAAGTATATAATTAAGGCTCCCTTATCCATCTAGAGTGATAATGGGCATTGACCCATCTATAAAAACAAACAAAAAAAAGAGAGCGAGAAGCCAAAAATGGAAGAGAAAGGTATACCTGAAGGAATTGGTTTACTCTACTGTAACGTTTGAGTGTTAGATAACTTAATGCTATGTAGCCTGATGCTACTACAGTTCTTTTGGTGGAGAGATGGTGGAGTTACAATCACCAGGTGGCTGAATTATGTATGCTGAGTTACTTACCCAAAGGAAAAGACTGAGGAAGAATAATTGGAAAAATCTGCAGTTACAAATGACACATATATGTACTCAAAATGAAAGGGGAAGTACAAAGAACAAAAAAGGGAGTACAGGCTAACTATAACAAACAGAAAGAACAATCACATCAGATTAATGTCTAGATTCTTAGGTCTTATGTCCTAATAAACAAAAGGTTAGTACTGACAACATGATACTTAAACGACATGTCTATGACAGCTAAGGTGAAACAGAAGCCAAACAGATTTCTTGCAGAAAGAAATGGCACAAGAAAACATTGGCATGCAAGTGCTTTTGATAACCATCTCTTATGAGACATAATAAATAGTATCTCTGGATTTATTTTGAATATGTCTAACTGGTTTGGCTGCTTCTCTTTATTTGGTAGTTCAACGTGAAAGCTAAATTTGCCACATTGAGACCTCAAACCATGGTGGCAACACTGTTTATTTCCATGAAGCAGGGAAAATCCTTATGAATAAGAACTAAGGAGTAAAAGCACTGTTAGCTTACACAGGACTTAAAAAGGCTTTTCAACTAAGACATTTCTACATGAAATTTGGTACTTAATAATGGGTATAGTTGTATGTACTTCACAAACTTAAAGATTACTCAAATATGCACATAAAGGTAACAGTAAGCAACAACAACAAAAAGGAATCAGAAGTATCAGGTTACTGACCCATGTCCTGAAGGAGCAATGAAGTATAAACAACACTGCACCCTGTTACCAGGCATCTGACATCTGTTCACTCGCGATTCTGCATTTAGGTAGTCCTCAAATTTACTATCAATATAATTGATAGCAGGCTGCCAGCTATAGAATGCAAATAAACAAAACAATTAAGTTGCAATACTACATATGAATTAACTGATGACTGTTAAAGGACAATAATCAATATTTTCAAATAGGCAAAATGAATTAACCAATGGAAGATATGTCAAGTTATTCTATATAAAGATTCAAAAATATAAATTGTGTTGAATAAATCTTTATTCATTATTTCAAAACTTTCCAAATGAAAGAAAATATTTATTGTTGAAACACAGCTAAATTATTAGCATACTATTGGCACTAGTAAGTGTATTAATAACACACTTCATAATATGAAAACAATTATATTCAGTTTCAAATTTCAAAGGAGAGATTACTTAAATAATATAAAAACTTCATGATGAACTTAGGAGTTTTAAGAGTTGACAGAAAAATACCTCAAAAACAATGTAAATTCAAACAAAATTAAAGTTATTTATAAAATACTAAGATAATTACTTCAGACTAAAATTTCATAGTTTTCTTCACTTAGGACTTATGGAAAAACTGAAGGTCTAAATATCAGGTTTAAATTAGGATTGAGATAGAATTTATACAAATGGATAAAATTAAAGCAAACCGTTTTAAATTTCTTACAATAATGAGAATTCTTCTATCTAGCTACGTTATTTTGGAATATGTCTTAAAAACAATTTTATGATAGGTATTATCTCCATTTTATCAAAAAGTAAATGGGTTCAAATAAGTTAAACTTCTTTGTTTAACTTTGAATTTAAACTTTGTCAAATAAGTGGCAAAGTTGGTATACAAACCTGTCATGTTACTTGAAGTTTGGTGACCTTTGCTAAGAAGAGTTTTAAAATGTTAAGAAGAGAAAGTTTAACCACCCCAGTACCCCAAATACACTGGAAAGTTGTGAGGACAAATCCTTTTTACCAATTACTATTATCCACTGCATCTCCAAATCCTGGGGTATCAACTATTGTAAGCAGCAACTGAACACCACCTTCTTTGATTAAAACTTTGGATTGTTCCATCTATAAGAGTAATTGGTGCAGATGTTAATATCATACATTACACCAGTGATTTCTTACCAGGGGTGATGGTAGGGATGTTTGAGTTTATCTACCTACTCCCACATTTTCTTTAGGATCAATGATTGTGGGCATTGGGAATCCAGATTATTTGAAAGAAAAGCATATATACAAATAGTGTGCCAATCTCTTGGCAAATTAATACTGGGTTTATGAGTCATACTTGGTATAAAGAAAGACAGAGGAACTGATAAAATTCTGATCACCACTAAAGACATGTAATACATAACTTAAATGTGCATCTAATAATACAATTAAGCAGTTTGAGTGATTCAGTCATTCACAGAGTTCAAATGTAATTAACCAGGCAAGAACATTTAATCTACCGTTTATAGTAAATGTCTTCCTGGACTATTCTCTATCAAGTTTGGCCCAAACCACTCACTCAAATGAACTTACTATCATTCCTAAATCTTTCTCAGCATGGATGTAATTACCCTTATATTTATGTTATGGCTAGGATCCAATCCTCTTCTCAAATGCGATACTCCACATTCCGGAAAATGTAATCAGCAAAGGTCCAGACAGTTAATAAAAAAAAGTGTATTCTGGTAGGGTGAAATCTTACTGATTATTGGACTTAAATGATAACAACAGTTCCTGGAACAATTTAAGATATTCTGTAACCTCAAGCTCTGTATCAGGAGATGTATTATCATTCATCCTGGGCATATGCTGCTGTTAAATGCAAAGTATCAGTTTTCAGGAGCCCAAGATAAAGCAAACATGGATTCAAATAAAAAGGGAATAATTCCTTCATAAGATAGGCTTTCTCCTGATACACATTTATATCAAGTCCTTTTTAAGGCAAGAGGCTCCAAGTATGCTGATAAGCTAATTTACAAGACAAAAAGTTTGGGACACTTTTAGAGATAGCCTATTTCCTTTTGGCATGTTTTATAGATGCTACCTAATGCATGAAGAGACTAACATGCGGAGACTAAGATTGCTGAGCAAGAAAAGTCTGTAGCCACACTATCCAATAACACTTTCTGAGATGATGGAATTGTTGTGTATCCACACTGTCCAATATGGTAGCCACTTGCCCATGTGGCTACTTATTCCTTAAAATCTGACTAGTGCAAATAAGGAACTGATATTTAATTTTATTTAATTTGAATTAACTTAAATAGCCACATGTGGCTAGTGACTACTGAATACACAGCAGAGGTCTATAGCAATCAAGAGTTTTCTGTTAAAAGAATTTTATTATCAAGAATAAAACTTATAAAACTGAAAAAAATTGCCTGAGATGTGGACATGCATGACTTATCTTTTAGAGAAATGAGATGCCAAAGTCTTATCTTTTAGATTAATGTTCTTCAAACTGCTTTGATCCTGATACAAACTATCAGTGAAAATTTTGCAGATCCAAAAGATATTTACCCACCAAATATATACTATTGGCAATCTGAATATTAAGTATTAATATGTATTATCATTTATCTGTAGATTAAAAGTAAACATCAATAAATAAGAGTTGTAATAGTTTCTGATCATTCTCAGTATCAGTGATGGATGCATATCATTTAGAAGATCACTGTTACATACCACATAACTAAGATAACATGTCTATTATCAGGTTACCCTAATAACATGAGAGAGGCAAAATGACTCAGAGAAAACAATCAGATTCATCAGTGTGAAATCATGAGAACCAAAGGAAAAAAAATTTTTTTTTTTAGTCAGGGTCTCACTCTGTTGCCCAGGCTGGAGTGCATGGTAGATCATAGCTTACTGCAGCTTCAAACTCCTGGGTTCAAGCAATCTTCCCATTTCAGCCTCCCAAAGTGCTGGGTCAAAAAAAATTTTTAACGATATCATCTTATCTGGTTTAGGAAGTTTACATTTTCTTTATCTGGTGATCTTCTAGTCAAAGGACAACCCAGTCAAATCTAACATCTCAATATCTTGAATTCACCTCCATCTCCTTTATAAAGACAGATCATTTATTCATGGTAACTGTGGCTGAAGTAGAAATATCCACAGTAATTATACCACTCCTTTACCCACTTACTCTTTTAAACAACATAGTACTGTATTCTAGAAAGAGATACAAAAATATAGTTAATTTACATGAATCATCTCCCAATTTTACTTAAAAATATTTCTGGTTCCTTTATTACCAAATGAAGCCCATTCTACCTTCAGTAATATGCTGTATAACAAATACACATTTTAACCTAACAGCTTAAATTTTAAGATATTTCCCTGTTTAAAAAAAAAATCAGTTCAACAACTTAATTACTTATTGACTTGCTAAGACAAATGAAGATTTGTATTTTACACACATAAGGAATGTTTATAAAGCTTCTTTTCTTTTCTGGCCTATGAAATTCTGTATGTCCATACATGGTCAAATACAAAGAAGTCAGCGACATATGGAAGAGATCCAGAAAACATAACTGCAAACTAGTGCCATTCACAGGATCCAACTGGACCCTATCATCTGCTTTTACAAGTATCCTCATGGGATCCATGGAAAACAAATTAGTTCAAGTCTAAGAATTTCAGACTTTCCCTAACAAATCTATTCCAAATGGCCACTTTCCCATGCACTTTCCTTAAGCAGGCCACATCAACATCTTTTATGGCATCACTCAGGGTTCTCTAAGATTAGCTGCATAATTTAATAACAAAAAAATGAATCAAGAACATTTTCAAATGTTTTTCCCTGAAAAATAAATAAACTAAAACTATCATCTATGAATCATCTATGTATAATTCATCTATTGAGACCTCTTTTGGCATCCGAGATTCCAGAAACCAAAGGTACTCATTTTCTAATACTGAGTGTATACAGTATACAAGAGTATTAGTATACTGAGTTTTCAGTTTTACAATCTGAGGAAAAAAAGTCAAACAATGTTGATTATACAGCTTCATATACACTAACCTTTTCTAACTTAATGTTTACATGCCATTTATTAAGGTAAATTAAGAAGTTATTTAATTAAGCATATAACATTTTGAAGAGAGGGTTAAAATTTTCTGTCAAGAACTTACCTCTACCTACACTTGCTCAAGAGGTAGCATTACAGCCAAAACTCTGAAGACATTGGAATGGCCTGAGATACTCCACTTAGCTCAAACACAAAAACTATCTATTTCCCTTATTTATTGGCTCAAAAGACAAATATCATCTTAAATGTTTCATGGTGTTCCACAAGAAAATGAAAGAGGAAGTAACCAATAGTAGAACAGTTATGCCTGAAGAATACTTCCTTCTCATGAAGACCCAGGACTACTTTACTAAGAAGAAAGTTGATCCCAAAACTCTAATTTGGCTTTCTATTCTGAACCTCTCCACTCCTCATATCCCTGTCTCCTTATTGAGACCTCAAATCCCTTGCCCCTCTCATTTTCTATTAGCAACCTCCTTCCCAAAACCTTTATTTCTTTCCCTTTCCAACTCAATTCCCATTCTGGATTAACCCATCTTTCTATTCCTATACCATAAAATTCATGACCTTCAACCTCAAAAAGAATTTCTCTGCTAATATTCCTCTTATGTGCTCCTTAGTCTCATGCCTCTCCCATTCCCTAATAGGCTCTTCCCAAGCCCGTGCCTGTCACAATGCTCAGTGAAGTACCTCACATCACCACTTAAAAATGAGACCATTCCCAGTCTGTCTGAATCAGCACTGTACCTTCCATGGTACAGTGTGTGTGAAATTTATCTTTTTCCTAAAGCTAATTTCTCAATCTATTCTAGGGAACTGATTAATTTCCATTTTAGATTCATCTTGACAACCGTTTACACTATTTCCCCTATATCTTCAAGACTACTGGGCTTGGTAAGGAGCCAGCCAACTATTAAAAAGATTACATTCTCATTTTCTAACTATATTCAGGCTTCTTGAATGACTCTGACCCTGTCCGTAATATGGCATGTTCTTTCCTAACTGGGCACAAGAGTTTAGATTATCTTCAGCTAGTTTTCAGTATATAAAGGAATACACCTCCATGGTTCAATCAGGAAAGAGGACTTCTACAGGATTCTACTAAGGATCAATCTGGTTCTCAAATGTTACAGGTCTTCTTTTTGGCACAGAAAAGATATTTAACAGTGGTGCACAGGCCTGTCTTAAAAATCCTACTAGAGATATTCTCACCTCCATTACCCCTTTGTTTTCAAGATAAAGAGAGTTTCCGGGAAGATATTCACAACAGAAGAGGATATTTTTGAAGTGTTACTTTAAAGGAAGGTAAAATGGGTTTAGGCAACTTATTTTGAAGCTAAGCCAATGTAAGAATTCTAAAATAAATTGAGGGCATGTCACATCTTTAACAGATGCTCACCTGGGGAGAAAATGTCTGCAATATCTAAAATGTAGGGGATTATTAGATTTTTCAAACTCTTATAAATCAGCAAGAAAATGACAGAAAATATTAAGATTACCAAAAGACTTTAATGAAATCTGAACAGTTATTGAGTACAAAAGACATGTTCAACCTCACTAGAAATCAAATAAACTCAAATACCTTTATATCTTTATGCACACACAACAGCAATGAGTGCCTAAGTCTACTAAGACATGCACAAGAATGTTCCCGTTAGTAAAAAACTGAAAACCCAAAGGCTTATCTACAATAAATAATAAAGGATATACTGATACATTCACACAATGGAGTATTATACGACGATGAAAAAAACAACTACACCCAACATGAGTAAATAATACAGACAGAATCTTCACTGAAAGAAAACAGATACAAAAAAGTATACGTATATAACGTTCAAGAACAGGCAAATTTATGGAGAAGGCATTCAGTAAGGTGTTTATCTTTGGGGGTTGTAATACTGAATGCGAGTGAGCACATGGAAGAAACTAGGGTTCTGGAAATGAACTGTATATTAATTTGGATAGTGCTTAGTTTTACCTTTCATATCTAAATTCATAAATACTTAAGTGAAGGTATTCATAATAGATACCCAAATTAAGAAAGTTCAAAGTTCATTTTCTTGCTTAGGTTTAAAATTTCCAATATTTATCACAAAATAAATAAGCAGGTAGGATCAAGTTTTTAGAGTAGAATTTTGCAGGTAATTTTAAATCTCAAGCCCTATGAAGGTTACTAAAAAAAAAAAAATTCCTAAAATAGAAACATTAAAAAGGAGAAATAAGATATTTACTTCACAAAATTACTCCTTTGGGGTCTTGCAGTATGATATATATGAGTTACTGCTCAGAATATATAGACTGTCCTCCTATCCTGTGCACTGGGATGATCACTACCACTTCTTCAAATCCAGCTAAAAGCATCATGGCCTCAATGAAGCCTACTCCAGCCAGAACTGTTCATGTGCCTCCTCTCTGCTCATGTCCTATATATTACCTAAGCAGAGCTCACCAACAATATTTTTCATCAACAGCTTAGAGCAGCGCTGCCAAATAAAAATACCATGTCGGTCATGTAAGTAATTTAAAATTTTCTTAGTAGCCACTTTTAAAATAGGAAAAAGGTGAAATCAGTCAATTTTATTTAACCCGATACATCCAAAATATCACTGCAGTATACAATCAATATAAAAAATTACGGAGATTTTCTTTTCCATGCTCAGTCTTAGAAATCTGTGGCATATTTTATATTTGCAGAACATCACAATTCAGACTACCCACATTTCAAAGATTAATAGCCACATGTGGCTACAGGCTGCTGTACTATTTAATAAAAAGTGCATATCTAGAGTCTAGCCCCTTGCTTTATAAAGTGTGATCTACCATCCAGCAGCATCAGCATCACCTGGGATCTTGTTAGAAATGTAGAAAGGCAGCCCATCTCAGAACTACTAGAAGAAATAAATTTAACAGGATACCCAGGATTGGAATGCATAGCAAAGACTGAGAAGCAGTAAATTAAATCACATATAGCTTGGGAGTCTTACCGAATTGCTATTGCCATTCAACTATGATATGGTATTATCCCACTGACTAATATGGAACACTGTATTTAAATAACAATAGTTTTTCTATGAATCATGTTTTCTCTACACTGTCCAATGCAATTTTCTACAATGATGAAAATCTTCACATATGTGCTGCACAAAATGGCAGCCACTTGCCACAGGTGGCTGTTGAGCACTTGAAATGTATCTGGAGCAAATGAGAAATTGCATTTTAATTTAATTAATTTTAATTGATTTAAACATGTGGCAAATGACTATCATACTACATAGCACAACTCCAGGGGAATTGGTTACTATGTCACAGTGTCATCTCTAGGAGAATCCTTAGGACAAATTTGGAAAGTTCTAGTCAAGATAATTCTTTTGATTAACTGTACTTCTTCTGTTTTTTTAATTTTATGAAGTCATATTTACCATCTTACACTGGCTAAGGGCAAATTTGCATCTTACCTCTAAGGAAGCATAATAAAAGTTACAACACATGCTTTGTGTGTATTAATATTATTCCAGCTTATCATCAATTAAAAATACCAATATCTAGACCTGTACAGGTTTTTTAATTCTCTGAGAAGGACCTGGATACTCTGGAGAATACAAATCTGTGAGGAATAATGAGTTGATTAATGTCAACTTTCCCAGTCCAGATTCGTCTAAAAGAAATAAGGGAAAATATCTGTTAAACTCACCCACTTTACCCAACCTTAAATATTCAACAGATGCTGTAATTGAACTTGCTTTATGCAAGTATTTCTTGGTGAGACAATGAAATGACATTAGAAAATATGCTACAAAGAATAAGTATCTTGTCCTCAGTTTCTTAGCTATCAAATTAAACTCACGTTTCCAAGGATTCTTTTCAGCCTTCTAATTATACCACTTATATTCATTAAAAGTAATGTATCTAATAATTACATTTTTAACAGTAATGTATTCCCAAAGAAAAAAGTCAGTCATTATTTAAAAATCCAAGTTGGATTATATATCACTGCTTCAGTGAAATAAAGTTTTTCTTTATTAATAGACAATAATGAATGAATAATAAACAAGAAATCATGCAGCTATAAAAAGCAAAAATCTGCTAATACAAAGAATAATTAATCACAATGAACATCTCTGTATAAAATTCAAAATCACAAAAAATACTTTCTAATTTCGCCGCCCATCAGCCTAAATATAAGGGTGATTCTCCACAAACCAGAATCCAAAAAAATCTTAGGTAATTACTTTTTCTACCACTTCTACTCAAGGTAGGAGGTAGACACGAAGGAAGCTAGGGCATGATTTCTACTCTGACCACATACTCTTTTTTGACTCTCCGTGTTTAGTCCAATATACATAGTCCAGTGTATAGTAATTATTACAAGTATACCAAAATATAAATGGCTTCAAGGTATATATAACCTAAGGTTAAAACAAATTATAAATCAGATTATGATAATTAACATGGCACAGAGTTAAAGTATTTATTGTTAATAACTCACTTAGCATAATAGGCATGTTTAGCCTAAGTAACTGGTGTCACAATATTTTTATGCCTAGGAGGAATTCTTTTTATATAGCTCTCAAAAGAGATAAGATTCTCTCCACGTGGTTTGGGCTTACTCCTTTGACTGAGAGCATGCCACTTTTTACTAGAGGTTGATGTATGACTCAACTTAGAGTTGAGGATGAAAAGTGGGGATCATAGCACCTGCCTATACCCTGGTACAGATCATATGATGTTGATTTATTTATTTGTGGAGTCAGGGTCTCGCTGTGTTGCCCAGGCTGGAGTGCAGTGGTACGATCATGGCTCACTGCAGCCTTGAACTCCTGGGTGTGGTGGTGCACACCTGTTGTCCCAGCAACTCTGGCAGGCTGAGGCAGGAGAATCGCTTGAACTCAGGAGGTGGAGGTTGCAGTGAGCCGAGATTATGCCACTACACTCCAGCCTGGAGACAAAGTAAGACTCCATCTCAGGAAAAAAAAAATTTAATTTAAAAAGTTCTAGTATCTAAAATGAGCAAAATCGCCAGGCATGGTGGGTCACACTTGTAATCCCAGCACTTTGGGATGCAGAAGTGGGTGGACCATCCGAAGTCAGAGGTTGAGACCAGCCTGCAGTGAGCCGAGATTGCACCACTGCACTCCAGCCTGGGAGACAGAGTGAGACTCCATTTCAAAAAAATTAGCCAAGCGTGGTAGCATGCACCTGTAGTCCTAGCTACCGGGGAGGCTGACAGGGAAGGATTCCTTGAGCCCGAAGGTCAAGGCTGCAGTGAGCCTTGTTTGCACCACCTCACTCCAACCTGGGCAAGACCCCATCTCAAAAAAGAAAAAAAAAACACAAAAACAAAAAACAAAACAGAACAGAACAGCATCACTTCCTTATCATTAGTTTGAAGGAAGTGAATTGCCTGTAAAATTTTCCATTTTCAAAAAAAGTATTAAAATATAGTGTAAAGCCAGTCACGATGGCTGTAATCTCAGCACTTTGGGAGGCTGAAATGGATTGCCCCTGGAGGTCAAGGCTGCAGCTGACCGATCCTCCTGCCTAAGCCCGGCAAGTAGCGGAGACTACAAGTGCGTGCCACCATGCCCAGCTAATTTTTTGTATTTTTGTAGAGACAGGGTTCCACCATGTTGCCCAAACTAGTCTGGAATTCCTGAGCTCAAGCGATCCACCTGCTTCCGCCACCGCCTCTGCCTCCCAAAATGCTGGGATTACGGGCGTGAGCCACCGGGCCTGGCACAATTACTTTCTTCAGTCTGAGCATGAGTGCTGGAAGAAAAGCTCTCACTTATATATAATTTTTTAGAGACAGAGTCTCCCTCTGTTACACGGGCTGGAGTGCAATGGCGCAATCTCAGCTCACTGTAACCTCAACCTCCAGTGCTTGATCGCTTATATAATCTCAGCTCACTGTAATCTCAACCTCCTGGGCTCGATCGCATATATATACACACATATATTTGTTTGTTTAGACGGAGTCTTGGTCTGTTGCCCAGGCTGGAGTGCAGTGGCGCGATCTCCGCTCACTGCAACCTCCGCATCCCGGGTTCAAACAATTCTCTGCCTCAGCCTCCCGAGTAGCTGGGATTACAGGCACCTGCCACCACGCCCGACTAATTTTTGTGTTTTTAGTAGAGACGGGGTTTCAGTGAAACCATGCTGGCCAGGCTGGTCTTGAACTCCTCTCCTCGCGATCCCGCCTCGACCTCCCAAAGTGCTGGGATTACAGGCGTGGGCCACCTCGCCCAGCCGACAGATTATATTTTCAAAAAGATGTTTTCTTTGTTTCCTAGCCCCTTCTACCCCGCTACAAAGTTTCAAAGACTTAATGCTATTACAAAGGGCCGTCAGAGGTCAAGCTCAGGGTTGCAGCTCCCTCATGCCGGGCAGCCTCAGAGGGGCCGACCCTACCCAGGATGAGCAGCGCCAGATAGCCGGGGACGCTCCCGGGGATCCACGGGCCCTGGCTGGGGGAGGCGTTGTGGGGCGCACGTACACAGGCTCAAGTGAGGCGAGTGGGCGGCCGGGGCTGCAGCTGGTGCTGGCCATTGAGGAGCTTCTGCGCGACAGTGCGATCGGTTGCACCTTCTGCGACAGGTGCCGGCCGGTTGGCGCGCAGCGCCTGCTAGCGCAGAGTCTGGCCCTTGCTGCGCCCGGCCCCGAAGACCGGGAAGTCGTAAAGCTCCTCATCGCAGCTTATGTGTGGCGGCGGCCGGGCCGAAGCCTAGCGACACAGAACTGCCAGCTCAGCAGCCGGTTACATCTCGCCCGGCAACCCATAGGCAGCGTCCGCTCATGCGCGCTCCTGGAAGACCCAGCAGCCCCGCCATGAGTTCCGATTGGCTCCGCGTGAGTGGCGGTCCCCTGTGACGTCGCAAGGGCGCGCCTTCCGCGGCGCCGCAAGGGCGCGCCTTCCGCGGCGCCGCAAGGGCGCGCCTTCCGCGGCGCCGCAAGGGCGCGCCTTCCGCGGCGCCGCAAGGGCGCGCCTTCCCCGGCGCCGCAAGGGCGCGCCTTCCCCGGCGCCGCACGGGCGCGCCTTCCCCGGCGCCGCACGGGCGCGCCTTCCCCGGCGCCGCAAGGGCGCGCCTTCGCCGACACCATAGAGGTGGGCCTTTGGCGAGTCACAGGCGCGGGTGTTCGGCTACGTCACTGGGGCGCTACGGTGCCTGGAGCTGGGCAGTCTTCTCGTCAGAGTGGGGACTGGTAAGAGCGACCTCACCGCCAGGTCCTGTGTGTTGCCGGCTGAAGAAGGGTAGCTGAAAAATTCAGACCCAGCACAGTGTTTATGTTGGTCAAAAATAGAAAACTATGTCTGCCGCGGCCGAGGCAGGAGGACCCTTCAGGCCAAGAGCAGCCTAGCAACATGGCGCAACCCCATCTCTGTAGTCCTACCTCAGCCCCCCAGCTACTTGAACCCAAAGGTTCAAGGCTCCAGTGAGCTATGATCCCACCACAGCATTCCAGCCTGCGAGATTGAGGTAAACCGTGTCTAAAAAAATTAAAAAAACTATCCAAGTGTGCAACAGGGAGGGACTGCTAAATAAAACATGAGGCTGGCTGGGCCCTACTGTAATCCCAGCACTTTGGGAGGCCAAAGCGGGAGGATGGATGGCTTGGGCTCAGGAGTTCGAGACCAGCCTGGGCAACATGACGAAACCCCGTCTCTACAAAAGATACAAAAATTAGCCGGGTGCTGTGTGCACCTGGCCTAATTTTTGTATTTTTTTCTAGAGATGGGGTGGGCGGGGGGTCTCGCTATGTTGCCCGGGCCAGTTTCGAACTCCTGAGTTGTAGCGATCTTCTCAGCTTGGCCATCAGAGTTGTCGGGATTACAGGCGTGAGGGACAGCGCCCCACCTGGGTTAGGCTACTTAATAACATAAGAAAGTGCTCCGCCAGGCTCAGTGGCTGACACTTGTAATCCCAACACTTTGGGAGGCCAAGGCAGGTGGATCACCTGAGGTCAGGAGTTGGAGACCAGCCTGGCCATGGTGAAACCCAGTCTCTACAAAAAATACAAAAATTAGCCGGCCGTGGTGGCGCATGCCTGTAGTCCCAGCTACTTGGGAGGCTGATAAAGGAGAATTACTTGAACCCGGGAGGCGGAGGTTGCATTGGGCTGAGATCGCACTACTGCACCCCAGCCTGGGCAACACAGCGAGACTCCAAAGTTTGACACCAGCCTGGGCAATGTAGTGACACCCTGTCTCTACAAAACAAACAAAAACCCAGGCATAACTGTGTCCACCTGTGGCCCTAGCTAGTTAGGAGGCTGAGGCAGGAGGATCACTTGAGTCCAGGAGCTCAAGGCTGCAGTGAGCTATGATAATCCCACTGCTTCCCATCCTGAGCAATAGAATGAAAGCATGTCTCTAGCTAGCTAGCTAGCTAGATAATTGATATGTAGTTTTGTATCAAATTTTTTCCCTAGATTTGAGCATGTTTTTCTAAAGTAGCATTCAACACATCAGCATTTTACAGTGTTATTATTTGTTAATATGATTATGTTTTTCTGAAATACAGTGTCCTTTACAAAAGCAGTTTTGTCGTTCAAAGCACATAGATAAGGCCCTCAAGTGAATTTGTCTGATGTTGGCGACCTTGGTACCATTTTGTCCACTTGATTGGAAAAGCCAGTCAATAATTTCAGGTCACTGTTGGCCTTAGAAGAAGAGCCCAAAGGCAACAAGCAAAGGCGCTGGTGTCCAGTCACCTTCTAGAAGCATTTTCACTTTCCCTTAAGGTTTCCCTTGATGAACATAGAAGTACTGTATGTAGAATTGACCCAGTGCTGCCCTGGCAACTTTGTATATTAGGCCAAATTTACATTTCTTACCTTTATGAGAGGCACCCTGGTAGGCTAGTGGAGTTACCCACAAAGTCTGATCTCAGCTGCACTGTCCAGAGATGCAACACGGTCCAATCAAATAACATTCTCTGAGCCCGTTTCTTTAGCTGTGAAAGAAGAATAACATACCCATCTAAAAAGGCAGCTTATTGTATTTGATTGGTCTTTTATTTTCTATGAAACTGTGTTTAACACAGTAATTATTTTCATTTGTGTACTACATTTGTGTTGTGTTTTTGGTTTTAGTTTTGTTTTTGAAATGGAGTCTTTTTTTTAGTGGTTTTTTGTTTTGTTTTGTTTTGTTTTTGAGATGGAGTCTTTCTGTTGTCACCCAGGCTAGAGTGCAGTGGCGTGATCTCCGCTCACTGCAACCTCCACCTCCCAGGTTCAAGTGATTCTCCTGCCTCAGCCTCCTGAGAAGCTGGGATTACAGGTGCCCACCACCACGCCCAGCTAATTTTTTAAATATATTTTTAGTAGAGATGGGGTTACAACATGTTGCCCAGGCTGGTCTCAAACTACTGACGTCAAGTGATCCACCCGCCTTGGCTTCCCAAAGTGCTGGGATTATAGGCATGAGCCACTGCGCCTGGCTTGTTTTAAAATAAGGGTTTCTTGGCTAGGCATGGTGGCTCACACCTGTAATCCCAGCACTTTGGGAGGCCAAGGTCAGTGGATCACCTGAGGTCAGGAGTTCGAGACCAGCCTGACCAATATGGAGAAACCCTGTCTCAACTGAAAATACAAAATTAGCCAGGCGTGGTGGTGCATGCCTGTAATCCCAGCTACTCAGGAGGCTGAGGAAGGAGAATTGCTTGAACCCGGGGGGCAGAGGTTGCAGTGAGCTGAGATCGCACCATTGCACTCCAGCCTGGGCAACGAGCAAAACTCTGTCTCAAAATAAAAAAAAAATTTCTTAAAATGATATTTTCAGTATTTTATAGATGATGTGTAAGCAGCAATCTTAATAGGATGTTACCCGACACTTTGCGAGACTGGCAGCTGATTTCATCCAGATGTCTCTAATTCTTTTTTCTTTTTCTTTTTCTTTTTCTTTTTCTGTTGTTGTTTTTTTTTTTGACAGAGCCTTGCTCCGTCCCCCATGCTGGAGTGCAGTGGCACGATCTCGGCTCACTGCAACCTCCACCTCCTGGGTTCAAGCAATTCTCCTGCCTCAGGCTCCCGAGTAGCTGGGATTACAGGTGCGCACCACCCTGCCCAGCTAATTTTTTGTATTTTTGGTAGAGACAGCATTTCACCATGTTGGCCAGGCTGGTCTCGAACTCCTGACCTTAGGTGATCTGCCTGCCTCGGCTTCCCAAAGTGTTAGGATTACAGGCGTCAGCCACTGTGCCTGGCCCAGATGTCTCTATTTCTAACATGAGATGTATTGCAGGATCATAGCAGAGTGAGTTGCTGATGTATCCAGAAGGAAACGAGCATGGAACTCTCATGACAGCTGTCCTGAGAAGTGTGTGTGTGCTGTGCTTGAATATCTCACTGCTCATTTATACACAGGCTTTCTGGTGACTGAGTTAACAGTATCTGTTTCATAAATAATGTAGCCCTCTTTCTTTCTTTCTCTCTCTCTTTTTTTTTTTTTTGAGACAGGGTCTTGCTCTGCTACCCACGCTGGAGTGCAATGGTGCAGTCTCAGCTCACCGCAACTTCAGCCTCCTGGGTTCAAGCGATTCTCCTGCCTCAGCCTCCCAAGTAGCTGGGATTACAGGCATGCGCCACCATGCCTGGCTAATTTTTTCTTTTTTTTTTTTTTGAGATGGAGTTTCGCGGTTGTTGCCCAGGCTGGAGTGCAATGGCACAATCTCGGCTCACCACAATCTTTGCCTTTCAGGTTCAAGGGATTCTCCTGCCTCAGCCTCCCGAGTAGCTGGGATTACAGACATGTGCCACCACACCCAGCTAATGTTGTAGTTTTAGTAGAGATGGGGTTTCTCTATGTTGGTTAGGCTGGTCTCAAACTCCTGACCTCAGGTGATCTACCCGCCTCGGCCTCTCAAAGTGCTGGGATCACAGGCATGAGCCATCACTCCTGGCCTAATTTTTGTATTTTTAGTAGAGAGAGGGTTTCACTCTGTTGGCCAGGCTGGTCTCGAATTCCTGACCTCAAGTTATCTGCCTGCCTCAGCCTCCCAAACTGTTGGAATTACAGGCGTGAACCACCATGCCTGGCCAGCTCTATTTCTTTAAGCCTACATGTTTTGCACTTGTTAAAAGTATTTGAACATACAATTACTCAGCTTCCCTTGTTTACGTGTGAATTTTGTATAATCTTAAATATTTTTTCCAATCTAAGCTTTATTTTATCCCGTTTCTTCTATATTTGTATAACTTTAGGCGGCTATCTTCATTGAAAGTTTTTTCTCAAAAGCCTTAAGATAGAACATAGTTCTTGGCAGCAATTTGAAAGTTATTTGAGGAGAAGGGGAGACTTACAATGATGATTCAAATGAAGGAAACTAAAAAGTAATGAAGCAAGGCAGAGGAAAAAGCAGTATTCACTTGAGTACATCCCAAAAGAATAACATTTCAAATGTAACTAGAAAAAAGTATGCTGAAGTTCGCAATACAGAAATAATTATTAATAAGATAGCTTTAAAGCCCTGCTCAGCTTTTGAATGTTGGGAATTGACCCAGAGGTGGCTGTAACCTAAGATGGTTCCTTCAGTAATGACCATTTTTTCTTTTTCAAGATGATGATTATTCCCCACCTTCTAAGAGACAAAGACCAACGATCCACCACAGCCACCAGTCCCAGAACCCGCCAATGCTGGGGAATGGAAAATGAGGGAGTTCAACTCTGGTAAGGTCTCAGCGAAATCCATGACCTTTTCCTTTATCTTCTGGACTCTCAGTGTGACTGATGAAAGTTATCACAGGCTCTGCAGGGGGAAATGGTTTAGCATGTGTTACTACATCTTAATCACATCTTTGTAAAGCCGGGAGCATTTTACAAGTCACGTTACAGACATTGTTTAAACATAGTCTGTATTTACCAAAGTATAGGACATTGTATCATCTCATATTAATTAGTTGGCTCAAAATTAGTGCTAATGACTTAGTAATTCAGTGATTTCTGTCAGCTTTAAAACCTTTGTTTCAGAACTATTTCACCTCTTGGTTTTCATTTTTGCTGTGTGTCACTGCCTGCCGGCTGCTAATTTATTAACTCCCAGTGAATCATGTGTCCTGTGAAGGGACTGAATATTAGTGGCAATCTATGTTGATGATTTGTATTTTGAATAAATAGTTTGAATACATAGAACATTAAGCTTGTATACATTTTGAAAATAGTATTTTAATATTCTACTGTGTCATAGTTACAATGATTGGATATATATTGAATTTATATGTACTTTAAGTTGTTATGTGTTTATGGTCTTTAGCATTCTAACGTGCAATTGTATATCTGTTAAGTCTTTTTTTTTTTCAAGATTAGACTGATTTATTGAGGCATCTGTTTGATGCCACATTAAGTGGCCCAGGCTTTGTGTAGGGGTTGAGGTTAAAGCAGGAAGAAGGGTGGTGAGAGGCGGGGTACCAGGATTAGGTTGGAATACCTGGGGGTGCTCTGAGGCTCCCCAAGTTTCCCTGGTCTTGGCCGGCTGTGCTGCTGGCCTGGGCATCTGATGGGCCTGCAAGGGTGGTCCAGGGGCTAGGGCAGGGACTTTGGAGTCACGCCGTTGGCTTTGAATCCAGACTCCTACACTTGGTAGCTGTGAACTCTCCATGCCTCAGGGACCTGCAGAACTGAGCTCTGTCTGAGCCAGGTTCCATCCAGGCACTGCGGATCCATCCAGAGGGGCACTGCCTCAGGTTGCTCGCTGTTCACTGCCTTCTCAAGCAGACCCTTGTCTCCTTCTAGGCCCTCACAATCCAGTGGAGGAGACGAAACTCATCTGCCTCTGTCCCTCTGGGCACGCCTCATGCCAGGTGCATCTGTGGACAGGGGCCATGCTCCTGGGCTTCCAAAGTTGGAGAAAGCTGCCAGGCTCAGGTGGGTACATCACAGCAGCTGCTGCCCTCTGAACACAGTGACAAAAGAACACTCTGGGCCTGGAGCCCTGGTCTGGGGCATTGGGCAAGGCTGTTGCACTTCTCTGATCCCATTTCCCCATCTGGAAAGTGCGCTGATTGTATCTCCCTGTGGGCACTGAGGGCTCAGTGTTAGTTTGAGAGCCAGCATCTGGGATTTGGGCTATAATTCCCCGTCAGCCCCATAGCTGCAGGGAACCAGGGACTTTGTTGGGATTACCCTAGGCATCAGTTTAGCTTCCTGCCCCTGGCTTGGGCTCAGCACCTGAAGTATTGTAGGGGGTAGGTAGTCCTGGTGGGGGCTGGGGCTTTTACTCAGACTGAGGTCACACCCAGAGCCAGAAGTCTTGGTGCCTGCTCTGGGCAAAGTTGCCAGCCTGTGCGACAAGAGCGAAACTCCGTCTCCAAAACAAAAACAAAAAACCTTGTATCATTTCCAGGGGCTCACATCTCCCTAAGGGCCTGGTAATTGGCTGGCTCTGGCCTCCATCTGGCCCTGAGGGTGTAGGTAACACCCCACCTTACCTGGTTTCTTCCTGCCAGGGCCAATCTTCAGACTTCAGGACTTTGCAGCCTATCCCACCTCCCCTCTGGCCAGCCTTGAGCCCTTGTGGGTCCAGCACTTTTTCCAGGCTGTCTCCTGGTTGTCCTTCTGCCTCGAGGCCTGGCTCATGCTGCTCCCCCTCCCACTCTCCAAGACCCACAAGGACCACTCCACACCCAGCTCAGCCCCTCCCCTCAGATAGTCCTTTCTCTTTCCTCAGGTGGCCAGGTGCATATCTTGTGTGAGGACCTTCACTGTATCTGGGAATGCCTACTGGTTACCTCGGTAACAGAGAACAAGGCATTTACCTGATATGAGTGTCTTGGTTCACTGTCTACATGGCTAGGGAGGGAGTCAATAATAGGCTTTTCACTTGCTGCAAGGGCCAGTTCTCCTGGCCCCATGGCTCTAGGGATGGAGGACGCTGCAGGAGATGCGCCGCTCACTTCCCAGCTGAGGACTGTGGGTCATCTCAGGGCGATTTCACAGTCCCCACATGCCCCACCCCCTCAGCTCTGCAAATACCAAGCAGTGCAGCCTGCCTAGGGGATGATGGGCTCGAGAGTGCCCAGGTAGTGCCCAGAGTGCCCTTGGCAGGCCCCTCACCTAGCTGCTTCCACAGCTCTGTAGCAAGAGTTCTAACCTTTTTTGACCGTGAAGCCTGCTGAGAATAAGAGCTGTGGACTGTTTTCCCAGAAAGGCATGTACATGCTCTCCACACAAAACCTTTCATCGTGGCCAAGCACAGTGGCTCATGTAATCCCAGAACTTTGGGAGGCGGAGCCAGTCGGATCACCTGAGGTCAGGAGTTCAAGACCAGCCTGCCCAACATGGCGAAACCCTGTCTCTACTAAAAATACAAAAAATTAGCCAGGCGTGGTGGCAGCCACCTGTAATCCCAGCTACTCTGGAGGCTGAGGCAGGAGAATCACTTGAACCTGGGAGGCGCAGGCTGTAGTGTGGTGAGATCACGCCACTGCACTCCAGCCCGGGCGACAGGAGCGAAACTCTGTCTCAAAAAACAAAACAAAACAAAACCTTGCATCCTTTCAGGGGGCTCACACCTCCCTAAGGGCCCAGTAATTAAACCCTTTGGGCCTGAGGGTGAGAAACTTTGTCTGAGTTCTTCCCCGAGTGATCAGCCCAGGGGTAAGGAAGGAGAAGCCAGAAAGCAGGACCCATGAGAAGGGCCCCCTCCTGGAGTTTGAGGCCCACTCCCTCCTGCCCCTGCCTCTCCTCTGTCCAGGACTCCTCCCTGCTCTGCCCCACTCCTGGGGCCATAACCATGGGGAGCTGTGGTTTTCTACAGGCCCCTGGGCACAAAGTGGGCAGGCTCACCTGGAGGCGAGCAGAGTAACATGGCAGGAAGTGAGGGGGAAAGCCGCCCTGGAACTGCGCCTCTCTGCCCCCTGATGTCACTGGCGTGCACTCCTCCCTCCCGTCACTCAGGCAGTGGCATGAGTTCCATGGGAGCGCTGTCCTGCTCCCTCTGCTGCCTCTTTTTTTTCTTGGGGCTGCCATAACACTTTCCCTTCCCCAGCCCTGCCAACCTGGTGGGACATTGGGCTTCCCTCTCACAGGGTCCTGGGGACAGGCCCATCCTTTATCATACCCACAGAGAGACCCTTTTTTTCTTCAGGACCTGGGGAGCAGCCAGGTTCCATGAGTTAAATGCAGATCTGAACCAAGCTGGGATTGGGGTACACACTCTCCTCTACTGAAAAGTAGCTAGGGATTCCAACTAGGTGAGAAGGAGAGTGGGGCAGAGCCACACCAAACAAGGACTGATCACCTGGAAAAAGCCTACCATCAAAGGTCTTGGCAAATGCTGGGTGCAGTGGCTCACTCCTGTAATCCCAGCACTTTGCGGGGCTGAGACAGGTGGACTACTTGAGGCAAGGAGTTCGAGTCCACCCTGGGCAACATGGCAAAACCCCGTCTCTACTAGAAATAGAAAAATTAGCTAGGCATGCTACACTCCTGTAATCCCAGCTACCCAGGAGACTGAGGCAGGAGAATCACTTGAACTGGGGAGGCAGAGGTCGAAGTGAGCCGAGATTGTGCCCCTGCACTCCAGTCTGGGAGACACAGTGAAACTGGCCTCAAAAAAAAGAAAGAATATGGCCTTGGCAGAGAGGGGCCAGCCCAGCAGTGCCTTCCCTTGGGTTTCTCCTGTGTAGGCCTCTGCCATGAGGAGGTGCTTCCTTCTGCCTGTCCATGGCCCACAGCAATGGAATGTCTGCTTCTGGGGGTTGGGTGGGAGACTGCTGGCAGAACTGGAAAGCTTCAGATGGGGTTTTTTTGTTTTGTTTTGTTTTCGAGATGGAGCGTTGCTCTGTCACCCAGGCTGGAGTGCAGTGGTGGAATCTCAGTTCACTGCAACCTCCGCCCCCCTGGGTTCAAACAATTCTCCTGTCTCAGCCTCCTGAGTAGCTGAGATTACAGGCATGTGCCACCATGCCCGGCTAGTTTTTGTATTTTTTGTATAGATGGCATTTCACCATGTTGGCTGGGCTGGTCTCGAACTGCTGACCTCAAGTGATCCACCCACCTCGGCCTCCCAAAGTGCTGGGATTACAGGCATGAGCCACTGAGCCCAGCCCCTTCAGGGGTGTTTTGAGGCTTCACTACAATACTAGTTTCCTGTGGCTGCTGCAACAAATTACCACACACTTAGTGACTTAAAACAACCAAAATGTATTCCTTTACAGGTCTGAAGGCCAGAATTCTACAGTAAGTCCTACTGAGTCAAGGTGGGAGCAGGGTCGGTGGCTTCCGAGGCTCTGCGGGAGAATCCGTTTCCTGGCCGTAGAGGTGGCCTGCACTCCTCAGCTTGTGCTGCCCGTCTCGAATGACTGGAGTTTCCTGCTTCTGTCACTACACCTCCCACCCTCTCCATCACCTGCTCTGCTCTTATAAGGATCCGAGTGAGTACATCAACCGCAAAAGCCAAAGACCCTTTAACTTCATTATATCTGCAAAGCCCCTTTTGCCATATAAAGTCATGTTCACCAGTTCCCGGGATTAGGATATGGGCATCTTGGGGGCATCAGCCTGCTACAGCTAGGCTGCAAAACTGTTACACCCTCCTGGTGTTTCAATGATTGGGAGAAAAAGGGTTGGCATTTTTTGCTTAGGGATCCTTCTTAAACTTGTATCTGTAAGGTCGGGGGTCCCTCTTAACCTTGTGTTTTTGTTTTTGTTTTTTTGAGGTGGAGTCTTGCTCTGTCATCCAGGCTGGCAGTGGCGTGATCTTGGTTCACTGCAATGTCTGCCTCCTGGGTTCAGGTGATTCTCCTGCCTCAGCCTCCTGAGTAGCTGGGACTACAGGCGCCCGCCACCATGCCCTGCTGTTTTGTATTTTTGGTAGGGAAGGGGTGGGGGTGGGGCTAGGGAGGGGGGTTTTGGCTATGTTGCCCTGAGCTAAAAGCGATCCACCTGCCTCTGCTGCCGAAGTGCTGGGATTACAGGCCTGCACCACTGCACCCGGCTGCTGTAAAGTCTTATTTCACACAGCTGAGACATGTTTTAGGAAGTTTGCTAAAAGACCCCTGGAGACCGCCTCATTGTGACCTCCCTGTTATTGTGTTTAATTTGATTGAACTTTTCTGCCCTCCTGCTTTTCAGCTTCTCTAATAGTCTCCCATTAAACCAATTCTAAGAACCACCAAAAAGGGGAAATTTTTTCTTGAAAGCAGTAAAATGATATGGACTGTTAGAATGTAAAATATATGAAATAATTCATTATACGTTAGTGCTGCTCTGACATAGGGACGTATTATTGAGAAGCAACTTTTGCTTGATTTTCAGAGAAATGGAATCATCGTATCGCTGATCTGCGTAAACAAATTGAAGAATTGTCTGAAAGAAAATATGGTATGTCTAAACTGGAAAAGTCCTGTAATCTTATGTTCATGGGCGTTTACACAATGGAGTTACTGTTCATCATGGGGGTACCGTGGACAAGCCCAGGGCTGCCGGCGAGTCATGCTATCCTTACACGTTTCTCCTTGTAAGGTGCTTTGTAGTGTCTACACACTTTGTTTCTAGATTGCTGCAAAGCTGAGGAAAAGTTATATTTCTTTAGTTATTAGTTAGCATTTCTTTTAAACTTTCAGTATGGAGATTGGAAATTTATTTACATATTTATTGCAAAGCCCTGGATCTTAGGGATTTCATTGAATTATTTATTTATTTTTTTTGAGACGGAGCCTCACTCTGTCGCCCAGGCTGGAGTGCAGTGGCACGATCTCGGCTCACTGCAACCTCCGCCTCCTGGGTTCAAGCAGTTCTCTGCCTCAGCCTCCCAAGCAGCTAGGATTACAGGCACCAGCCACCACGCCTGGCTGATTTTTGTATTTTTAGTAGAGACGGAGTTTCATGATCTTGGCTAGGCTGGTCTTGAACTGCTGACCTCCTGATCCACTCACCTCAGCCTCCCACAGTGCTGGGATTACAGGTGTGAGCCGCCATGCCTGGCCAAATATTATTTTTTTAAATGAATTGTTTCTCTTAGTCTGCTTTGTTAAATTTGGAATTCATCTGGGCGCAGTGGCTCACACCTGTAATCCCAGCACTTTGGGAGGCCAAGGCAGGCAGATATCTAGGTCGGGAGTTCGAGACCAGCCTGACCAACATGGAGAAACCCCGTCTCTACTAAAAATACAAAATTAGACGGGTGTGGTGGTGCATGTCTGTAATCCCAGCTATTTGGGAGGCCAAGGCAGGAGAATTGCTTGAACCCAGGAGGCAGAGGTTGTGGTGAGCCGAGGTTGCACCATTGCACTCTAGCCTGGGCAAAAAGAGCAAAACTCCATCTCAAAATAAATAAATAAATAAAATGTTCAGTACTCACCAAGGTGCCCCTATTGTCTCTACTTTTATCTTGATGCATCACTGAATTGATGTTAGATTTCAAATTCATCATTGCCCTGATACTATTCTATCCTGAAGCCACCTTTATATAGTGATGAAAGAAATTAGCGATTTGTTATTATCCTCTCTCTGTTGGTATACATCAGATGCTCACCTAAAAAGAGCAACAACCAGTGGAAAACACATGATGTTTTTATTTGGGTGACTATTTACTTGTAACCTACTAGCAAACTATAAAATTGTATGGTATGCAGAATTTTAACTGAATTGCTTTAAGTGAACATTTAAACATGATAAACAATATTGATGGTATTTATGTTAATATACTTAAAATGAACATTTTTCTTCATCATGAGTAATATAACCTACTCCTCAATGAAAACCTAGCACTAAATTTGCTAATGAATTCAATAACATTTCCATAATATTTTTAGTTACATGCTTAAGGTTCTCTTAGTGTTTCTCCCACTTTTTAATAGCTTATGCCTTTTTCGCCTTTCGTTTTTTTTGGTTCATTTTAAAGCAAAAATCTCACAACATGTGATATCTGGAAACACTGTAACCTAGTGGTAAGACCATAGGCCCTGGGGACACAGGCTGGCCACGTCTCTTCTCCTGTCTGAGCTTTAGTATCCTCTTTTGTGGTCATGAGAACTGAAGATCTGTCCCAAAGATTTGATAAGATAGTAAAGTGCTTCACATAATTCCAGACATATAAATACACAGTAAATGCTTCCTCCTTATATTTTTATTGATTGATTGATTGAGACAGAATCTTGCTCTCTTGCCCAGGCTGGAATGCAGTGGCGTGATCATGGTTTCTGCAACCTCCACCTCCTGGGTTCAGGCAATTCTCCTGCCTCAGCCTCCCGAGTAGCTGGGATTACAGGTGCCTGCCACCATGCCCAGCTAATTATTGTACTTTTAGTACAGACGGGGTTTTACCATGTTGGCCAGGCTGGTCTCGAACTCCTGACCTCATGATCTGCCTGCCTCGGCCTCCCAAACTGCTGGGATTACAGGTGTGAGCCACTGTGCCCAGCCTGTCTTTTCACACCCGCAGTTCATGATGAAATATTAAATATGTACTAGTGGATATTACTTTGCTGAATATTGCCTAGTGAATATTAAGTATTTATTCTCACCTTTCAGACATGAACTTATGAATTCAACAGGTAAAGATTTACAACTTGATAAATCAACTTTGTGAGGTAAGTCTTCAGTCTTAAGTCAGATTAGAAGATTATGTGAGGTAATTAACACTTAACATTGATTTAATGGTAGCTTCCACATGAAATAGTATGCCTCTAAGTATTAATTATGTCCTAGGACAGGAGAATTCATGTTGTCAAAATTCTCATACTCTCTAGAACAATAAACTTATTTTCTTTTTATTAGTAAATATTGCATTTATGGGTAGACAAAACTGAAAGAACAATATTTGTTCTACTTTTGAGATGCAAGATTCATCCGGCATAATGCATTGAACCGGTTGTTATTGAAGTCTACACCAGTCAACTGAATAAGCATTCATCAAATGTCCATGATATGCAGGACATAAGTTTTCTTTTAGAGTATGGAACCATGCATATTATCTTTTAATTAGATGATTTAGTTAGACATGTTTTTAAAGAACTAGAAATATAATTGATTTTCTTGTTTTGGCTCTGGAGTGGAGTGGGGACGAAACAGAATGGATTCACACTGTTTAGATTTACTAAAATGGAAGGATTGCAGCAAGATCATATCCCTAGTCTCCCCATAGCAAATGTCACCTGCTAGCTGTTTTTTTTTTGGAGGTTGAAGTTTTGTTCTGTCGCCCCCGCTGGAGTGCAGTGGTATGATCTCAGCTCATGGCAAGCTCACCTCCTGGGTTCAAGCAATTCTCCCTGCCTCAGCATCCTAAGTAGCTGGGATTACAGGCCTCTGCCACCATGCCTGCCTAATTTTTGTATTTGTAGTAGAGTTGGGGTTTCACCATGTTGGCCAGGCTGGCCTTGAACTCCTGACTTCAGGAGATTCACCCGCCTCAGCCTCCCAAAGTGCTGGGATTATGGGTGTGTCACTGCACTTGGATTTAATGGAATATTTCACTACAGACTTTGGTAAACAGAATATTAGCATTTTTGGTGTTCTTTTTATTTTACTCATACTATTTTTCTTTGGACTCAATCACAATAACAGAATTAAAGATCAAAGTGTAAAAGTTAAAGACCAGTACAGATTCAATAATTATTCTTTTCTACATACTGTGTTTAATTGATATCCCTTTTTCTTTTTGTTCTTATAGCTCGAGCTGTAAAAGCCAAAGGTCCAGTGATGATCCCATACCCTTTTGTCCAGTCTCATGTTGAAGATTTTTATGTAGAAGGCCTTCCCAAAGGAATTTTTTTTTTTTTTTTGAGATGGAGTTTTCACTCTTATCGCCCAGGCTGGGGTGCAATGGCGCAACCTTGCTGGTCACTGCAACCTCTGCCTCCTGGGTTCAAGAAATTCTCTTGCCTTAGCCTCCCAAGTTGCTGGGATTACAGGTGCCCACCACCACACCAGGCTAATTTTTGTATTTTTAGTGGAGATGGGGTTTCACCATGTTGGCCGGGCCAGTCTCGAACTCCTGACGTCAAGTGATCTTCCCGCCTCGACTCCTGACATCAAGTGATCTTCCCACCTCGGCCTCCAAGAGTGCTGAGATTACAGATGTGAACCCATGCCTGGCCAGGAATTTTGTTTTTTAGGAAGGCTTTCTACTAATGGAATTCCTGGCCTTGAGAGGATGTTACTTTCGAAGGAAAGGATTTTTTTGTTATTAAAAGGTAAGATTCCTGGATTCTTATTGGACTGTTATCTCTGTTATGAGTAATCCATCTTTAGTCATTCACCACTAGGGTTGTATTTAATTAAGTCTGAGTTATTTTATGGTGGTTTTGTTTTGTTTTGTTTTTACTGAATTTTTTTCTCATTGCCGTGGCTTGAGGGCAATGGCGTGATTTCAGGTCACCACATTCTCTGCCTTCCAGGTTCAAGCAATTCTGCCTCAGCCTCCTGAGTAGCTGGATTTACAGGCATGTGCCACCATGCCTGGCTAATTTTTTGTATTTTTAGTAGAGATGGTGTTTCACCATGTTGACCAGGCTGGTCTAGAACTCCTGACCTTGGGTGATCCACCCGCCTCGGCCTCCCAAAGTGCTGGGATTACAGGCATGAGCCACTGCGCCCAGCCTGGGCCTGCTTCTTTCTCTTTTTCTTTTTTTTTTCATTAGCAGCTTAAAATTGGTGCCTTATTCAGACACAGGCAAAAGGACATTAGCCCAGCTTTGGAAATAGGTGTGAGCCCATATATGATTTTCCTAGTTTCTCCTCCCCCTTTGCTTTTTGCTCTCTTAGTATATTAATTGTTTTCACTCTCTGAATCTTTTTTCCCCATTTCTTTGGCAGACATTTTTACTTGTCTTGGAAGAGTAGGTGAAGAGCTGTTTTTAGGACTCTTTGAAAGGGTACAGTATGGGTGACAGTCTTGGCTAATGGTAACATCCAGGGAGCTGGGGTCAGCGTGAGCAAATTAGCAAAGCACTGGCACTCAGTGGCAGGAATACAAGTGACTGCAAAGTGTTAAACACATCTGGAAAGGGATACTGACATCATCCTCAGAATCTGTGGGGAGTTCACATAGCCAGTTAAGACCCATTCCTCTTTGACCCTATAAAGATTCTTTAAAGAATAATACCCTTAGTGGTTTTCTAGCCAGCTTGCCTGCTCATTTATCTTTGAGAACGACATGCCTTGTGGAGCTCCACAGGCCCCAGAGGGGTATGGATTCTGCATTTGAAAGTGCTGGAGCTGAGAGACTGGGTCTTGGTGGACCCCAAGAGGCCTGTTTCTCCTCTACTCATTGTTCTATTTTTTCCCAGCAGCTGGCATTGCTGTTTAAATGGGTTGTTCTTTGCTGTTTTAAGTTGTTTCATAGTGGTGTGTCAGGATTTGGGTTTTCTTAATACTTTCCAAGCTGGTGACTTGAGTGGTGCTTAGGGAGGAACTGTTTTAGGGCTGTTCTGGAGCTATAGAGGTCAGGTGTCTAGATACTCCCAGCTTGTCTGTTGAGGAGAATGCTGTTCTCATTGTGCTGCCTTTGGTGGTGCTGTGTGTGGCTCTTTAGATGTGGGTGGAGGTGAGCTGGGGGAGTTAATGAGATCTTTTTTAGGTGCTTTTGATAAAGTAGCCTGCACTACAGGATTCACTGTGACTTTTTTCCTTAACCTATGCATTTCTCTCTGCTAGCTTTTGCTGTCTTTCTCATGCCTTTGATTTTCCCAGCTCCTCTTAGTTGAATTAACCTAAGTGCTCTGCTATGGTTTAAATGTGTCCCCCAAAGTTTATGTGCTGGAAACTCAATCCTCAATGCAACAGTTGGGATGTGGGGCCTAATAAAATAGCCTTCATGAATGAGTTAATGTTGTTATTGTGGTAATAGATTAGTAATCACAGAGTGGGCTTATTATAAAACAGAGTTCAGCCCCTTTTGCCCTCTTGCTTTCTTGCACTCTCTTTTCCTTCTGCCTTCTGTAGTGGGATGATGCAGCAAGAAGACCCTTACCAGATGCAGGCCCCTCAACCTTGGACTTCCTAACATCCAGAACTGTTAAGAAATAAAATTTATTCCTTTCCTTTCCTTTTCTTCCTCCTTTCCCTTCTCCCTTTTCTTCCCTTCCCCTTCCTCCCTCTCTCTCTCCCTCCCTCCCTCCCTCCTTCCCTCCGTTCCTCCTTCCCTCTTTCTCTCTTTCCCTTCCTTCCTTTCCTTCTTTCCCTTCCTTCCTTTCCTTCCCTCCTTCCGTCTTTCCCTCCTTCCCTCCTTCCTTCCTTTTTTCTTTCCTTCCTTTTTTCCTTTTTATAAATTATGCAGTCTGTGGTATTCTTTTATAGAAGCATGAAATGGACAAAGACTCCGTTTTCAAGAGCAAGCACTTTTGTAGTTTCTGAGTGAATTATGACTGCAAAGGAAGTTCTATAGGTAGCCTCAGATCCACTACCTAGGAAGCATGCTACCAAGCAGACCTAGGATCTAGGATTTGATCAAGTGCTGGGCAACATGATACCTCTGCAATTTAGCACCTCCCTATATACCTCCAGTTGGCTCAGCCCATCAGGGCTAAAACTACCCCTCATATCCTAGTGTCTCTTGTAGGCAGAAGCCTTGCCTAAACCCTAAGCTGCTTGGCTCACATTCTGTCTTGTGCTTTTTTTGTAGGGGGTTCAAATATACACAAAAGAAATATGTTGAACCTCCATGCACCCAACCCGCAGATTAAGCAGTTACCTCCATTTTTCCAGATTTGTTTTGTCTGCTTCAATCTCCCTAAAAATTTATGTTTGTACAGGAAAGACTGAATAAATAGCTAATTCTCCACCCTACCTCTCATCTTAAGTCACTTTTCAGAGTAGTAAGTTAGTGACCTAGTAACCTTCCCTCTAATGACCAGTAGTTTTTTTTCTGAATACCATTATGAACTCATAGATTATTGTTTGCATTTGATGTATTTCAGGCCATTACAGTCTTTATTGTTTTGGATGCTTTCATTGTCTCATCTAGGTTAATAATTATCTCTTCAAGTTGACTTTCATGTCTTTTTGACGGGATCCTGTTGGACTTTGATGGCTTCCTTGCTTTCTGGCAAAAAAGATGTTCCAGGATCAATATACTGCACCATACATGGAGTCAGCCATTTCTCTAGGGAACCTTGATTCCTTTTAGTAGAGAACACAGTTTGAGGTCTTGGACTGAATGACTTTTGTGAACCTCCTCTCCTGAGACTACAGCCTGCATCCCTGCATATAGCCCGTTTGGAGCTCTTGCTGGGCACCAACAGATCTCCTAAAACTGCTATGTAGTTCTGCCTCACTCTTACAAAGATTCATCTCTTGAGAGTTTTGTGCTCTACCCTCAGATGTGGTCTTTCTGGTTCTGAAGCTTTTGCTTCAGTCACCCTGAATTTTGCCAGCCCTATGCATGCTATACCTTGGATTGCCAACTTGCCCTCACTGAAGCCAGTTTCTCAGGTTAGAATAGTTGCCCCAACCCATGCCTAATACTCTAGTAAATAAGGTTCTACCTGGGCTTACGTTAACTTTTGCTCCTTTGGGCCCTGTGTTCTACCAGCATTCCATTTATCTGAAACTGTCCCTCACCTTAAGAACGTATCTGTTCTTTAATGATTTACTGCTGCTTCCTGGGCTCGAAAGAATCCAGTTCAGGAGTTTCTGTTTTAGTTTGAGATCTTATAGTCCTGTCTCATCAGGTTGGTGTCAGCCCAGCTAGGATTAGGCAGAATTGGGTGGGGGCTGTAGTGCATTTTTGGCACAGCATGTACCTATCTGACTAATTCTCTGTCTTTTCTTTCCTGTTGTAATTCATGGGTCTTAGCATCTTCTGAATGGTGTTTAGTAGGTCATCCTGTTGATTTCTTGCTAGGGAGTAGCATACTCTGGCTCTGTACCATTGGCCAAGGGGCTTAAGGATAGATGAAGGGCTGCAGTTTTGTTAAATGGAACAATATGAAGAGATGGCATTGTAAAAAAAAAAAAAGGCTTGGCAGCAGGGCCCATTTGAATGGTTGGTCCTTGGCTCCTTTGTTGATATAGGCAGATCCTTGATGGGAATTTGGAATGATCCCAAATATTGTAGATCACTGGTACATCAAGTCATCCTCAAGGTTGTCTGTGTAACGGTCTTGAATGATATTTTGTCAGTCTTTGGAGATTCTCTGTATAGGATTTAATCATTTAGTTATTTCAGTTGAGCCTGTTTAGTTTCTTTGCAAGGAGATAAGAAATGTGAAAGAGATGCAGACATTAGGGAAAAAAAGTCAGGAGCCTTGTTTCCCCATCCTCTACTTGGGTTCTGGAACTAGACTCATAGGTGAGTAGTGAGGAGCTGGGCCCAAGCACATTAATCCTAGATCTAGCTATGCTTTGCACTCGCTCCAGTTCTTGTATCAAATTCACTTCAAGCCACCCAGAGTAGTATGTAGAGGAGTCATTCAGGACTGTGCTTATACTTCATTGTATCAAATGGGAGATCCAGTAATTTATAGCCTATTGTTTCTGGAGCCTGGAGATGGCTCTGCATAAGATTTGCTGAAGCAAATTTTATTACATTAGAAGAGAACCTAGCTGGCTGCATCCTACACTGGAAGCTTTTAGATGCTAATAAGGAGGTCATGTAAAGGTCACAGAATGACTCTGGAATCCATTCCCCGCCAAGAAAGAATAATGACATTCTATGTTGGCCTCTTTTCATTTCCCTTTGATTTTGAGTAATAAATTCTCTCCTCACTTCCCAGTTGAACTGTTTGGGAGTCTCTATTCCCTAGAAAGACTCTGGTCACATACCCATCAGATTAAATTAGGTGAAAACTCTTTGGCCTTTATGAATGTTGAAGAATTCCAAAGGGCTAATGGAAATTCTTCTGGAAGTAACTGCAACCTCTGCCTTCCGGGTTCAAGCCATTTTCCTGCCTCAGCCTCCCGAGTAGCTGGGATTACAGGTGTCCACTACCATGCCCAACTAATTTTTGTATTTTTAGTAGAGATGGGGTTTCACCATGTTGGCCAGGCTGATCTAGAACTTTTGACCTCAGGTGATCTGCCCGCCTCAGCCTCCCAAAGTGCTGGGATTACAGGTGTGATCCACCGCACCCAGTTAAACTTCAGTTTTTCATGTTCCATGCGTAGGTCAGGGTCTTAGGGAGTGATTCATTCTAGCAGAACTCCCTGGATTTTAAGGCAGATGTTCCATTTATTAATTGACAAAGGAGGCATATTTTTCCCCTGGTAACCCAAAGATTTAGGTCATTTTCCCAGAGACTCCATTTCCACTGTGAGGGTTCTTGGAAAACTAAGCAGAGGATGAGGAAAAGTCTATGAACAAGCTTGCTGGTCTCTCCCTGTCCTACAAAAGAGTATACCTCTTCTGTAACCAGAAGGCCCTTTTGATTAGTCAAGGCTGGACAGACTGAGATTGTGTGTGTGTGTGTGTGTGTGTGTGTGTGTGTGTGTGTGTCTTGAGACAGGGTCTCACTCTGTCACCCAGGCTGGAGTGCAGTGGTGAGATCAGAGCTCACTGCAGCTTCCACTTCCTGGGCTCAAGTGATCCTCATATTTCAGCCTCCAGAGGAGCTGGGACTATACGAATGTTTTACCGCACCCAGTTCATTTTCTAATTTTTTGTAGAGATGAGGTTTCACTGTGTTGCTCAGGCTGGTCTTGAACTCCTGGCCTCACGGAATCCTCCTGCCTTAGTCTCCCCGTGGGCTGGGATTATAGGTATGAGCCACCTCACCTGACCTGCGACGATTTTTCAACAATGTAATTTCTCTTTTACAGAGCCACCTAAGCTGAAGATTCCCTTGAGAACAAGTACTGTCCTGCGGTTTCATGGCCTTTCTTCCATTTGTGGTTCTTGTGAAGTGGAATTTAAATGACATCAAGATGGATAAACCCTAGTTTCCCAGTGCTGGAATATAGAAAATGGATGGACAAGTAAATCCCACTCAGCACCCATAGTCCAGGCATGGGGATCTCAACACACCTGAGCCCCAGACATCACCTTTCATTGTGAGTAGCTCTGAGATGACACTTCTGCTGTTCCCAATTCCAGCATTAATTGGATTAGTTATTTTATGAAGAATTTTCATATGCCACAATCCTGACCATATCTTCAAGTGAACAGAAAAATTCTATTAAAAAGTCAACCTTCTGTCTCACTCTGTTGCCCAGACTGGAGTGCAGTGGTGCAATTATGGCTCACTGCAGCCTCAACCTCCTGGGCTCAAGCAATCCTCCTGCCTCAGCCTCACAAGTAGCTGGGACTACAGGTGCTTGTCACCACACCTCACTAATTTTCCCATTTGTGTTATATGTGGATTCCACGGGACTGACTTCGAAAACTTGAGTATGCGTGGATTTTGGTATACACAGAAATGGGAGAGCTGGAACTAATCCCCCCATATACCAAGGGACAAATTGTATCTGTTTTTACAATTATACAGTAGGAGACATTATGTTCCATGACAATGGTAATTTTTAATGACAGTTTTTAATTGAGTGAAATTACCATAAAAATAATAATAGTAGCAGCTAATATTTACTGAGCTGTTACTAGGTGCCTATAAATAGCATAGATTTTTAAATTCTCCATAATTCTTCCTTATTTCACTTAACCACTCTATTTTAAATTACTCATGCTTGCCTCAGTAGCACACATACTTAAGTTGGAACAATAGAGAGATTGGCACGGCCTCTGTGAAAGAATGACATGCAAATTTGTGAAGCATTCCATATTTTTTTAAAAAAAGAGAAAAAAATTACTCCCAGATTTTCACTGTGTTTGTGCATATGACCTTTTGTTTAGGTTGAATTGTATCCAAAGATGAAATTTCCAGAAGTGAGATTACTGTGAGTCACAGGGCATGAACATTCTTATTACCCTTGATGTAAATTGCAAAGCTTTCAGGCATGGTGGCTGTCAGCCTGTAATTCCAGCACTTTGGGAGGCTGAGGTGGGAGGATTGCTTGAGGCCAGGAGTTGGAGGAGGCAGTCACTGTCTGTATGATTTAAAAAAAATTTCCAAGCTTTATGCTGGAAGGCTTATATACATTTTAAACACCACTAATACTACAAGAAAATGGCCATTTCACTGCACCTTCGCCCACACAGGTATTATAATTTAACAAGTTATTTTCTGTGTGATAAATGAAAGACCTCATATTATTACTTTGTCACCCATTCTTTTTTCTTTTTTGAGATGCAGTCTCGCTCTGTCGACCAGGCTGGAGTGCAGTGGTGTGATCTCAGTTCACTGCAACCTGTGCCTCCCAGGTTCAAGTGATTCTCCTGCCTCAGCCTCCTGAGTAGCTGGGATTACAGGCACATGCCACCATGCCTGGCTAATTTTTGTATTTTCAGTAGAAATGTGGTTTCACCATGTTGATCAGGCTGGTCTCGAACTCCTGACCTCGTGATCTACCCGCCTTGGCCTCCCAAAGTGCTTGATTACAGCTGTGAGCCATGTGCCCAGCCTATTTGTCACATATTTTATCTTTCCTTATGTTAGCTTATTAGCTTTATTTCTTTATTGTCCTTTTTTTTTTTTTTTTTTTTTTTGAGATGAAGTATCGCTCTGTCTCCTAGGCTTCAGTGTAGTGGCACAGTCTCAACTCACTGCAGCCTTGACCTCCTAGGCTCAGGTGATCCTTCCACCTCAGTAGTTGGGACTATAGGCACATGCCACTATGCCTGGCCAATTATTTTTATTTTTTTATTTTTACTAGAGAGGAGGTCTTGCTTTGTTTCTTAGGCTGGTCTGGAACTCCTGGCCTCAAGCAATCCCCCCACCACCCCCTCCCAAAGTACTGGTATTATAAGCATGAGCCACCATGCCTGGGGTATCTGTGTCTTTTCCATTTATTTATAGAGTTACTTTGTCTTTTACTAATTCAATGATCTGTTTAATCTTTTATTAAATTATAAAAATAATAAATACTTTTAAATAAGTGAAAAATGTCCTTCACTCTTTAGACCCATAATCTTATCTCAGGAAATAATTGCAATTGAGAAAATGGGCCATATCCTTCAAGATACGTACATGGTGATTGAACATCACTTCATATTTTCATATTTCGTGGACATTTGTGCCAATACCAATTGATCTATCTTAATCCTTTTCATGGTTGCATAATATTTTATTATATGGATGTATCACAATTTACCAGTACCAGTCAACTGCTGGAGGCATTTAGGCTCCTTCTAATATTTGCTTTGAGCTCTTTATATAATTAAAAATTAACCCCCTCAGCCAGGTGTGGCAGCTCACACCTGTAATCCCAGCATTTTGGAAGGCTGAGGTGAGAGAACTGCCTGAGTATAGGAGATCACCACCAACCTGGTCAACATAGTGACACTTTGTCTCTACTAAAAATTAAAAAAAAAAATGAGCTACACGTTGCAGTGCACACCTGTAGTCCCAGCTACTGGGGAGGCTAAGACTGGAGGATCACTTGAGTCTAGAAGGTTGAGGCTGCAGTAAGCTATGATCACACCATTGCACTTTAGCTTTGCTAAGAGCAAGACTGCATTTCTTAAACAAAATAAAAATTAGATGGGAATATTGCTCAAGCCCTGGAGGTTGAGGTTGCAGTTAACTGTGATTGCACCACTGCAGTCCAGCTTAGGTGATGGAGCAAGACCCTTTCTCTAAAAATAAAATAAAAATTAACCTTCTATCATATTTCCCAGTAACACCTTCCCTCCTACATTTCTCCTAGAAGCCCTTAAATTTTGTTTTTCACATATCGTTTAAAACTTTTAAGTGCTGATGTCTGTCTGTGTCATCCCTCTTTTTTTTTTTTTTTTAAATGTCTTTTTGTCACTTCTAGCTGGACCTACCATGAAAGACTTCTGAATCCAGGAAGAGAAACTGACTGGGCAACATGTTATTCAGGTACAAAAAGACTTGGACTGTAACTCAAAAATGATCAAATAATAGTGCATGCATCAAGTGCAATGGGAAGCTCTTCTGGAGAGGGAGAGAAGCTTCCAGTTAAGGTGACATTGAAGCCAAGTCCTGTAAGATAAGGAAGAATTGTATGAGAGTGGGGAGGGAAGGGGGAGGTGGAGGGATGGGGATTGGGCTGGGATGGGATGGAGTGAGCTGCCCAGGCAGGGAAACCAGCACTATACAGACCTGAACAATGAAGATGGCACATTTTGTTCAGGGAATGGTGAATTAAGTGTAGCAGAAATGCTTTGTAGAGACAGTAATTTACTTGTATGGAATTTTGCCCAAGAGACCTCATTACAGTTTCTAATTTTTTGATGTTATCATGCATCACTGCCCTTGTCAGATAGTATCATGATCACAGTAACATCAAGCATAATATTTCATTGATTCTCACAAAAACAGGTGGGTGCCACAGTTATCCCCATTATATGCACAAAATGATGAAGACTTGGGGTTAATGAGTGATTTGCCCAAGCTCACCTGAATATTAAGACTGAATCAAATGTTAGTCTGGTCTGACTTTAATGCTTGCCTTGTTCATGAGCACCATGCATTGCCTCTCCTATGCAGTTAAGCAGTTAGACAGGTGAGAGAAGAGCCCGTGTGATATCGGGGGAAATTCACCCCTGATATTTCATGTAGGTTCTTTTCTGTTTTCCCTGAGTGTCGGCCGATCTGAGAAATAAAGGGAAAGAGTACAAAAGAGAGAAATTTTAAAGCTGGGTGTCCAGGGGAGACATCACATGTCGGCAGGTTCCGTGATGCCCCGCAAGCTGCAAAACCAACAAGTTTTTATTAGTGATTTTCAAAAGGGGAGGGAGTGTACGAATAGGGTGTGGGTCACAGAGATCACTTGCTTCACAAGGTAATAAAATATCACAAGGCAAATGGAGGCAGGGCAAGATCACAGGACCACAGGACCGGGGCGAAATTAAAATTGCTAATGAAGTTTCGGGCACGCATTGTCATTGGTAACATCTTAGGAGAAAGGGTTTGAGAGCAGAAAACCCATCTGACCAAAATTTATTAGGCGGGAATTTCCTTGTCCTGATAAGCCTGGGAGTGCCACGCAAGCCCAGGGCTTATTTCATCCCTTATCTACGACTGTAAAAGACAGCCGTCCCCAAAGCGGCCATTTCAGAGGCCTCCCCTTAGGGATGCATTCTCTTTCTCAGGGATGTTCTTTGCTGAGAAAAAGAATTCAGCAATATTTCTCCTATTTGCTTTTGAAAGAAGAGAAATATGGCTCTGTTCTACTCGGCCCACAGGCAGCCAAAGTTTAAGGTTATCTCCCTTGTTCCCTGAAATTGCTGTTATCCTGTTCTTTATTCAAGGTGCCCAGGTTTCATATTGTTTAAACAACTTGTGCAGTTAACGCAATTATCACAGAGTCCTGCGGGGACATTCATCCTCAGCTTACGAAGATGACCAGATTAAGAAATTAAAGTAAGACAGGCATAGGAAATCACAAGGGTATTGATTGGGGAAGTGATAAGTGTCCATGAAATCTTCACAATTTATGTTCAGAGATTGCAGTAAAGACAGGCCTAAGAAATTATAGAAGTATTAATTTGGGGAACTAATAAATGTCCATGAAATCTTCACAATTTATGTTCTTCTGCCGTGGCTTCAGCCGGTCCCTCCGTTTGGGGTCCCTGACTTCCCGCAACACGTTTTTCTCTACTCACAGGCTTCTGACCAAATGTGTGTGCAGAGTTTCTACACCAGTTCTCCAACTCTCTGGATACCAACCGCGTATCCCACAATTCCATTCTGACACTACCTAGAGTTAGCGCAGAACCCACAGGTTAGGGGCTCAGTCCCACAAGACCACCCTCACTTCAGATGCCAGTTGCAAGTCCTAGGTTGTCACCTGTATTTTGACCAACCAGTTAGAAATCAGGGTTTCCCATGACCCTCTTCTTGAGTTTAATTATTTACTAGAACAACTCACGGAACTTAGAAAAACAGGTTTTTTTCTTTTCTTTTTAAGAGACAGGGCCTCGCTCTGTTGTCCAGGCTGGTGTGCAGTGGTGCAATCATAGCTCATTGAAGCCTCAACCTCCAGGGCTCAAGTGATTCTCCTGCTTCAGCCTCTCAAGTAGCTGGAATTACAGGGTTCCCACCACCACATTTGGCTAATTTCTTTTATTTTTTGTATAGATGGGGTCTTCTTATGTTGACCAGGCTGGTCTCAAATTCCTAGGCTCAAGTGATTCTGCCCACCTCTGCCTCCCAAAGTGCTGGGATTATGGGCATGAGCCAGCGCATCTGGCCACCGTATTTTCTATTACTGGCTCAATGTAATGGCTCCATCTCAGGAACAGCCAATGAAAGAGATGCACAGGACAAGGTAAGTGGGGAGGGGCACAGAGCTTCCATGCCCTCTGTTGGGCACACTACCCTCCCAGGACCTCCTTGTGTTTAGCAACACAGAAGCTCTCCAAACCCTGCTGTTTGGGTTTTTATGGAGGCATGATTGATAAAATCATTGGCCATTGGTAGTTAAGTCAATCTCCAGTTCCTTTTGCCTCCTGGAGTTCAGCAGGTGAGGCTGAAAGTTCCAAGCCTCAAAAAATGTGCTGGGGCCAGGTGCGGTGGCTCACTCCTGTAATCCTAGCAGTTTGGAAGGCTGAGGCACATGGACCACTTGAGGTCAGGAGTTTGAGACCAGCCTGACCAACATGGTGAAACCCCGTTTCTACTAAAAATAACAACAATTAGCTAGGCGTTGTGGCACATCCCTATAATTCCAGCTACTCGGGAGGCTGAGGCAGGAGAATTGCTTGAACCTGGGAGGTGGAGGTTGTAGTGAGCTGAGATTGTGCCATTGCACTCCAGCCTGGGCTACAAGACCCAAACTCCATTTTAAAAGAAAAATGTGGTTGCTTTCTCTGGCAGCTAGCCCTCCTCCTGAAGCAGTCTAGGAGCTTGCAGCCACCCTGTTAGCTCAACAGCATCCCACATGCATTCTTACCATGCTGCAGTTCTGGAAGACCTTAGAGGCCCTTGTGTCAGGAACCTGGGACTAAGACTAAATATCAAAACAGAAAATGCTCCTATTACCTCTGTCACGAAGGGCTTTATAAGAGCTTTGGAAGCTCTATGCCAGGAACCAGGGGCAGAGACCAAATGTATATTTCTTTTCAGTCTCACTCTGCCACTGAGGCTGGAGTGCAGTGATGTGATCATAGCTCACTGCAGCCTTGACCTCCTAGGCTAAAGCAATCCTCCCACCTTAGCCTCTCCAGTAGCTGGAACTACAGGCATGCATCACCATGTCCAGCTGATTTTAATTTTAATTTTGTAAAGGCAGGGTCTTCCTATTTTCCCCAGGCTGATCTCTAACTCTTGGCCTCAAGCAGTCCTTCCTCTTTGGCCTCCCAAAATGTTGGGATTACAGATGGGAGCCCCCATACCCACCAATCACAAGGATCTTTATAAGAGAAGGAGGTAGGAGAGTCAGAATTAGAGAAAGTGATGTGGTAATGGAAGAAGAGGTCAGAGAGGGAGATTTGAAGATGCTGCACTTCTGGCCTTGAATATGGAGTCACGAGGTAAGTCAAGGAATGGGGGTGGCTTCTAGAAGCTGGAAAAGGCAAAGGAGCACATTCTGTCTAGAGCCTCCCCCAGAAGGAATGCAGCCCCTCTGACACCTTGACTTCAGCCTTAATAGACCTAGTTGGGCTTCTGGCCCCCAGAACTGTAAGATGGTAGATTTGTGGTGTTTGATGCCACTGAATGTAGGGTACTTTGTTGTAGTAACAACAAAAAATGAACATGAAGCTGGGACCTCATGTTACAGTTGCTCACGCCTGTAATCCCAGAACTTTAGGAGGCTGAGGTGGGAGGATTGCTTAAGCCCAGGAGCTTAAGACCAGCCTGGGCAACATAATGAGACCTCATGTCTAAAAAAAATTTTTTTAAAAGGCCAGGCGCAGTGGCTCACACCTGTAATCCCAGCACTTTGGGAGGCCGAGGAGGGTGGATCACGAGGTCAGAAGTTCAAGACCAGCCTAGCCAAGATGGTGAAACCCCATCTCTACTAAAAATACAAACATTAGCCAGGTGTGGTGGTGGGTGCCTGTAATCCCAGCTACTCGGGAGGCAGAGAATCACTTGAACCCAAAAGGCAGACATTGCAGTGAGCCAAGATGGCACCCTTACACTTCAGCCTGGGCGACCGAGACTCCGTCTCAAAAAAAAAAAAAAAGCCATGTGTTGTGGCATGCAGCTGTAGTCTCAGTTCCTAGGGTGGCTGAGGCGGGAGGATTGTTTAAGCCTGGGAGGTTGAAGTTGCTGTGAGCTGTGATTGCACCAGTGTACTCCAGCCTGGGCAATAAAGCAAGACCTTGTTTCAAAAAGAAAGAAAGAAATGAGCATGGTAGGAATGGGGACAGATGGCAGTGTTAAGTAGAGTGGTCAGGGTTGGCCTCATAAGTGAATATTGAGCAAAAGTTTGAAGCAGGTGATGGAGCTGGCCAAGGTGCTGAGGGAAGAGCATTGTAGGCTGAGTCAACAGGATAAAGGCATTAGAAGGAAACTCTCTGGTGTGTCTGAGGCTCTGGAAGGAGGCCAGTGGAGCAAAGAGATAGAGGGAGTGAAGTCAGCGAGGAGGCCAGGGAGTTGCTGGGCTGGGATTGGTACAGATTGTGTAAGCCCTGGGACGCTATTGCTGGGGCTTTGGCTTTTACTCTGACTAAAATGGGAACCACCGAGGGCTTCTGAGCAGAGAGGCGATGTGATCTGTCTCCTGATTTAAAAGCACGAACTGGCTGCCAAGTTGAGAAAGACTATGGGAAGATTTGGGTAGAAGCATGGGGGCCAAGCTGTGGCAACATCCCGGTGGGAGATTATAGTGATCCTGACTGGGTTCACGGTGGTGGTGAGAGATGGTCAGAGCCTGGATACATGTTGAAGTCAGTCAGTAGGATTTCCTGACAGACTGGATGTGAGCTGTGAGAGAAGGCAGTGGTCAAGGTTGACTTTGATTCTGATTGAATTATTAAGTAATTTTAAAAAACACTACTGCCTTTCCCAATCCTACCAAGTAAAGGATGCTAGATAAAAGAAATCTCAAGTCAGGCCAGGTGCAGTGGCTCACACCTGTAGTTCCAACAGTTTGAGAGGCAGAGATGGGAGTATGTTTTAAGGCCATGAGTTTGAGAGCAGCCTGGGCAACACAGCAAGACCTCGTCTCTACAAAAATAAAAAAAAATAAATTTAATAAAATAAATATAGCCAGGCATGATGGTATGTACCTATGGCCCCAGTTACTCATGTGGCTGAGATGGGCAGATCTCTTGATTCTAGGAGTTTGAGGCCAGCTTGGGCAACATAGCAAGACTTCTCTCTCTACAAAAATGAAAAAAATGCCTGACATGGTGGTACTTGCCTGTATTCCCAGGTATGGGGGCAGCTGAGGCAGGAGCATCTCTTGAGCCCAGTTGGTCGAGGTTGCAGTGAGCTATGATTATACCACTGCACTCCATCCTGGGTGACAGAGTGGGACCCTGTCTCAAAATACAAATACAAATGAAATCTCAAGTCAGACCAGTCCCTTCTAGGCTATGTAGGCCTTGTAACCACATAGCTGCATGATCGGGTTTGTGTGGCTGTGGATGAGGAGACCCCTGTCCAATTGTTGGCTATGTAATCAGTTTATTTTTCAATATAGTAATCAAATATATTTCATCATACTTGATGGTCTCAGATATGTGTGGATTTTGGAATTCCCCTTGGAACAGGTTGTAACATCTTATTGGCTCCATAATTCCATAATTTTTTAAATCTGATCAGTTTTTAATAAGATCAGAATTGATATTAGACTACTTAATCGGTTTTGTTAATGAGAAAATGAAATTGTGTTGTTTGCATTTTATCCAAGATGGGTGTCATATTGGCTAAATCTCATCAATACTTGAACAAATGCAAAATTAGAGTTTCTTTATCATGAAACACGATGTAATTCTTGAAGAAGATGCCATTTCTTTTTTTTCTTTTTTTTTAAGCTAAGAGTCTTTCTCTTGTCACCCAGGCTGGAGTGCAATGGTGCGATTTTGGCTCACTGCAACCTTCACCTTCTGGGTTCAAGCAATTCTCCTGCCTCAGCGTCCCGAGTAGCTGGGATTACAGGCGCCCGCCACCATACCCAGCTAATTTTTGTATTTTTAGTAGAGATGGGGTTTCACCATGTTGGCCAGGCTCCTCTGGAGCTCCTGACCTCAGGCAATCTGCCTGCCTCAGCCTCCCAAAACTCAAGGAGTACAGATGTGAGCAACCATGCCCGGCCTCCATTTCTTTTTTGTAGTCTTTAATAAACAGCTGCTATCATTGCAGACTTGCTATTTAGGCACTTAGGAATTTTTCACTAGAAGGCATGTAAATAAAGACCATGGGCATTTGTAATGAATTTAGGGTTCATTCTTTGACTACATGACTGTCCCCAGAGCTGTAACTTTATTGAATTTTTTAGAAGCCATTTAGCTAGCAACTGAGCCTAACCAGCCACTCACCGTCATTATTCAGTGCTCTTTTATTATTGTCTATTTCTCCTCCAACTTGGCTACACTCACAAAGTGATAAAAACTTGCATTTGTTTTCTTTCCTTTTCAGAGACAGCGTCTTGCTCTGTTGCTCAGGCTACAGTACAGTGACATGATCATGGTTCACTGTAGCCTCAAACTCCTGGGCTCAAGCGGTTCTCTCACTTGAGTCTCCCAAGTAGCTGGGACTACAGACATGTGCCACCATGTCCAGCTAATTTTTTATCATAGAGACGGGATCTTGCCACGTTGCTCCGACTGGGCTCAAAACTCCTGACCTCAAGTGATCCTCCTGCCTCAGCCTCCCAAAGTGCTGGGATTACAGGCAGGCATGACCACCTGTGCCCAGCCCCCTATTATTATTATTATAAATAATAGCTTTATTAAAATATTCACATACCATTCACTTTATTTATTGAAATCTGCAATTCAGTAGGTTTTAGAATATTCACAGAGCTGTGCATCGATCACCCACAGTCACTTTTAGAACCTTTCATTACCCTATAGAGAAATCCATACCCCTTAGCCACTACCTCCTACTCTCCCCACCTACCTTCGCCCCAGCCTTAGGCAACCATTGATTAATTTTTTGTCACTATAGATTTGCCTAATCTGGACAAATAGAATTGTACAATATGTGATCTTTTGTGGCTTTTTTTCCCTCTTAGCACAGTGTTTTCAAAGTTCCTTTATGTCATAGTGTGTATCAATATTTCATTCCGTCTATGGCAGTATTCCATGGTAGAGACACACTGCATTTTGTTTATCTGTTCATCAGTTGGTGGATATTTGGGTTGTTTCCATGTATTCCATGTATTGGTCATTATGAATAATGCTGCTATGAAGATTGTTGTACAAGTTTTTGTGTGGACATATATTTTTATTTTTCTGGGATATATGCCTAGGAGTGAAATTGTTGCATTATAAGATGACTGTACATTTAGCCTTTTGAGAAACTGCCAGACTGTTTTCTAACATGGCTACACCAGTTGGGTACAATGGCTCACACCTGTAATCCCAGCTACTCAGGAGGCTCAGCTAGGAGGATGGCTTGAGCCCATGAATTCAAGACCAGCCTGGGCAAGATAGTGAAACCCTGTCTTGATTTTTTAAAAATCCAATTAAAATGACAAGAAAAGAAATACCCAAACAAAATGGTTACACGATTTTATGTTCCCGCCAGTAATGTATGTGGGTTCCAATTCCTCCACATCTTCACTGACATTTTTTTTTTTCTAGATAGGGGCTTGCTCTGTCTCTCAGGCCGCAGTGCAATGATGCCATCACAGTTCACTGCAGCCTTGACCTCCCAGGCACAAGTGATTCTCTCATCTCAGCCTTCTGAGTAGCTGAAAATTACAGGTGTATGCCACCATGCCTGGCTAATTTTTATATTTTTCTGTAGTGATGGGATTTTACCATGTTGCCCAGGCTGGTCTCATACTCCTGGCCTCAAGTGATCTGCCCACCTCAGCCTCCCTAAGTTCTGGAATTACAGGCTGCCACCATGCCCGGCCTCCACCAACATTTGCCATTATCTGTTTTTTTTTCTTCCTTTATACCTTAAAGCAGTATAAGAACAAGTGTCTTCAATTATAGGAAACAGTATAATCCCAGGGCATTGGGAGGCTAAGACAGGAAGATGTCTTGATGCCAGGAGTTTTTTTTGTTGTTGTTGTTTTTGTTTTTGTTATTGTTGTTGTTGTTGTTTTTGACAGAGTCTCGCTCTGTCACCCAGGGTGGAGTGCAGTGATGGGGTCCACTGCATCCTCCACCTCCCAGGTTCAAGTGATTCTCCTGCGTCAGCCTCCCGAGTAGGTGAGACTACAGGTACATGCCACTCCTGCCCAACTAATTTTTGTATTTTTGATAGAGTCAGAGTTTCACCATGTTGGCCAGGCTGGTCTTGAACTCCAGACTTCAGGTGATTTGCCTGCCTTAGCTTCCCAAAGTGCTGGGATTACAAGCATGAGCCACCATGCCCAGCCTGATGCCAGGAGTTTTAGACTAGCCTGGGCAACCTAGCAAGACCTTGTCTCTACAGAATATTTAAAAATTAGCCAAATGTGGTGGTGCCTGTGTATAGTCTCTCTCCCTCTCTCTCTTTTTTTTTCTTTCTTTTTGTGACATGGTCTGGCTCTGTCACCCAGGCTGAAGTGCAGTGGTGTGATCATGGGTCACTGCAGCCTGAAACTCCTGGGATCAAGTGATCAATCCTCCCACCTCATCCTACCAAGTAGTAGGGACCACAGTTGTATGCCACCCAGGTCTTGCTATGTTGCCCAGGCTGGTCTTGAGCTCCTGGCCTCAAGCAATCCTCTCACCTTGGCCCCCCACAGTGCAAGGATTACAGGTATGAGCCACCATGCCTGGCCCCTACCCTGCCTATTGAGAACCAAAAGAAGGATCCAAATTCTCCTTAGCTCAACTCGAGCCATTTCCTGATTGCTTCATCAGCAAGGACCTGGTTATTGGGCTGTCCAGGCCTCCCAAGCAGCACAGAAATGAGGTGAAGGAGTTTTCCTGCTGCTCCACTCTGTAAGGAGTTGGAGGGTGATGTTTACTCGTTTGCAGAGAGAGATGCCTTGTAGGCACCTCAGGATGGAGAGGACCCTGATTCCAATGTCCTTTTTTTCTTTAGAAACAGGACCTTGCCCTGTCACTCAGGATGGAGTTCAGTGGTCCTATCATGGTTCATTATAGCCTCAAACTCCCAGGCTCAAGCAATCCTACCATGTCAGCCTTCCCAGTAGCTGGGACTACAGGTAAGCATCGTGACACTCAGTGAATTTTGTTTTTATTTTGTTGTAGAGATGGGACCTCAGTATGTTGCCACGGCTGACCTTGAACTCCTGCACTCAAGGGATTTTCCTGCCCTGGCCTCCCGAAGTATTGGTATTACAGGCATGAGCCATTGTGCCCACCGTCTCTGGTTCTTAACCTTCTGCCTCCCTCTTCCAGTTTTAAAGAATGCTTGTAATTACACGGGCTCTCCTAGATACTCCAGGATAGTCTTGTTTTAAGGTCAGCTGATGAGCAACATTAATTTTATCTGCACTCTTAATTCCCCCTTCCTATGTAATTGTGCTGTGTAACATAGGACATGAGCAATTGCTGGCAGTGGGGGTTATTATTTTGGCCACCACAGTAACTATTTTATGCCAGGTACTCAGCTAAGCACTGGTGAATTAAGCATGAATAACACACACTCCCTAATCTCCATCCATTCATGGGAGGAGCACCTCACCTGCCATGCTCCTGAGAATCTCAGGAGTCAAAGAAGTCTTCTATGAGGAGGTGATGCCAAAGCAGACAAGTGACAGAGGAGTCAAAGCTAGCTAGGAAGAGAGTAGAGGTTTAAGGGGAAGCATATTATAAGCAGAGGATATTACCCACTTCAGAGACTCCCAGAGGAGAAAGAGTGTGCGTTGAAGGGGCAGATGAGGCTCAGTTGGACTTCATAGCAGATGAAATGGAGAGGGGCAAGCAGTAAGGCTGCCTTGCAAGGCAGGGCAGAGCAGGGGCTGTTAAGGAGTTTGGACTTAATCCCTGAGGCAAGGAGAAGTGATGTAAATGGAGTAACATGATGAGATTCATGGATTAGAGACATGGCTCAGGCTGCTGTAGAGAAGGCACCAGGGAGAGCAGATGGCTCAATGGGTGTGCAGGAGACCTCTCACTGAGTTTAGGGAGAGGTTTTTAAAACAGAAGAAGTTTGAGTAATTTAAATGATGATGGGAAGGAGCTAAAAGTGGGGGATAGGTTAAAGATACAGGGAAGTGGGAGGAAGAACTGACAAGTGAGGTTCCAGAGAGGGCAGGAGAAGAGGAGATTCCCATAGGGGGATTAACACTTTCTTTTCTTTTTTCTTTCTAAGACAGGGTCTCACTCTGTCGCCCAGGCTGGAGTGCAGTGGCACAATCTTGGCTCACTGTAGTGTAGACTTCCCAGGCTCAAGGGATTTCTCCCACCCCAGACTCCCAAGTAGCTGGAACTACGGGTGTGCACCACCACCACACCTGGCTAATGTTTCTTTTTTTGGTAGACACAGGGTCTCACTATTTAGCACTGATTGGTCTCCAACTCCTGGCCTCAAGTGATCCTCCTGCCTAGGCTTCCCAAATTGCTGGGATTACAGGCATGAGCCACAATGCCTGGCCTCTGCTAGTTCCGTATTCTCTAGAGTTGTCTTTACTTTGTGCTAGTGTGTCCCTCATTGTGCTGATCCTCTGTAAAAAGTAATACCTTTTTTTTTTTCCGAGATGGAGTTTCACTCTTGTTGCCCAGGCTGGAGTGCAATGGCGCTATCTCGGCTCAGCACAACCTCCACCTGCCGGGTTCAAGCGATTCTCCTGCCTCAGCCTCCCGAGTAGTTGGGATTACAGGCATGTGCCACCATGCCCAGCTAATTTTGTATTTTTAGTAGAGATGGGGTTTCTCCATGCTGGTCAGGCTGGTCTCGAACTCCTGACCTCAGGTGACCTGTCTGCCTTGGCCTCCCAAAGTGCTGGGATTACAGGCATGAGACATTGTGCCTGGCCAAAATTAATACTTTTTATATTAAATTTACATATATATACGTTTTTTCTTTTTGATACCAGGTCTCACACTGTCACCCAGGCTGGAGTACAGTGGCACAACCTCTGCTCACTGCAGCCTCCACCTGCCAGGCTCAAGCAATTCTCCTGCCTCAGCCTCCCGAGTAGCTGGGATTACAAGTAAGTGCCACCACACCCAGCTGATTTTTGTGTTTTTTGTAGAGATGAGGTTTCGCCATGTTTCCCAGACTGTTCTCAAACTCCTGAGCTCAAAGCAGTCCACCCACCTTGGCCTCCCAAAGTGCTGGGATTACAGATGTGAGCCATCTTGCTCATTCTAGTTTAAACTTTTGAGTGGTTTGTGTCTCCTGATTGGACTCCTACAAATACAGAATTGATGCTAGGAAGGGTACCAGGAGATAGACGCACACAGATGGGATTTGGGAATAGGTTTGGTTATCCAAGGAGCAGTGCTGAGCTCCTTGCTAATGGGATATGGGATGCTGATGATTTCCAGGAAGTGACCTCACAATGACTCAAGCTACCACATGCTGTTGATTGTGAAATGCCAGTTGAAGCATATGTCCTGCGAGCTTAGGGGTGCTACAAGTTGACCACTGCAGCAGTAAAGATGACTCTGAAGAATGGCGTGGGATGGATCCTTTCGAATGCACTTGAGCAGCGGTCTCCAACCACAGGGCCACAGAGCTGGAGGTGAGCAGCAGGTGAGTGAAGGGAAACTTCATCTGTATTTCTAGCCCCTCCCATCACTTGCATGACCACCTGAGCTCCATGTCCTGTCAGATCAGCAGCAGCATTAGATTCTCATAGGAGCACAAACTCTGTTGTGAAGTGTGCATGCGAGGGATCTAGGTTGTGTACTCCTTATGAGAATCTAATGCCTGATATTCTGTTACTGTCTCCCATCACCCCAGATGGACAGTCTAGTTGCAGGAAAACAAGCTCAGAGATCCCACTGAGTCTACGTTATAGTGAGTTGTAGAATCATTTCATTATATGTTACTATGTAGTAATAATAGAAATAAAGTGCACAATATATGTAATGCACTTGAATCATCCTGAAATTATTCCCTTACTCCCAGTCTGTGGAAAAATTGTCTTCCACACATTCACTCTGTTTTTTGGTAGAGGCAGGGTCTTAATATATTGCCCAGGCTGATCTCAAACTCCTGGCCTCAAGTAATATACCTCTCTCAGCCTCCCAAAGTGCTGAGATTACAGGCATAAGCCACCACCCTCAACCAAGACTTTCTTAAACCAAATAAAAATTAAGTGAGATTACTTGAGCCCAGGTGGTCAAGGCTGCAGTGAGCCTGATTGCACCACGACTCCAGCCTAGGTGACAGAATGAGACTGTCTCAAAAAATAAAATAAATAAAATAAAATAAAATAAAATAAAATAAAATAAAATAAATAAAATAAAATAAAATAAAATAAAATAAAATAAAATAAATAAAAAAAATAAAATAAAATATAAAATAAAATAAAATATAAAATAAAATATAAAATAAAATAAAATATAAAATAAAATAAAATATAAAATAAAATAAAATATAAAATAAAATAAAATAAAATAAATATAAAATAAAATAAAAAAATAAAATATAAAATAAAATTAAAATAAAATAAAATAAAATAAAATAAAATACAAATTAACCCTTTATGACATTCCCAGTAACTTTCCCTCCTAAGTGTTCCCCACAAGTCTTTGAATTCTGTTTAATTTTCACATAACATTTAAGACATTTAAGAACTTATGTCTATCTGTGTCATCCCTTTATGTCAAAAGATGTCTTTTTGTCACTTCCAGCTGGATCTACCATGAAAGACTTCTGAATCCAGGAAGAGAGACTGACTGGGCAACATGTTATTCAGGTACAAAAAGATTTGGACTATAACTTAAAAATGATCAAATAATAGTGCATGCATCAAGTGCAATGGGAAGCTCTTCTGGAGAGTGAGATAAGCTTCCAGTTAAGGTGACATTGAAGCCAAGTCCTGAAAGATGAGGAAGAGTTGCATGAGAGTGTGGAGGGAAGGGGGAGGTGGAGGGATGGGGAGTGGGCTGGGATGGGATAGCGCAAACTGCCCGGGAAGGAAAACCAGCACTGTACAGACCTGAACAACAAAGATGGCATATTTTGTTCAGGGAATGGTGAATTAAGTGTGGCAGGAATGCTTTGTAGACACAGTAATTTGCTTGTATGGAATTTTGCCTGAGAGACCTCATTGCAGTTTCTGATTTTTTGATGTCATCATCCATCACTGTCCTTGTCAAATAGTTTGGAATAGGTATAATGATCACAATAACCCCAAGCGTAATATTTCGTTAATTCTCACAGAATCACAGGTAGGTGTCACAGTTATCCCCATTTTATGAATGGAGTGATGAAGCCTTAGGAATAATGAAAGATTTGCCCAAGCTCACCTGGATATTAAGACTGAGTCAAATGTTGGGTTTGGTCTGATTTTAATGTTTGCTTTGTTCATGAGCACCACATATTGCCTCTCCTATGCAGTTAAGCAGGTAGGTGACAGAAAAGCCCATGTTTGTCTCTACTCACACACTTCCGACTGAATGTATGTATGGAGTTTCTACACCAAATTCTTCAGTGCTCTGGATATTAACTGGGTATCCCATGACTTTATTCTGACACTACCTGGAGTTAGCACAGACCCCACAAGTTAGGGGCTCAGTCCCATGAGGCCATCCTCACTTCAGATGCCAATGGCAAGTCCTAAGTTGTCACCATACTTTTGACCAACCTGTTACCAATCGGGGGTTCCCATAACTGTCTTCTTGGGTTTAATAATTTGCTAGAACAGTTTACGGAACTCAGAAAAACAGTTTATTTTCTTTTTTTCTGAGAGAGAGGGTCTTATTTTGTTGCCCAGGCTGGTGTGCAATGGTGCAGTCATAGGTCATTGCAGCCTTGATTGTCTGGGCTCCAGTGGTTCTCCCACCTCAGCCTCCCTAGTAGCTGAGACTACATGCCTGCACCACCACATCTGGCTAGTTTATTTTTTGTATAGATGGGGTCTTGTTGTGTTGGCCAGGCTGGCCACAAATTCCTGGTCTCAAGTGATCCTCCCACCTCAGCCTCTGAAAGTGCTGGGATTACAGATGTGAGCTACCACATCTGGCCAGTTCATTTCTTATTACTGGTTCATTGTGAAGGATACATCTCAGAAACAGTCAATGAAAGAGACGTGCATGCTGGATGCAGTGGCTCATGCCTGTAATCTCAGCACTTTGGGAGGCCAAGGTGGGAGGATCGCTTAAACTCAAGAGTTTGAGACCAGCCTGGGCAACATGGTGAAAACCTGTCTCTATAAAAAATTAAAAAAAAAAAAAATAACCGGTGTGGTGGTGTGCACCTAGAGTTCCAACTACTAGGGAAGCTGAGATGAGAGGATACCTTGAGCTGGGGACTGGGGAGGCTTAGGTTACAGTAAGCTGAGATTGTGCCACTGCACTCTAGCTTGGACAAAAGAGCCTGATCCTGTCTCAAAAAAAAGAAAGATACTCAGGGCAAGTTAAGTTCGGAGGGGCACAGAGCTCCCATGCCCTCTGTTGAACATGCGGACCCTCCCAGCATCTCCTGTGTCCAGCAACCCTGAAAGCTCTGCAAACCCCGTTCAGGGTGTTTATGGAGGCTTTATTATGCAAGCATGATTGATAAAATCTTTGGCTGTTGGTGATTAAGTCAGTCTCCAGCCCCTCTTCCTCCTGGAGTTCAGTGCATGAGGCTGAAAGTCCCAAGCCTCTTACCATGTGGTTGCATGGTAATCAGCCCTCCTCTTGAAGAAATTTAGGAGCTTGCAGTCACCCAGTCATCTCAACAACATCCCCAAATGCATTCTTACCATGTTGGAGATCCCAAAGTTCTTAGAGGCTCTTGTGTTAGAAACCTGGGACCAAGACCAAATATTAAAACAAAAGATGTTCCTGTCACATCTATCACTGAGGTCTTTGTAAGAGCTTTAGAAGCTCTATGCCATGAACCAGGGACAGAGATTAAATATATGTTTCTTTTCTTTTTTTTGAGACAGAATCTTCTGTGTCATCCAGGCTGGAGTGCAGTGATGTGATCATAGCTCACTATAGCTTTGGCCTCCTGAGATCAAGCAATCCTCCCATCTCAACCTCCCAAGTAGCTAGGACTACACATGCATGTCACCCATGCCCAGCTCATTTTTGTAGAGTCAGAGTTTCGCCATGGTGGCCAGGTTGGCCATGTTGGCCAGATGGGGTCTTCTTTTGTTGCCCAGGCTGGCCACAAATTCCTGGGCTCAAGTGATCCTCCCACCTCGTCCTTGTAGAGATAAGATTTAGTTATGTTGTCCAGGCTGATCTCAAACTCCTGGGCTAAATCGATTGTCTCACCTCAGCCTCTTAAGTAGCTGGGACTACAGGCGCATACCACCATGTCGGGCTAATATTTATTTTTATTTTTTTCTAGAGGTGGGGGTCTCACTGTATTTTTCATGCTAGTTTCAAACTTTGGGCCTCAAGTGATCCTCCTGCCTTGACCTCCCAAAGTGTTGGGATTCTGGGTGGGAGCCACCATGCCCAGCAATCACAAGGGTCTTTATAAAAGAAAGAGAGTAGGAGATTCAGAATTGGAGCAGGAGATGTGGTGATGAAAGCAGAGGTAAGAGAGGGAGATTTGAAGATGCTTCACCTCTGGCTTTGAAGATGGAATCAGGGGCCGTGATCCAAGGAATGGGGGGTGGCTTCTAGAAGCTGGAAAAGCCAAGGGAACATATTAGAGTCTCCAGAAGGAATGCAGCCCTGCTGACACCTTGACTTTAGCCTTAATAGACCTAGTTTGGGTGTCTGGCCCCTAGAACTGTAAGATGGTAGATTTGTGGTGTTTTAAGCCACTAAATATAGGAAACTGCAAACTACGTTGCAGCAGCAAGAAGAAATGAACATGAAGCCAGGCATGATGGCTCATGCCGGTAATCCCAGCACTTTAGGAATTTAGGCAGGAGGATCACTTGAGGCCAGGAGTTCAAGACCAGTCTGGGCAACATAGTAAGACCTTGTCTCTACAAAAAATGAAAAAATTGGCCAGGTGTGGTGGCTCACACCTGTAATTCCAGCACTTTGGGAGGCTTAAGCGGTCAGATTACCTGAGGTCAGGAGTTTGAGACCAGCCTGGCCAACATTGTGAAACCCCGGCTCTACTAAAAATACAAAAATTAGCTGGGCGTGGTGGCACGCACCTGTAATCCCAGCTACTTGGAAGGCTGAGGCAGTAGAATCACTTGAATCTGGGAGGTGGAGGTTGCAGTGAGCCGGGATCGCACCGTTACACTACAGCCTGGGCAAGAAGAGTGAAACTCTGTCTCAAAATAAAATAAAATAAAATACTAAAAAATTTAGCCAGGCATGGTGGCATGAACCTGGAGTCCCCGGTACTCGGGAGGCTGAGGTGGGAGGATCGCTTGAGCCTGGAAATTTGAGGTTGCAGTGAGCTGTGATTTCGCTACTGCACTCCAGCCTTGGTGACAGTGAGATCTTGAAAAAAAGAAAGAAGAAAGTAAAGAAAGAAGAAATGAGCATGGTGGGCATGGGGACAGATGGCAATGTTAAATAGAATGGTCAGGGGTGGCCTAAGTGAAAATTGAGTAAAGACTTGAAGGAGGGGAAGGAGGTGGCCAAGGTGCTGAGGGAAGAGGATTGTAGGCAGAAACAATAGAATAAACTGTCTGAGGTGTGTCTCCGGCTCTGGAAGGAGGCCCATGGAGCAGATGGAGAGAGGGAGAGAATTAGGGGAGGGAGCCAGGGAGTTGCTGGGTGGGGATCAGTACAGATCACATAAGCCCTGGGAGGTTATTGGTGGGGCTTTGGCTTTTACTCTGACTCAGATGGGAACTGCGGGAGGGTTCTGAGCAGAGAGGTGACATCATCTGTCTCCCGATTTAAAAGTATTCTCTGGCTGCTGAGTTGAGAAAGACTGTGGGAAGATGTGATAGAAGCATGGGGGCCAAGCTTTGGCAACATCCAGGCGGGAGATGATGGTGGTCCTGACCAGGGTCGTGGTGGTGTTGAGAGATGGTCAGAGGGGAGAAGTAGGGGAGGAGGCCAGGGAGTTGCTGGGTGGGGATCTTTAGTAGATGTCGAAGACAATCAACAGGATTTCCTGACAGACTGGATATGGGGTGTGAGAGAAGGCAGGGGTCAAGGTTGAGTTTGATTGTTACTGAAATTATTAAGTAATTTTAAAAAACACTACTGCCTTTCCCAATCCTACCAAGTATGGGATGCTAGATTAAAGAAATCTCTTCAGGCTCATTGCAATGGCTCATGCCTGTAGTACCAGCTGTTTGGTAAGCAGAGGTGCGAGTATCTTTTAAGGGCAGGTGTTCAAGACCAGCCTGGACAACACAGCAAGATCTGCTCTTTACAAAAATATTTTTCAAAATTAAATAAATGTAGCTAGGCATGGTGATGTGTACTTGTAGTTTCAGCTACTCAGGAGGCTGAAGTGGGCAGATCTCTTGAGGTCAGGAGTTTGAGGCCAGTTTGGGCAACATAGCAAGACCCCTCACTCTACAAAAAAATTAAAAAAACCAGGCATGGTGATACTCAACTGTACTACCAGCTACTGGGGAGCTGAGGCAGGAAGATGGCTTGAGCCCAGGAGGTCGAGGCTGCAGCGAGCTGTAAGTGCACAGCTGCACTCCAGTCTGGGTGACAGAGCAGGACCTGTCTCACAATACAAATAAAAATACAAGTAAAATAATACCTCAAGTCAGAGCCTTTTGGCTCTGCAGCCCTTGCAACCCCTCAGCCGTGCAGTGGGGTTTGCGTTGCTGGGAATGAGGAGACCCCTGCCCGGTGTTGTTGCCTGACTAATCAGTGTTTTAAAACATATATTAATCGGGGTGGGCGCGGTGGCTCACACCTGTAATCCCAGCACTTAGGGAGACCCAGGCAGGTGGATCACCTGAGGTCAAGAGTTCAAGACCAGCCTTGCCAACATGGCGAAACTCCTTCTCTACTAAGAAAATACAATAATTAGCTGGACATGGTAGTGGGCGCCTGTAATCCCAGCTACTTGGGAGGCTGAGGTAGGAGAATCGCTTGAACCTGTGGGGCGGAGGTTGCAATGAGCTGAGATTGAGCCACTTCACTCCAGCCTGGGCAAAAGAACAAGACTTTGTCTCAAAGAAAAAAAAAAAGTATTATATCAACATGTAATGGTTTTATTATTAATATGTAATGAATACTAAATATTTTTAAAATTTTATATCAACATGTAATGGCTTTAATATGTGATGAATAATATTTTAAAAATTGTGTCTTATTTTCTGGTTTTAATATAATTATCTACAGAAAGAGTCTTAGAGATCTTCAATAAAGTTAAAAAAGGTAAAGGGATGTTAGACCCCAAAAGATTGAGAATTTCTAGTTTAGAAATATTCAGAGTAAGCCACATACAACTTGCTACTTGAACTATTTTTTTTCTTTGTTTTTTATTTTAGGAGATGGGGTCTCACCCTGTCACCCAGGCTTGAGTACAATAGTGCTATCACAGCTCACTGCAGCCTTGAACTCCTGGGCTAAGGATCCTCCTACCTGAGCCTCCTGAATAGCTAGGACTGTAGGTATACATGACGATACTTGGCTAATTTTTAAATTGTTTTGTAGACATGGGGTCTCACTTTGTTGGCCAGGCTGGTGTCAAACTAATGGCCTCAAGTGACCCTTCCACCCCTGCCTCCCATCCTAGAGGTATGTGCCACCACAAGGAGCACTTGTTCAATTTTCTAAAGAAAAAATTTCTAAAGTAAGGCTGTGGGATGATGGCAGGAAGATAAAAGAAAAACAGAAGAATAAGTTAAAATGACTTATTCACACATATTCTTTTGACAGCAAGAAGAACTTTTAGTATATACATTCCTTACAAACAAACAAAAGGCAGATAAACAATGTTGTGTAGGAACTTCAACACACACTGTACAATATTCCCACTTTGCTGACATAAGTTATGGAAATTTCGTGGTTTACTTGAGTGTCGCTACCAGTATTTTGCTTCTCTGATGATTTTTATCAACTTCCTCATCTGTTAACTTCTCTCCAAGGTATGTCATGTCACGACATACTGCCGCTGCACGAACATGGCCAGTGTCTTCCTATTAAACATGTAGAATGCTTTCCTAATTTCTCTTTTTACTCTCTGTCTTTGTGTTTTGCATTTTCCTTACTTTTATTGTCGGAAACTCCAGAAAGTCAATCGTACTAATTTATCACGATTTGCTTTATTAATTTATACTTTGGTTATATGGAATTTTGCCCAACAGACCTCATTACAGTTTCTAACCTGTTTTATTTTGTTTTTTTTTTTCTGAGACAGGGTCTCCCTCTGTTGTCCAAGGCTGGAGTGTAGTAGTGCTATCGCAGCTGACTGCAGCCTCAACCTTCCAGGCTGAAGCGATCCTCCCATCTCAACCTCCCACGTGGCTGAGACTACAGGTGCTTGCCACTATGCCCAACTAATATTTGGAATTTTCGTATACGTGGATTCCAGAGGGGTGACAGCAAAACGTGAGTAAGCATGGATTTTGGTATATGCAGAGATGGGGGGCTGGAACTAATTCTGTATACTGAGGGACGGCGACTGTATATGTTTTTACAATTACGCTGTAGGATACATACTGTTGCATAGCCTTGAAAATAATAATTTTTAATTGAGTGGAATAATAATATTGATAAAAGTAGCAGCTGGCCAGGTGTGGTGGCTCACACTGGTAATCGCAACACTTTGGGAGGCTGAGGCAGGAGGATGGCTTGAGGCCAAGAGTTTGCGATAGGCCTTGGAAACAAAGAGGGAGTCACCATCCCTACAGAAAAATACATGAATTAGCCTAGTGTGGTGGCATGTTCCTGTAGTCCCAGCTACTTGGGAGGCTGAGGTGGGAACATCACTTGACCCCAGGGAGGCTGAGACTGCAGTGAGTCATGATCAGGCCTCTGCACTCCAGCCTGGGTGACAGAGTGAGACCCTGTCTGAAAACAACAAAAAAGTAGCAGCTAACATCAACTGACCTTTTATACCAGGTGCCTATTGATATCATAGTTTAATTTCTTATAACTGCTTCTTATTTCACTTACCAACTCTGTCTTCAGTTACTCCCAGATTTTTACTGTGTTTGTACAGATGACCTTTTGTTTAGATTGAATTGTCTCCCCAGAAGTAAGATTACTGTGAGACATGGTGAATGGACATTCTCATTACCCTTGATGTAAATTGACAGGGTTTTGGGTGCCTCCCAGCTATAATCTTAGCACTTTGGGAGGCTAAGAGAGGAGGATTGCTTGAGGCCAAGAGTTGGAGGAGGCTGTATGGCAGTATGGTGAGACCCTGTCTCCATTATTTTAAAAAATTGACAAGCTTTACCCGGGAAGGCTTATACACAATTTAAACACCCCTCATAGTATAAGAGAGTGCCCATTTCACTGCACCTTTGCCAGCACAGGGTATTATAATTTAGTAAGTCATTTTTTGTTTGATTATTTTAAATAGATAAAAGACCTCATATTACTTTACTTGTCTCATTTCAACATCTTTCCTTAGCTTATTAGCTGTATTTCTTTTCTGTCTGTAAATGATTGTTGTTTTGTTCTTTGAGACAGGGTCTTGCTCTGTCACCAGGCTGGACTGTAGTGGCATAATCATACCTCACTGCAGCCTTGACCTCCCAGGCTCAAACTTCAGCATTCTGAGTAGCTGGGACTACAAGTGTGCACCACCACTCCCAGCTAACTTTTTTCTTTTTTTTGGATAGAGACAGGGTCTCACTGTGTTGTCCAGACCGGTCTCTAGCTCCTGGCCTTAAGCAATCCTCCTGCATTAGCTTCTCAAATTGCTGGAATTTCAGGCATGAGCCACCATGCCTGGCCTGGGCTAGTCCTGTATTCTCTAGAGTTTTCTTTACTTTGTGCTAGCCAATCTCTCATTATGCTGTTCACCTGTTCTAATGAATAATTCTCCATATTAAATTTTACCACTTTAAACTCTTGAGTGTTTTATGCTTCCTGATTGGACTCTGACTAATATGTTAGGAAGGGTCCCAGGAGATAAACCCACACATGGGATTTGGGCATAGGTTTGGTTTCCCAGGGGGCAGTGCTGAGCTCTTTGCCAGTGGGAAATGGGATGCTGGTGATTTCCAGGAAGTGACCTCACAGTGACTCAAGCTACCACTTACTGTTGATTGTGATGAAATGCCAGCTGAGGCACATGCCTTGGGAGCTAAGTGGTTGCTGCCCTTGACCACTATGAAGACTGGTGTGGGAAGGGTCGCTTTGGATGCACTTGAGCAGGGGTCCCCAACCCCTGAGCCATGGAGCCGTAAGGAGCCACACAGCAGGAGGTGAGTGGTGTCGAGTGAGGGAGTGAGGAAAGCTTCGTCTGTATTTACAGCCACTCCCCTTTGCTCACATTCCCGCCTGAGCTCCACCTTCTCAGATCAGCAGCAGCATTAGATTCTCATAGGAGAACGCACCCTGTTGTGAACTGTGCATGTGAGGGATCTAGGTTGTGCTGTCCTTATGAGAATCTAATACCTATTGATCTGTCACTTTCTCCCATCACGCTCAGGTGGGACCATCCAGTTGCAGGAAAACAAGCTTAACATGCCCACTGATTCTACATTATGGTGAGTTCTATAATTATTTTATTATATATTACAGTGTAATAATGGAAATAAAGTGCCTAATAAATGTAAACGTGCTTAAATCTTTTGGCCCAGCTCCTACCTCCCGGCAGCATCTCCAGGCCCAGAACTTTCTCCAGTCAGCCTCTACAGACCAAGCTCATGACTCACAATGGCCTATTTAGGCCCATACCCTACCTCACGGCAGTCTCCGCAGATGAGCCTACTGCCTCACAACAGCCTCCACAGGCACAGCTCCGTCGTTACAATGGCCTCTTTAGACCCAGCTCCTGCCTCCCAGCCTTCTCTCCAGGCCCTGAACTTTCTCAAGTCGACCTCACCAGGCCCAGCTCATGCTTCTTTGCAGCCTCTCCAGGCCCAGCTCCTGCATCTTGGTGACCCCTCCAGGCACAGCCTCTGCCTCCCGTCGGCCTCTACAGTCCCAACATCTGCCTCACAGCAGATTCTTCAGGCCCAGCATCTGCCTCACTGTGGACCCCCCAAGCCAAGCTCCCAACCTTTCAGCAGCTTCTACACACCCAGCTCCTGCCACCCAGTGGCCTCTTTAGGCCAAGCTCATGCTTCACAAGGGTCTTTCCAGGCCCAATTTTTGTCTCATGGCAACCTTCCCTGGCCAGATTCCTGCCTGTCTCCCAGCAGCCTAGACAGGCCCAGGTCTTGCCTCACACTGGCCTCTCTACATCCAGCTCATGCCTCACGGTGGCCTCTCCAGGCTCAACTCCTGTCCCAGGACGTCATCTCCGGGCCCAAAACTTAAAGTCAGACTCTCTAGTCCCAACTGCTGCCTCCTGGTGGATTATGAAGGCCCAAAATCTCCTCAAGTTGACCTCTACAGGCCCAGCTCCTGCCTCCTGTCAGCGTCTACAGGCCCAACCTCTGCCTTATGGGGGCTTCTCCAGGCCCACCTCTTCCTCTTGGCTGGGTCTACAGGCACAACTGCTGCCTCACAACAGCCTTTTTTGGCCCAGTTCCTGCCCAGCTCCCAGCGGCCCTGGTAGACCCACAACTTCCCGAAGCCAAGCTCCCCAGGCCCAGGTCAGGCCTCACGGTGGCCTCTCCAAGCTCAGCTCCTGCCCTCCAATGGCATCTGCAGGCCCCAAATGGTCTCCAGTCGGTGGGCTCCTCCACGCCAAGCTTGGGCCTCTTGGCGACCTCTGCAGGCCCAAGTTGTCCTGAAGTCGGCCTCTCCCGGCCCTGCCTCCCAGCAAGTAAGCAAGCTCTTTTGGCTCAACTACTGCCGAGCTCCCAACCGCCTTTCTAGGCCCCGAACTTTCTCCAGCCAAGCTCTTCGGGCCTACTTCCTGCCTCCCGGTGGCCTGTACAGGCCCAGCACTGGTTGGAGAACAGCCTCTGCAGGCCCCACTCTTGCCTCCCAGGGGCCTCTCCAGGCCCAGCTCTTGCCCCCACGGCGGCCTCCCGGGGCCAAGTCCCTGCCTGCCTCCCAGCAGCCCGCATGCGGCCCAGCTCCTTCTCACAGTGGCCTGTTGATGCCCAACTCATGCCTCTGGCACCCTGCCCAGAGACATGAGCCCCTGCCTCTCACTGGCTCCTCCCACGCTGAGACAGGTCAGCGTGAGCCCTTGCCTCACACCGGCCCCTCCCACGCTGAGAGGTCAGCATGAGCCCCTTGCCTCACACCGGCCCCTCCCACACTGAGAGAGGTCAGCGTGAGCCCTTGCCTCACACCGGCCCTCTCCCACGCTGAGAGAGGTCAGCGTGAGCCCTTGCCTCACACCGGCCCCTCCCACGCTGAGAGAGGTCAGCGTGAGCCCTTGCCTTACACCGGCCCCTCCCACGCTGACAGAGGTCAGCCTGAGCCCCTTGCCTCACACCGGCCCCTCCCACGCTGACAGAGGTCAGCCTGAGCCCCTTGCGTCACACCGGCCCCTCCCTCGCTGACAGAGGTCAGCGTGAGCCCCTAGCCTCACACCGGCCCCTCCCAGGCTGACAGAGGTCAGCGTGAGCCCCTTGCCTCACACCGGCCCCTCCCACGCTGACAGAAGTCAGCCTGAGCCCCTTGCCTCACACCGGCCCCTCCCTCGCTGACAGAAGTCAGCGTGAGCCCCTTGCCTCACACCGGCCCCTCCCACGCTGACAGAGGTCAGCGGGAGCCCCTTGCCTCACACCGGCCCCTCCCACGCTGACAGAGGTCAGCCTGAGCCCCTTGCCTCACACCGGCCCCTCCCACGCTGACAGAGGTCAGCCTGAGCCCCTTGCGTCACACCGGCCCCTCCCACGCTGACAGAGGTCAGCCTGAGCCCCTTGCCTCACACCGGCCCCTCCCACGCTGACAGAGGTCAGCAGGAGCCCCTAGCCTCACACCGGCCCCTCCCACGCTGACAGAGGTCAGCAGGAGCCCCTTGCCTCACACCGGCTCCTCCCACGCTGACAGAGGTCAGCCTGAGCCCCTTGCCTCACACCGGCCCCTCCCACGCTGACAGAGGTCAGCGGGAGCCCCTTGCCTCACACCGGCCCCTCCCAGGCTGACAGAGGTCCGCGGGAGCCCCTAGCCTCACACCGGCCCCTCCGACACTGACAGAGGTCCGCGGGAGCCCCTTGCCTCACACCGGCCCCTCCCATGCTGACAGAGGTCAGCGTGAGCCCCTTGCCTCACACCGGCCCCTCCCACGCTGACAGAGGTCAGCCTGAGCCCCTTGCCTCACACCGGCCCCTCCCACGCTGACAGGTCAGCCTCAGCTCCTAGCCTCACACCGGCCCCTCCCAGGCTGACAGAGGTCCGCGGGAGCCCCTAGCCTCACACCGGCCCCTCCCACGCTGAGAGAGGTCAACGTGAGCCCCTTGCCTCACACCGGCCCCTCCCACGCTGACAGAGGTCAGCGGGAGCCCCTAGCCTCACGCCAGCCCCTCCCACGCTGACAGAGGTCAGCGGGAGCCCCTTGCCTCACACCGGCCCCTTCCACGCTGAGAGACGTCAGCGTGAGCCCTTGCCTCACATCGGCCCCTTCCACGCTGAGAGAGGTCAGCGTGAGCCCCTGCCTCAACAGGCCACCGTGAGGGAGGAGCAGGCTTGCACGCGGGCTGCTGGGAGGCAGGCAGGGACTTGGGCCTGGGAGGTCACAGTGGGGCGAGAGCTGGGCCTGGAGACACCCCTGGGAGGCAACAGCGGGGCCTGCAGATGCTCTTCTCCAGCCGGAGCTGGGACTGTTCAGGCTACTGGTGGCGGGATGTGGGCCTGAGAGCTTGGTTGCAGAAACTTCGGGGTCTACAAAGGCCGGCGGGAGCTGAGCCAAAAGAGCTTGTTTGCTGGGAGGCAGGAGCTGGGCCGGGAGATGCAGCCAGGAGGAACAGCTGGGCCTGAAGAGGCCCCCATGTGGGAGGCAGAGGCCGGGCCTCCTCAAGTCGGCCTCTCCAGACCCACTTGCAGCCTCCCAGCGTCCTCTCCGGGCCCAGCTCTTCCTCCCGGCTGCGTCTCCAGGCCCGACTCTGGCCTCCCAACAACGTCTTTGGACTCAGCTCCTGCCCAGCTCCCAGCGGCCCTGGTAGACCCACAACTTCCTGAAGCCAAGCTCCCCAGGCCCAGCTCAGGCCTCACGGTGGCCTCTCCAGGCTCAGCTCCTGCCCTCCGATGGCATCTGCAGGCCCCAAATGGCCTCCGGTCGGTGGGCTCCTCTAGGCCCAGCTTGGGCCTCCCGGCGGCCTCTGCAGGCCCAAAACGTCCCGAAGTTGGCCTCTCCAGGCCCAGCTCCGGCCTCCTGGCGGCCTTTGCAGGCCCAAGTCGTCCTCAAGTCGGCCTGGAATTAGGCCTGGAAGAGCAGCAAGTCAGCCTCTCCGGGCCCAGCTCCATCCTCTCGGCGGCCTCTCCAGGTGCAAAACTTCCTCGAGTCAGCCTCTCCAGGCCCAGCTCCTCCTGCCTCCCAGTGGCCTCTTTCAGCCCAGCCCAGCCCAGCTCATGGCTCTCGGCAGCCTTCCCAGGCCCCGCTTTTGACTTTTGGCGGCCTCTTCAGGCCCAGAACTTGCCCTCCAGTGGACCTTTGCAGGCCCGGCCTCGGCCTCGGCCTCACAGCGGACTCTCCACGCCCAGCTAGCTCTCACCTCACTGCGGCCTCCCCAGTCCAAAGCTCCTGCCTTTCGGCCGCTTCGGCAGGTCCAGCTCCTGCCTGCCAGTGGCCTCTTTAGGCCCAGCTCATTCCTCACAATGGTCTTCCCAGGCCCCGTTTTTCCCTTCTGGCAGCCTCTTGGCCTCTAATTTGTTTATCTTTTGTGTATAAATCCCAAAATATGGAATTTTGGAATATTTCCACCATTATATGAATATTTTGGTAGGTAATTTATTTGGAGTTAGTTTCTGCACCATGCCCGAATTTTTTATTTTATTTTCCTTATTATTTGGTGTTAAACAGATTTAATGACGGTCATGGCAACTTTTTGGCACAATGAAAAATATCGCCCATGATTAATGTGTTCTGTTCTGGGGAAGGGGGCAAAGGCAGGGTGAATCACTTTCTTAAAAAGTATAGCTCAAGTTGGGAGTGCAGAGGGAATGGGGAGAAAACCCTCCCGCTGCCTGTGTCGAAGTGCAGGAGCCCCCACCCCCATACTCACCTGAGTCCAGCCCCTCTGGGGAAAGAAGGGGTGCATGAACTCCCCCTAGTCCACAGGCGCCTCCATGTGGCCCAAGGCCCTCTTCACACTCCATCTTGTAGCCCCAGCAGGAGCTATTTTCCGAAAAGTGAAAAGCTCTGAAGGTCCCACAATTCATGGTATGTACAGGGGCTCAGAGGAGGGAAACTGCCCAGTTTTCCCCCGGCACAGCTGCAGGGGTAGGGGGTATAGATAAGAGGAGCAGGCCTTGGCCAGGCGTGGTGGCTCACGCCTGTAATCCCAACACTTTGGGAGGTGGAGGCAGGTGGATCACGATGTCAGGAGATCGAAATCAGCCTGGCCAAGATGATGAAGCCCCGTCTGTACTAAAAATACAAAAATTAGCCGGACGTGGTAGCGTGCACCTGTAATCCTAGCTACCCGGAAGGCTGAGGCAGGAGAATGGCGTGAACCCGGCGGGAAGAGGTTGCAGTGAGCCAAGATCGCACCACTGCACTCCAGCCTGGGCGACAGAGCAAGACTCGGTCTCAAAAAAAAAAAAAAAAAGAGGCAGGCCTTATTCCGTCCTAAACTCTTTACCTGGGAGAAGATAACCATCCTGCCCTCCATTGCTACCCCCACATACTGTCCATGTTCTCAGGGGGTACTGTGAGTCCTGGGATCTTCTTTCGGGTCAGCCACGTGCCTGTGGTAGTTATGGAGACCCCCAGGTGTTGAGGCAGGGCTGGGGTGTCCCCTTCCAACCAGGCTGTCAAGGCCCCAACTCTGGGGCAGAGGCAGTGGCAGGGCAGCCAGGGTTGCCCCAGAGCCTGAGCAGGGTGAGGTGGGGTCAGGCAGGGCTGGGAGTCAGGGCAGGGGCAGCAGCAGTGGACCCGCTATGCACACATCATCTTCTCCAAGGTTTGTGTGCAGAATATCCTGCCCATGCTGCCCCAGCAGCTTCAGTTGGCACCTGCCCCAGTCCAGCCTCTGGGAACCATGCAGTGGCTCCCAGCGGCCCTGCAGCCACCACCAGCATCCGTTTCACCTGCAGTTGAAGATCCGTGAGGTGCCCAGAAGATCATGCAGTCATCAGTCCCACGGAGCAGCCCGCGAGGCTGAGGCTCCTCCCACTGGACCGCCCCCCAACTGGCACCACTGCTGCCCCTGCCCCTACTCTCAGCCTCATGTGACTCTCGGGCAGAGACAGTGGTGGGGCAGCCACGGCAGCGTCAAAAGTCTGAGCCAGGTGAGGTCCGGTCAGGACCCCCACAGGGCTGGGAGTCAGGGCAGGGGCAGAACAAACCTTGGAGTGGAAGATGTGTGCATAGTGGGCCTGGAGGGTGGCTGTGGCCTAGTGGACAGGAAGAAGCAGTGGGCCTGGAAGAGCTGCATGATCAGGGCCGGCACTGGTCCAGGGCGCGTGCAGTGAAGAGGACAGTGCCTTCTCGGTCTCCGGTTCCCTGAGCCTGTCCTCGGCTTCTCCACCTGTACAGGCAAAGGGGAAGCTGTCCCCATCACACATGGCACACTTGGGGGTGTTGGGCTTTGGGCTGCAGCTGGAGCATCTTCTCATCTTGCGTTTGGGCGTGGTGGGGTCTTCCAGTGTGGGATCCATGTCCGTGGGGTTCCCTCTGCCCCGACCCCGAAAGACCAGTCAGTTTCTCTTCAGGATCTGCCCCCCGGGTGGCTCAGCCCAGCTCCTGCCTAGGAAAGCCTTAGTGTTGGGAGGGACCCTGATGACTGAGGAGCCTGGTAGCTCCAGGTCGCCCACACTTTCAGGTCTCTTGCACCAGAAGGTGGCGGGATCCATTGGGAGGAAACAGGTCGCCTTGGAAGGCATCCCTGGGCCCCCATCCCCAGGGGTAGGGGCCGTAGGGGGCCCACTCTGCTGCCTTGACCAGACTCCTGGGCTTCGAAGGCTCCCGGGCCCAGTAAGAAGGAGGTGGGTGCCAAGGTTGAGGAGGAAGCATCCGAGTATGTGTAGGAGGAGGACAGGGTGGGACCATAGACTTTGCCAAAAGCTGCAGGTGGATCGGGGGACCCTGGGGGCTCAGGATCCAGCAAGGGGCAGCAGGAGTAAAGGAGGAAGGAATGACAGGTGCAAATACCTTCCCACCAAAGCCCTTGTTGCCCTGTGGCTCCTCCCCAGAGTTGTCCCCACTCTGTCGGTCACTCACTCCTTGAACTTGAGATCGGTGTCAGTGGTGCTAAAGCCATCATCAGCAATGACATCATCACCCCCTCCTCCTCATGGATGATCGTGTGCGCCTCATCACTCGCTATGTCCTCACTGGCCATGTGCTGGGAATGAGCAGCTCAGGTGGGCAGCAGCAGGGCTGCCCACTGGTCACCTCCCTCACCAGGGGCTGCAAAGTGGCCTGGAGCTCCATACTGAGTAGAAGGCTTTGGGCCAGAGTATGATGCATTGCCAGACACCACCTGTGTCAGTTCCTGTAGTGCCTGATGATCTATTTCCCTGCCATCCAGGCTGTGTACCCCCCTGTGGGAGAAGGCTTGGGCCAGGCTGAGCTAGGTTCCCTGACTGTGTGCAGCCGTTCTGCCCCACAGAAGCTGCTCCTTGGTATCCGAGCTCTGGAGTGTTTGGGCTGCAACTGACAGGAATTCAGAGGACACCCCAGGGGCAGTGGCAGTGCCCGTCTCTGATATGCTCCACTCCCACGAGCCCTTGTTACACTCCTGCTAGCCCCTGGCTTGTGAGCTTGGCCTCTGAGCTGGACTTCTTTCGGTCCTTGTTGCAAGTGGGCCACCTTCACCTGGAAGGCCAGGTCGTGGTATTTCTGTGTCTCATTGGGCCCCAGGGTGTACCACCACTCGTTCAGCATCTGGCTGACAGTCCGGTTATCCTGGTTGGGGTGACCCTGGTGTGCCCTGCCAGGGCCTGGTGCCGCTTGCTGAAGATCATGACCGCCACTCATGGGCCACTGGATGTGGTCCTTGTCCCATTTGTTGGGGCTGCGTCCATCCTTCTCAGAAGATGAGTCCTGTTCCTTGCGCAGGGCACTGAGGGACTGGGCCTGACATCATCTGAGTGGTAGAGGCAACTGGGTGTCAGGAGACATGATGGAGAGGAAAGCATCATCATGGTCATTCTCTGTCTCACTGTACAGCAGGGACTCCCCTGAGGGGCCCAGGGCTCCTCCTCCATGGTGGGAGGTGAGCTTTTACCAGGTTCCACCACCCCCAAAATGTGTGGGGTTGCGGGCCCTGGGCTTTCAGGGCAGGTGGCTCCAGGGAGCCACCCAGGGTCAACACTCCCCGTCCCACCTGGTGGATGCTCATGAGCAACAGCTGCCAACTTGGCAGGTTGTTTTCTCTGGTTGGAGGCCACTGAGTGACTGGCAGGTTGCTGGGCCTCGTGTGGCTGCAGGGAGGGGTCAGGAAGGGGATGGAGTACCAGGGGAACACGGCCACAGAGTGACCTTCCACATTCCTCCACACAAACATGCTGAGGCCACGGGAGGCCTCACTGAACGCAGGCCTGGGGGCCGAGTACTTGGTCCGGGCAGGGGGTTCCTGGCAGGGGCTCACACCTCCTCGCCCCCTCCTCAGCCAAGGTGGCTTGGGCCCAGAGAAGGGGGGGTTGGAGAGGAGCAGAAGGCCAGGCCTCAAGTTTTATTTTTTTTTTGTTTTGTTTTTTGTTTTTGAAATGTAGTTTGACTCTTTTCACCCAGGCTGGAGTGCAGTGGCACGATCTCAGTGGCCTTCATACCTGGCTAGTTTTTTGTATTTTTACTGGAGGTGGGGTTTTGCCATGTTGGCCAGGCTGGTCTTGACCTCCCATCCTCAGGTGATCCACCCACCTCGGCCTCCCAAAATGGGATTACAGGCATGAGCCACCGCTCCCAACTTCATTCATTTTTACTTGAAAAACTCCGTTAAGCATTTTTTTAAGGTAGACCTAGTGGTCCTGAATGCCTTCAGCTTTGTTTGTCGAGGAAACACATTAGTTCTTCTTTCTTTCTGAAGGACAGCTTTGTCAGACATAGTATTAGTTGCTGGCAGTTTTTTTCTTTCAGCACTTTGAATGTATTATTCGATTCTGTCCTGACCTGCAAAGTTTCTTTAACTTTTGACTATTTGATTATATTGTGACTTGGTGAGTATCTATTTGGTTTGAACCTCTTTAGGAATCTTTAAGCTTCATGGATTTAGATGTCTAAATCTTTCCCATGATTTAGGCAGTTTTCAGCCATTCTTTAAATAAGCTTTCTTTTCCTTTGTCTACTTTCCTTCTCAAACTCCCATAACCTGACAATGGTTTGCCTAATGGTGTCTTGTTGGCTTTCTTTTCTCTGTCTTTTTTTTTCTTTTTTTTTTTTTTTGAGACAGAGTCGTGCTCTGTCACCCAGGCTGGAGTGCAATGTGTGGTCTCGGCTCACATTGCACTCCAACCTCCGCCTCCTGGGTTCAAGCGATTCTCCTGCCTCAGCCTCCCAAGTAGCTGGGACTACAGGTGTGTGCCACCACACCCGGCTAATTTTTGTATTTTTAGTAGAGATGGGGTTTTGTCATGTTGGCCAGGCTGGTCTTGAACTCCTGACCTCTTAATCTTCCTGCCTTGGCCTCCCAAAGTGTTGGGATTACAGGCTTGAGCCACCACGCCCAGCCTTCTTTTCTCTTTTTTATTCTTTTTTTCTTTGTCCTCTGACTGGATAATTTCAGAAGATCTATATTCAAGTTTACAGATTCTCTCTCCTGTTGAAGTTTACTATTGTGTTATATCACCCAGTCTGGTCTTGAACTCCTGGGCTCAAGCGATCCTCCCACCTTGGCCTCCCAAAGTGCTGAGTTTACAAGCATGAGCCACTGCATCCAGTCAGTCCCAGCACTTTGGGAAGCTGAGGTGGGAGGATCACTTGAGCTCAGGAGTTTGAGACCAGCCTGGGCAACATACTGAGAACTTGTCTCTATATTTAAAAAAAAAAAAGTCTTTGGGAGGCCAAAGCGGGAGGATCACCTGAGGTCAGGAGTTCGAGACCAGCCTGGCCAACATGGCAAAACCCCATCTCTACTAAAAATACAAAAATTAGCCAGGTGTGGTGGCACACGCCTGTAGTGGTGGTGCATGCCTGTAGTCTCAGCTACTCAAGAGGCTGAGGCAGGAGAATCACTTGAACTGGGAGATGGAGGTTGCAGTGAGCTGAGATTGCACCAGTGCACTCCAGCCTGGGCAACAGAGTGAGACTCCATCTTATAAAAGGAAAAAAGAAAAGAAAAATTCCATATCTGAATGTTTACTCCTGAGTTTTTGAGATTGCTATTAAGATCGTGCTCTACTGTGATGATTTGGGTTTGTTTGATAATCAGAAAAAAGCATATTCTTTTGGGTGTTCAGCCACACTGCTTTGGTGTCACAACTGCACATTGGTTTCAAGCTGGAGGACAAGTTCGAGCATCTTAAAATGATTCAACAGGAGGAGATAAGGAAGCTCGAGGAAGAGAAAAAACAACTGGAAGGAGAAATCATAGATTTTTATAAAATGAAAGCTGCCTCTGAAGCACTGCAGACTCAGCTGAGCACTGATACAAAGAAAGACAAACATCGTAAGAAGCAATAGTTTCTCTTACTATTCTGAGAGCCTTATCATTCTACATCCCATCTTCCTGTGAGATTGTCTTTGTAGCATTTAACTCTAATTGCAGTTCTCATTTTAAAAATTGGCTTGCTTATTGTATATTTTCCCCAACTAAAGCGTGAACTCCTAGCAGGGCGTGGTGGCTCATGCCTGTAATCTCAGCACTGTGGGAGGCCAAGATGGGTCGACTACCTGAGGTTAGGAGTTCGAGACCAGCCTGACCAACATGATGAAACGCTGTCTCTACTAAAAATACAAAAATTAGCTAGGCGTGGTGGCTGGGACCTGCAATCCCAGCTACTTGGGAGGCTGAGGCAGGAGAATCACTTGAACCCTGGAGGTGGAGGTTGCAGTGAGCAGAGATCTCACCATTACACTCCAGCCTGGGTGACAAGAGCAAAACTCCATCTCAAAAAAAAAAAAAAAAAGGGTGAACTTGAAGGCAGGTCCTGTGTCCATCTTTTCAGATTCTGTATCCCAGCACTTAGGACATAGACAAACACGAAGATGACAATCAATATTTGCCAAAATGAAAAAACAAAAGAAATATGTAACATCATGTAAAAGAAGATGGTTAGGTGGAGAAATTTCTTTACCATAGTCTTGCTTGTGGATCCAGTAGTGACTTTTACATTTTATATCTAAATAGAAGCTGGAGGCTTTGTTGGGACTCATAGGCATAAAATATTATGTTATTTATTATAGAGTTAAATGCTACAAAGACAAATCTAATTAATAGGCCTATTTTCCTTTTTAAATTCTACTCATAATTTCTTCATAGTTTTTATGATAAAAGGTTGGATTTTGATTAGAACTCCCATGCTTTTGTGTCAGAATTAAAACTGGTATTAGAATAAATAATTCAAAAGCTAGAGAAAGAGTACAATGAGAAGCCATGAGTTGCGTTTGAATTATAATATTATGTCTTACAGATTTGGGGTATATGCTAAAGTTACCAAAGTTGTAGAAAATAAGGCCGGGCATTGTGGCTCACATCTGTAATTCCAGCACTTTGGGAGGCCGAGGTGGGCAGATCATTTGAGGTCAGGAGTTCAAGACCAGCCTGGCCAACATGGTGAAACTCCGTCTGTACTAATAGTACAAAAATTAGCCAGGCGTGATGGTGTGCACCTGTAGTCCTTGCTACTCAGAAAGCTGAGGCAGGAGAATCGCTTGTACCCAGGAGGCAGAGGTTGCAGTGAGCAGAGATTGTGCCACTGCACTCCAGCCTGGGTGACAGAGTGCTATGAGTCACCACACCTGGTATGAGCCACTGTGCCTGGCCCACAATGACTTTTACACAAGTTGTTAAGTCATCTTACAGATTTTATAATTTGGGGGAAGAAAAGTTTTACTAAATGGTCTTTTAATGGAAACTCTACAAGAACCAGAATCTTTGCTTTGTTCACTTATGTATCTATTCCTAGGCCTAGAAAAATGTCTGACACATAGCGGCAATTATTCATTGAATAAATGGACCCAGCGATAGTACATTACCTATGCTATATGCATACATTAAAGATGTAGATTATCGACTTTCAAAAGATAATTAATGTAACTTCTTACTGCTTCTGAACATGTTTGTGAGTTATATTGCTGAGGGACCTTTATCTTCTCATTCTTTCATCTTAACCCAGTGTTATAAAATTGAAATCACCAATATTATTCCATATCTAAAATTAATATCTACCCTGTAAAAAATATCACTCTGCTGCATTTGAGAATAGACTTTTTAGGTAATAATGATGCAATCCATAGGGTTTTTTGGGGGCACAGAGGTATTCATGCTAACAGAACATTTTATTTTCTATTTTCCCAGAGCTGTAAAACATGAAATTAGGGTAGTATAAGGCATATTTTTACTCTTTTTATAATTTTTTCTAAAAAAAAATTAGTGTTTGTTCCCTATATAACTTTTAACTTTATAGGTAAATATTTGTCTCTTTCAGCTCCAGTTTTATGTGAAATAGAGTTTTCAGATTTATGTAGCATGGAAAGTTTTAATACGTCAGAGTTACTGATTTTTGCCTATCATTTTCTCAATTATTTCTTTTTTATCTTTAGTTGATTTTTTTGTAGTGACACATCTTGTTTCTAGTCTCATTTCCTTTTGTTTATATTCTATGTATATTTCATTTTTGGTTACTATGAGAATTACATATAACATCCTAGAGTTATAACATTTTAATTTGAATTTATTTCAACTTAAGTTCAATCACATACCAAAATTCTACTGCTATATATATAGCTCTACTCTTTTTATGTTATTGATGTAACAAATTATATCTTTATTCATTGTATACCAGCTAACAGATTTACAATTACATTTTATGCATTTGCCTTTTAAATTATGTAGAAAATAAAAAGCAGAGTTACAAACCAAAATTATAATAGGACTGTTTTTATATTTGTTTATGTATTTACCTTTACCAGAGAGCTTTGTATATTCATACAGCTTGCTTATTTATATAGTTATTGCCTAGAGTTCATTTATTTCAACCTGAAGGACTTAACACTTCTTGAATGGCAAATTCAGGGATAAATGGATTTTTTTTCAGTTTTAAAAAAAAATCCAGAAATGTCTTAATTTCTTCCTCATTTTTGAAGGATAAGTTTTCCAGCTATAGATTTCTCAATTGACAGGTTTCTTCATTATTTTAAATATATAATCCACTGCCTACTGGCCTTCAAGGTTTCTGCCGAGAAATCAGCTGCTAATGTTATCTGGATCCCTATCTGTGAGAGTTGCTCTTCTCTCTGAGTTTTCAACATTCTCCCATTATCTTTTTTTTGTTTGTGTTTGAGACAAGTATTTGTACATATTCATGGGATACAGAGTGATATTTTGATACATGTATACAATGTCCAATGATCAAATAAGGATAATTAGCATATCCATCACCTCAAATATTTGTCATTTATTTGTATTGTGAACAGTCAACATTCTTCTAGTTTTTTAAATTTATAAACATTTAAATTTTATTACAGAAATTTAAATTTTTTGATTCTGAAAAAGTCATATATGTATGCAACATCTTTTTATCATTTATTTATATATTTATGCATCTTTCCTTTTAGTTTTGACAGAGATTTTCTATTTTATCATTATTTCAAAAGAACTCTTACCTGTATTTATTTATCAATTATATTTCCCTTGTTTTTTCCTAGTATATTAATTTATTTACTTATCTTCTAAAAATCCTCCATATAATCTGTTTATTTTGTTTCCTTTCTATAATTTCTTCAATGATTAGTTCTGTTCTATTTTCCATTAAAATATTTAAATCTTGTATGAATTTTTGTCAGATTAGAAATTTAGGGCATTTCTTAATTTCTCTATATTCTAGTTTTGACTTTTTTTTTTCTTACCTAGGAGGTATTTAGAGCACATTTTAGATTTTTTATTTTGACTAATCATTTAAAATGTATACTAATCTTCAATTTAAATAAAAAACTGGCCTATAGTGACAAAAATTACAAATGAGCCTAACAAATTATCAGCTGTGTTTATATGTATAGGCATGCACAGATTTTAGTAAATATGTACATAGTATATTGGTGAGCTTATTTTTATCATTCTTAACTCATTGTGTAGTCTAAACATTGGGGAAAAAATAAAATACAATAATCAGATGGTGTGAATAAGAAAATTGTTCTACTGTTTGTAAACCAAGCAACTGTTTTAACTACTCCCCTCTTCCTGATTGACTTCTAAAAGGGATTAATCCATATTGGGTCCTATCATATATGTCACGGTATAACATCTCCAGCTATAAAATGGAAATTTGAGAATAACTTTGCTGCTACTCAGATACATTTTATTTCAGAAACATACACTAAGGTGTTGCTGTTGGATCTTTCCAAAAACATATTCACACAGAACTTTCAATCACACTGAGCCATATTTGAACAATCTTTCAAGGTCAGCTCTGGCATAAGCTAACATTATACCATTTAACTCAGAAATTTCTTTAGTGTTTGATTAATGGGTTTATGTTTGATATGTAATGTAATTTTCTAATGCTAAATCAAGTGGTAATTTTGTTAGTCAAGTTGATTTAGTGGCTTGGGAAGAAAGCTTTTAATGTTCCCCTAATTTTTCTTACCTTTGACATGATCCTTCACATGTCTTATTTTGCTTAGTGAGTTTTCTTTCTTTTTTTTTTTTTTTTGAGACAGGGTCTTACTCTACCACCCAGGCATGAGTGCAGTGGTGCGATCACAGCTCATTGCAGCCTTGACCTCCCAGACTCAAGCTATTCTTCCACCTCAGCCTCCCAAGTAGCTGGTACTACAGGCACATGCCACCAAACTTGGCTAATTTTTGTATTTTTTATAGAGACAGAGTTTTGCCAAATTCTCAGGCTGGTCTGGAATTTCTGGGCTCAAGTAATCCTGCCTTGGCCTCCCAACATGCTGATATTACAGACATAAGCCACAGTACCTGGCCAGTTTTCTTTTTTAAAAAATCTATTGGTTATTAATTTGAAGCCTTCCTTTTCATAGCTGTGCTCCTTAATTGGGAGCAAACATGAATGGACCACAACTGAGCCAATTTTCTATATACGATCTTTGCCATCCTAATTTAAAGGAATATTAATTCTTTCTTTTCCTCTTTCATTCCACAAACCTGTATTGACTACATCTAAGTTCTAAATGGTGCACTGGATGTTGAAAAAATTGATGATGAGCAAGAACAAAATTCCTCCTTTCAAGAGACTTACAGTTCAATATGGGAAATATAATTTTTTAAAATATAAAAGTGCAATTGTGTTACATGCTGTACGAAGTACATGTTGACATGTGAGCATATAATAAATGGGCTAGAGGCCAGAGGATTGCCAAAGAGAATGGGCCTCCTGCTGAGATGAAAAGTTGAGGAGGGATTAGTTGGTGAAAGTGGAGGGACGATCCTTTCTAGGCAGGAGGAAGAACATGCACAGAATCTCTGAGGTGTGATGCAACAAAGTCTATATAAAAAACTGAAGAAAGGTCTAATGTGGCTTAAATACAGAAGCTAGTAGGAGAGGAGTTGAAAAGAGACTGGAGAAGTAGAAAGTGTCTGCATTCTGCAGGAACTTATATTGTATAAAAAGAATTTCTCTTTTTTCTAAGTGCAATGTGAAGCCAATGAAGTGCTCTAAACGGGTGATGTGATTTGATTGAATTTATTACTTCACTTAACAAATATTCATTACATGCCCACTGTTTGTCAGATATTGCTGTAGCCCCTGGTGATACAGTAGGGAATAAAACAGGCAAAAATCCCTGTCCTCTTGCAGCTTATAATGGACTGCAATGTTTAATATGTCAGAGGAGGTCCACGGAGGAGTGACTTCTAAGCAAGAATCTGAAAAAAATGAGGATATCTAAGGAGGGAACAAATGGTTCAAAAGCCCTATAATTGCAAGCAGGCATGATGAAGCAATTGTAGTTGTCGTGACTCTCAACACCGTGGAACTCAAAGGAGATGGAAAGATTCTTTCTCTCTATCCTATATTTTCTCTCTTTCTGTCTATATATATAGAATATGAGACATTTCCCTAATCATTTATGTGTAATTACAATTACATATATATATGTATGTAATATATAAACATATATATGTAATTGTAATTACACATAATGATTAGGGAAATGTCTCATATTCTTCTACTCAGAAATAAGCAATATAGCAATTACTGTTTTTTACATTTTACAGTTACAGTTTCAGAGAAAGTTTGATATTTATCAAAAATTTTTCAATGTATGAACTTTTTCATTTGACAAACCATAATTGTACATATTCTTGGGATACAGAGTGATATTTCTTTACATGTATAGAATGTGTAATGATCAAATCAGGGTAATTTCCACTAATTTAAAATGCCACCTTTATGTTATTGTAATTTATATATATTCTATATATATATACACACACACATATATATACATGTCCACATACAGTGTGTGTGTGCACATGTACACACATGCATATGTGTATATAATGCCCAGTATAAGCAATGTGCACAAATAAAATTAGCTAACAGAGATAGTATAGAGTGAGAGGAGAGGGAGATTAATCTTCGAGGAAAAGCACAATTTTATGGCTGAATGGAGAAAGCTGAGGTGGTTTCTAAGATGGAGAATAAGACGAAAAATGTAAGTACATTGTTTGACTGAATTCAAGAAAGAAGGGTAAAAGAGAAGTAAGTAGTGGTCTTATCATTAAATGCCACAGAGAGGTAAAGATAAAAACAACATATTGTTTTGGGTTTAGTAATTTAAGGGTTACCAAATTCCGTTTTGGAGGAGGAACAGATTCCATGTCCACTAGAATGGAATGAACAAGAAATGGAGGAGGAAAATAGGTAGTTTTTCAAAAGTTTTCAAAAATATGAAAAGAAGAAATGAAATGGTACTTGGAAGAGATTGTTGAAATGGGAGAGACTATGGTGGCTTGTTTAGAAGCAGTTGAGATAGATCCAATTGAGATAGAGATATTGAGTATATAAACAAAAGAATGACAAATTAATAGTGTAATGGATAACTTGACTTTGGCAAATATTGTGAATTTTTGTGAAAGTACAACTAAAAGGCAATGTCACTCCAATAATCACCAGAGTAATCAATTTGCTTATTGCTGTCCCTTTAAATATAGTTCTCTGGTATCAACTAACATGTTTTTAACTAATGATGCTTCTTAAAGAAAAGGGAAAAGACCTTTTTCTTTCTTTCAGTCTTCAATGATTCACTGCTTCATCTCGCTCCACCAAAGATAAATGAAATCTACATCTCTTATACATTAACAATGCATGACAATTTATAAATAGCTAAATTTTTGGAGCTAACTTTAAGTACCTGAATGGAATTTAATCAACCCACTAATCTCCTTCTCACTTCTCAGTTATTTATCAAGTTTATGTCAAGGGACAAGGAAAAATTATCCAAACATTGTTTAAAACAATCATCATTAATTAGTAACACTTATCCAGGGGGGTTTTTAACCTTTCCCCCACTCAAGGATTATTCTAATGTCAGAGTAGAATAAAAAATAAGTGCAGCGATGCTGACTCTTCCAAGCTTAACATTTCTCACAAGTCAATTAGCTTTGTACTGGGAGGAGGGCGTGAAGGGCTGCTTGCGGTAGTTGTGTAGCAGCAGCACAATGGCCGCAGACAAGGAAAACAGTTTCTAGGAATTCCTCGTATATAATTTTATATTTTTGACAAGATTAATGACCCATGCTCCCTTCCTCTCCATTTCTTTTTTTGGAATTCTGTTGGTATGTAGTTACTATGTTTTATTAAAGGAAATTAGCCTTATCTCTTATTATATTTTATTAAAGAAAATTATTATATTATTCCTTTATATTTTTATTAAAGGAATTTATTATTATTATTATTAAAGGAAATTAGCCTTATCTCTTATTATATTTTTTATGACCTTCAAAGTAGTGTCTCTGCTTAAAAGTGTACCTTGGCCGGGCGTAGTGGCTCACACCTGTAATTCCAGCACTTTGGGAGGCCGAGGCAGGTGGATCACGAGGTCAGGAGATCGAGACCATCCTGGCTAACACGGTGAAACCCCGTCTGTACTAAAAATACAAAAAATTAGCAGGGCATAGTGGCGGGCGCCTGTAGTCCCAGCTACTCGGGAGGCTGAGGCAGGAGAATGGCGTGAACCCAGGAGACGGAGCTTGCGGTGAGCTGAGATCGCACCGCTGCACTCCAGCCTCGGCGACAGAGCAAGACTCCGTCTCAAAAAAAAAAAAAAAAATGTGTACCCTGAAGCACACATCAAGCGACATGTAGAGTTCATAAATTCTGGCCAAATGGTCATACCTCAAACCTAATCAGCACTAAGGCTCTTTACTTGCACTGACAAATATGAATGCTGGGGAATTTGGAAATGATATATAATATATAATATTATATATATAATAGATATATAATATATAATATTATATATATAATAGATATATAATATATAATATATATAAAATAGATATATAATATTATATATATAATAGATATATAATATATATATAATAGATATATTATATATAATAACTTTCCATGTGATTTTCCTCTTAATTTTTTTTCTAGCTGATCCATATGAATTCCTCTTATTAAGAAAAATAAAGCATCCAGGATTCAATGAAGAACTGACTATCACCTTGTTAATCATTCAGAAACATGTTGCAGACTTAAGCCATTTTTGATATACATACTGAAACAATTACTTGCTAAGAGCAAACTTGAAGGTATGGATAAGGCCCTGAGTCATCTTCCTGAGCTGAATGATAGTTAAGCTGAATGTACGTATAAAATATGATTTTCTAACCACTTGCTCGCCAACAAGGAAAACTTTTAAGTAGAGCAGAACCTGAATAGACAATATATTTCTTTCTTTTGGTAGAAAATGATTTACCATCACTGTCTAGTTAATTGTAGACTAGGTAATTTTAAATTTGTGATTTATTGCTGGAGACATTTTCTTCGGTACTGTAAAGTGTGTGTCAAAAAAATAGCGATTTTGGAGGATTAGGGGACTTTGATAAATTGCCTGCAATTCTGGCAGTATGAACTGCATATTAATTTTCTCTTTCAAGAACATTTTTATTTATTAATTCCTTACAAAAACTACCTAAACTTTGGAACAGCTCTCAATTGCCTGTATTCTTTTTTTTCTTATTATGGTACTCTTCTAGAGATTTGGCTTGCATCTATGAATAAGCCAGGACATCTTCAGAAATTGTCTGATTAAAAACACCACCAATGGAGTTTCATTAAATTTGTATTGCTCTGACTAGTGAAACACACACATCTATGTTGCTTAGGATATTTTACTGCAGTTTGAGTTGTAATAATAGCTCTGTTTATGATCCGTCAGTCACTTGAATCTTCTCTAAGGCTTTGTATGTTAGAAGTTAATTTGCTTTCTTACAAGGCCACATTCTATCTTGTAACTAAACAACTGAATTTTATGTCTTAGCGTAGATGGTTTATTACTTTCTGGTTTTTCTTTAGTAAGAATCCTATAAAAACACTAGTATTTTTCTCTGAGTTTAAAATTCAACATATGCCTACTGATATGGTTAGGCTTTGTATCCCCACCTGAATCTCATCTTGAATTGTAATCCCCATAGCCCCCATAATCCCCACATGTCAAGGGAGAGACCAGGTGGAGGTAATCCCCTTTGCTGTTCTTGTGATAGTGAGTTCTCACGAGATTTGATGGTTTTATAAGGGATTCTTTCCCCTTTGCTCGGCACTTCTTCATGCTTCCTTGCGAAGAAGCTGCCTTGCTTCCCCTTTGTCTTCCGCCATGATTGTAGATTTCCTGAGGCCTCCCAAGCTGTACTGAACTGTGAGCCAATTAAACTTCTTTCCTTTATAAATTACCCAGTCTTGGGCAGTTCTTTATAGCAGTATGAAAACAGACAAATACACCTACTATGTAAAACTTAAAATACAAAAAAACAAAACATTATCTCACTAATATAGGAGCTAATATTTTGGTGTACTTTGTTTAGTGTTTTATATTAAAAATATGTACATATATATTTATATATAATTAAGAACATTTATGTACAATCGTGCATACATCATGTACATACATCTACTTAGGAAAATAGCTATGTAATATACCATTACTCAACTAGATTATAATTTTTTCTCCATTTCTTTATTGTAAGTTATTTATCATTTTCTACTTTTTTGTTTTCTCATTTTTATTGCATAATATTTAATTATGCAAAAAATACATTAAATACATAGAAAATATATAATGTAGCTATAAGAATAAAGAACGATGGTAAAACAAATGCTAATACCCACTACCTGACTTAAAGAATATGATACTATTTTTTTCCAATTGAAATCCCCTCAACTACTCAGAATTACTGCTATCCCTTTTATCCTTTCATTAATTTTCTTCTAGTTTTCTCACATGTGAATCTATTTCTAAATACATTTCTTTATTTTGCAAGCTTTTGGACTTCATATAAGTGTAACCATATTGTATATATTCTTCTTCAGCTTCTTACTTTTTCACTAAACAATATGTTTTGCTGATACTTACATTCATATGTACAGTAATAGTTGATTTATTTTAATGGCTATATATTATTCCATTGTTAGAATACACCAGGATTTATTTTTACTTATTTTTTTTTGCTGGAAAATTGGGTGTCTTTTTTATTTTTTGATATAACAAACAATGTTGTAATCATTTTGTATTTACTTCCTAGTCCACTCCTGTAAGTTTCTCTTGAGTACATACTAGCAATGAAGATGCTGAGTCACTGCATATACATACTCACAACTTTATTCTATAATGTAATATTCTATAAAGTAGCTGTATCAGTTTATACTTTAACCAGTAATGGACAAGATTTTCTGTTACTTCCCATCTTTGTTAATTATTACTTTTAGACTCTAACTTTTATCAGGCTCATGGATGTAAAAAGCATCTCAGGGTGGTTTTAATTTGCATTTATCTGCTCATCTATGAAGATGAGCTTCTTTTCATATAATTATGAGTCATTATTTTTGTTTTGCCTTCTTTTGTTTATGCATTTTGCTTGTTCTATGTCTTATTTTTCCTGTTGATTTTTGGGAGTTCATATATATTCTAAATGTATATTTATTCACTCATATATATGTTGCAAGTATTACAGTTTATGATTTGTCACCTTATGATATCATCCAAATAGAGAAGCTTTATATTTTGATGTAGTCATATGTTCATTTTTCCTCCTTAATGTTTGTTTTTCTTGGTTCTATGACCTACCAAAAGTAACAAAAATTCTCATTTATTTTTAATCTAAATGTTTTAAGTATTTTCCTGGAATTCACCTTGAATTGATTTCTATTGGAGATAGGTATCCAATCTAATTTGCCTCATATGGATAACCACTTGTTCTATTACTGCTGTAACAAATTTCTACAAACTAAGTGACCTAAAATAACACAAACTTATCATCTTACAGTGTACACAAGTCAGAAAGCAGGCATGAATTTTAGTGAACTAAAATCAAGTTGTCGACAGGCATGTTTCTTTATGGCGGCTAGGGTAGAATCCATACCCTGGCCTTTTCTATCTTCTAGAGAACATCAGCATTCCTTTTCTCGTTGCCTCTCCTCTCTCTTTTTAAAGCTGGGAATGTCACATTTCTCTGACCATTCTTTCATTGTCACATCTCTCTCTGGACTCAGCTAAGAAAGGTTCTCCATTTTTAAGAACTCATGTGATTAGACTGGGCCCATCTGGATAACCCAGGAAGATCTCTCCATCTTGGTTTGCATTCTTAATCACATCTGATAAGCCTTTATTGCATTCAGTGTAACATATTCACAGGTTCCAGGGTTAGGCATGGGGATCTTTGAGGGCCATTATACTCCCTACCACATTATTTGCCTAGCATCTTTCATTACATTGTCCATCTCTTTACTTACTGATTTCTAATGACATCCAAATCAGTTACAACATTTTATGTAAGCATTGTTTTTATTTTTATGTTATTCCACTAGTCTATTTTTCTACTCATGAATTATGGTACATGAGTTTATTTTTGCAACTTTAAGCTCAATAACATGTTTTAAGATTTCCTCAACTTTCTTTTTCCACTTCTTCAGAAGTTGACTCTTTTGGCCCTTTGGTCTTCTATACACATTTTAGAAATGCTTTGTTGAGGACTAAGAGGAGTGCTAAGATTTTGATAGGAATTTCATTGAATTTTGAGTATATTGCCATGCTACAATGGTTAGTGTTTTATACATGAAAATAATATATCCCTTCCTTTTTTCCTAGTATCATGAGATGTTTGTTAGGCATGCATGAATATTGAGTTGTATCAAATGTGTTTTTCTGCATTATTGTGGTGGTGATGTGATTTAGCTCCTTTAATTAGTTAATGTAATGAATTACATTTGTAGATTGCTCTAACTATTGAAACAAGCTTGAATTTCTGGAATAAGCCCAATGTGATATTTATTCAACAAATATTCATTGAGTATACCTAGTATGTAACATGCCTTAAGAATACACCAGTGAACCAAACAGAAATATCTGACATTACAGAACTTAACATTCCAGTATTTGGAGACAGACGATAAAAAAGTGAACATGTATATTTACAGTTTGTCAAGGAATGATAAATGAAGACTCTTAAAGTAGATGGGGAATTGGGAGTGAAGTCTGTAATTTAAATAGGGTGGGCAGGAAAGCTTCACAGAGAATGGGACATTTAAGAATAGACTTGAAGGACAGGCAAGAGCAATCTCTATGTTTATATGGGAGAAAAGGTTCCAGGCAGATGCAGTAACAATGGCAAATATCCTGAAGTAGGATCATGCTGGAGTTTTTGTGGAGCAGCAAGGAGGCTAGTGTGACTGCCACAGAATCACCCAAGGGAAGATGAGAAGATCAGACCAGACCAGCATTTGGGCATCTAATGGGAAAAGTTTCTCAAGCCATCATAAAGATTTCACTTTTACTATAAATACTATGAGAAACCATGGGATGTTTTACAGTAAGAAAGGTGGCATAATATGTTACATGTTTTAAACAAACTCTATAGCTTCTGAGTTGAAATAGATTGTAGGGGCTCATGGCAGAAGCAGAGGGAACATTTAGGAGGCTACTGTAAAGAATATCATGAAAAGAACAAACAACGCTATGTAACATGCTTAAATGGACTGAAGAAGATGTATAAAATCAAAATGATGTTACCTTCACACCTTGAATCAGTACAATAACCCCCCCTCCCCAATCACAAAAGAAAAACTAAACACAAAAACCAGGCTTTGGTTGCTCAGACAATTTTACAGGTGAGTTCTAGCAAACATGCAAAGAACGTTTAATTGCACTGTTACAGAAATTCTTCTGGAGAAAAGAAAATAAGACACATCACCCAACTAATTTCATGATAACAATGTCAATGTATAATAACAGAAAAAGAGGATCTCCAAAGAAATACATTTATTTGGAAATAAACAAGGATTATAATCTGAGATATTTGTGCTATGATCAATCATAGGTGCATCCCAAGAGGTTGAGGTAAGGAAAATATTTAAAGACAAAAAGAAGTCTATGCAAGCTGTTTTGAAACAAACATCATTGGTCACAGGGCCTGATGCAGGAGCTGGTGTTAACTTACTGGCAGAAACAGCCATTGCTAGGCAAGTGTTCTTGTGAGGGTGGCTTATCTGAAATGCTGCAGTCTTGAGGAATTTTTTATGATAGGTCCTATTATAAAGACACCTACAGGATGAGCTGGACAAACAGAATGTGAGTTTATAGAAAGTCCTTGTGATAGTGCTTATTGTGGACACACAAGATCCCCTTTTTCATGACCCGGCTCCACTTTGCTTTGGGTCTGATGTAAGTGACTTTGCCTTGTCATTGGCAACTTTCACTGTAGTATAATCTGCACATTAAAGTTACCTAACAATAGTACAAAGAAAGAAAATTAAAGGTATATCTCTTTCAAAAACATAAACCCCAAAATTGTTAGGAAATTGTAGTGAGTATAAAAGATAATTCATTATAATTGACATCTCAAGCTTCACAGAATTCTGACCTTTGCTACACTCTCATCCACAATCTTTTTCTCCTAGTAAATGGCAGCTCCTTCTGTTAAGTTGCTGAGGCTTCTTATTGCTTTTTTCTCCAAATAACAGTCAGAACTGAACAACTGTAATCATCCTAGTCCATACAATTGTTATATTTTCATTTAAAGAAGATCAATGTGTGATTCTTTTTTTATATATTTCTGGACAATTCTTTATATTTTAATAATAGTCAGAATTTGATCAGGAAAACAGAAGACATCCTATGTATTATAATGATAAAAGTTTAATATTAATTAGGGCCTTATGTTATTATTGGAAGAGCTTGGTGAATAGATATTAGAAAAGCAGCTAGACAAAATCAGAAGAGGTCTGCTTTATATCAGAGATCTTAGTCTGACAGTCTAGAGTGTGGGCACAGAACCCAAGCTTATAGGAATTTCTGAAAGGTCTGTAAATCTTATCCAGATGGACAGTGGGAGCTCATAAAGAATTCTGCAAGCCATCACATCTGTCAAACCTGCTGTGTCTAATCCTTAAGCCTGCTTTATGTGAAGACCTCCTCTTCACTCCTCACTTCCAGCTCTCATGAGTTTCCTTCATAGGCAAACCCAAACCTGGAACAATGTGCCTGAAGACTTCGGGTGACACAGTACCCAGACTTAAATAGGAGGGGAGCCATGGTGGAAGTGGCCATCCAGCACAATTTTCTTGGTCTTTACTTATAGTTTTGATTCCTTAAAAAAATTAACCACATTAAAATATGTGTTTCATAATCTACATCTAATAATACAAATATTTGAAGTCTTTTCAAATTTGAATATGCTACCCATGTTGCTGCTGCCCCCATTTTGTGTGTGTGATTTTTGTGTGTGTGTGTTAGAAGCTCATGACCTTTGAAACCTGCTCTTATGAGCTTGCTTTGATGATTTATTTGTCCAGAGAGGATTTTTTTTCCTACCTGGCATTTTGGACTGCTATCAACCTGAGACCACTTTGAATTAAATTCTCAGCTTGCAAATTTGGAAGCCACACAGATTGTGTGAGTTCAGGCTGAAACCTGTTTGAGAGCTGGATTCTGGCTATAAACTCTACAGGGAACATTTTCTCTCTCCACTCAGAGCTGAGACCATAGGTAAATTTATTTGCTAGCTCTCTTTTCAAGTTTATTTTATTTATTTTTTTAATTTCTAGTACACGTGCTCACTGAAGGTGTAATACTTAAGTGAGAATCTCAAAATCAGTTGTGTTCTTTGTATGACCCTGGTTTTGTTTCCTCCTGCTCTCTTACTTTCAATGTGTCTCAATATGTCTGCTGATGCTATGGTCATCTTAAATTTTGACTGAGGGTGGATCTTCTTCCCAGCTCACTCACATGGTTCTTAGCTAGATTCAGTTTCTCTCCATTTGTAGGACTGAGGACCTCAGTTCTTCACTTAGGGTTGGCTACAAGCAATCATCAATTTCTTCTAACAGGACTTACACTGGGCCACTGACAGCATGCCAGTTGGCTTCATTCAAATGAGAGGGCAAGAGAAAGAGAGAGAGGGAGAGGGCACAAGATGAAATTCACAGTATCTTATAATCTAATCTCAGAAGTGGCATCTCATTACTTTTGTTCTATTCTATTCAATAGAAACAAGTACCTGGGACCAGCTTATACTATAGGACCAGCTTATACTTATATAAGGGTATAAATACCAAGAGGTAGAGATCATCAAGAGCCATTCTGGTAGCAGCCACAATATCTTATCCAGAATATTTCTTATTCAGGCCTTCAAATGTGCCGTCTTTTCTGGTCTAATGGAAGTAAACCTTCCTTCCATACAATTTCTTCTCCTAAATTGTACTCTGGCTCTCTTATCACATACAAATGTCTATGTTAGGTATTTGTGTCTGTCTTGATTCTTGGTAGGCTTCTAAACTCTGTGAATGTTGGACTGTGATGTAGATATCATTTCACCGCACACTCTGTAACCACCAAACCTTAGCAGCTTATTCAGTAAGCACATACTTGGCTCTTAATGAGTATTGCTTAAATTGATGAATTGAATTAGTATTTTACCTTCTCTGTTGCTTAGCTAAGCAGAAGAATTTTTCATTTTTTTTAATTTAGTGACTGGTTCTATTAAAAGTTACCTTTGTCTATATCATTTTGTTATACTAAAGCACAAATGTATAAGGTCAAAAAACATTCTCAAGATTTTGTTTAAACCACAGCCCTCAGTTGTGTATATTTATCTCTTGTTTTCATATGCAAGATTTCTCCTGAAATGGGCAACAATTACAAGAGTTTTTTCCCTCTTCTGAACGAAGAAAATAAATATTTAATTCACAAGTTTAGAAGAGTGAACCTGAAAAATCACAGGGCTAGGTGGGTTATGAGGCCTACTGGTACATGATAGTGTTGAATGTGGATTAGAATGAACTCCGTGGAGTAGAATCTCAGACCATAGGCAAACATTTACTTGTTTTAGAATAAGCACATTTGAGTCTGCAATAAGTATTACTATTTTTAAGTTGAAAATGTAATTGGTTTCTAATAATAACCATATTGGCTAGCATTATTTCAATCGTGTTTAATGTTTTCCAATGTCATTTCATGTCAGATATCTCTCTTGATTCTTAGTAACAATTTGGACAAGACAGCAAATGCTATTGTCCAAGTTTTCTAAAGAAGAATCTGAAGTGAAATGATATCAAGAGACCTATCAAGACCTGTATCCAGGAAAAGGTAAATCTGAGCTGAAATTGTATCCGTTGTAAATTACCTACGTGACATACCAGATAGTGTTCATGATCCATTTAGTACTCTGTTCTAAAAATGAAACAATATCCATTTATTCATTTGTTCATTTATTTAGTGTTTGTTCAGCCCTTACTGCATATTCCAGGCACTATTCTGACTGTGGCAGGAGTGAACAAACAGGCATGGTTCTTACTTGTATGTAATTACAGTCTTATAGTGAAAACAAGTGTTAAACAACAAAATCTCCCAATTATTTTAAAATTATAAACTTGATTCGATACTATGTGGCCATATAATTGTTCCTAATTTGGTTGGAGAAGGGAGGCAGTTAGGGAAGCCTTCCCTGAGTTAGTGCCATTCAACCTGAATTATGATAGATGATAAGTAATTTGTCAGGGGAAAAATACTCCAGGAATAAAGAACAGGTACAAAGGTCAGGTTCTGGGAAGAGCTTGTCTTGGTCCAGGAATTAAAAAATGTTAGAGTGGCTGGATCTGGGAAGGAGACAAAAAGTTATTAAATGAGGCAGCAGGCTTCAGCAGGTGCCACATTGCTCAGGGCCTTGTAGGCCATGCTAAGGATTTGGGATGTTAATGTCAGTACAAACAATTGAGTCATAAGCAGAAAGTAAAAGCATGATTCCATCAAATGTTTTTCTCTAAACAGTAATTTTATAAATACAGGTTAAATGTGTGTTGTCCCAGCTACTCAGGAGGTCCCAGCTACTCTGTATTCTTTTTCAACAAATATTAGGTGCCTACCATTAGCCAGGTACAGCCCTTAGCTACTTTGAATGAAGCATATATTACAAACTGGCAGAATTTCTTAAACAAAGAATCTAGAGATTGTTTTTACACCATAATCTCGGTATTTTATAAATTTCTTGAAATTATTTTTATTTACACTGCTTTGCAGAATTTTAACTGGCTTTGAAATAAACAATGACAATAGTCCTCCATGTTACTAGTTTCAAATTTTCCCAATACCTACTAAGACATTACTTAATCCACAGATTTATTGTCAATAGTTTGTATCAAATTGTGATAACATATTTGAAATTAATATTTCAAATTAAAGCAAAATCACAAATTTATACTTTATATTATGAATGAGATTCACAAAAGGAGCATGATAATATATTCTGTTGTCATCGCATACAAAATAATAACATATAGAGTATGAATCAATAATTTTTCAAATACAAAGCTTTTACAATTAGGAATACAAAGAAATCATAATTAGGAATACCTCTACAATATTAACACACAATAGTGGTAACACTTGCAAAATGATGGTGGTGGTTTTTTTTTTTTTTTTTCCCCGACAGAGTCTTGCTCTTGTTGCCCAGGCTGGAGTGCAATGGCGTGATTTTGGCTCACTGTAAACTCCACCTCCTGGGTTCAAGTGATTCTCCTGCCTCAGCCTCCCTAGTAGCTGGTATTACAGGTGCCTGCCACCACACTCAGCTAATTTTTGTATTTTTAGTAGAGATGGGGGTTTCACCATGTTGGCCAGCCTGGTCCCGAACTCCTGACCTTAGGTGATCCACCAGCATCGGCCTCCCAAAGTGCTGGGATTACAGGTGTGAGCCACTGCCTCCAGCCAGTGGTGGGTTTCATATCTCAATGTGGACTTTTACTAACTCCCGATGCCTCAGTTTCCTCATCAGTTGAAAGGAATGAATGAAAGATATGTGTTTTTCATATTACCAGGTAGATGATAAGATGATTTTAATTTTCTTTTTTTTTTAACTTTTATTTTAAGTTTAGGGGCATTTGTTACATAGGTAAACTGGTGTCACAGGGGGTTATTGTACAGATTATTTCATCACCCAGGTATTAAACCTAGTACCCAATAGTTATCTTTTCTGCTTCTCTTCCTTTTCTCACCCTCCACCCTCAAGTAGACCCCAGTGTCTGTTTTATTCTTTGTGTTCATTAGTTCTCATCATTTACCTCCCACTTATAACTGAGAGTATGCTGTATTTGGTTTTCTGTTCCTGCATTAGTTTGCTAAGGATAATAGAAGGTCCATCCATATTCCAGCAAAAGACATGATATCATTTTTTAATGGCGGCATAGTATTCCATGGTGTATATGTACCACATTTTCTTTATCCAATCTGTCATTGATGGGCATTTAGGTTGATCCTATACTTTTGCTATTGTGAACAGTGCTGCAATGAACATTTGTATGCATGTGTCTTTATGGTAGAATGGTTTATATTCATCTGGGTATATACCCAGTAGTGGGATTACTGGGTCGAATGGTAGCTCTGCTTTTAGCTCTTTGAGGAATCACTATTCTTTGCACAATGATTGAACTGATTTGCACACCCACCAACAGTGTATAAGCATTCCCTTTTCTCCATAGCCTCACTAGCATCTGTTATTTTTTGACTTTTTAATGATAGCCATTCTGACTGGTGTGAGATGGTATCTCATTATGGTTTTGATTTGCATTTCTCTAATGATCAGTGGTGTTGAATTTTTTTTTGTATGTTTGTTGGCTGCATGCATGTATTCTTTTGAAAAGTGTCTGTTCATTCCCTTTGCCCAATTTTAATGGGATTGATTGTTTTTCTTTTGTAAATTTCTTTACATTCGAAATGTTTTTATTATTAAGTTGAGGTGCCTCATTCTTAGTATGGTTTTTCACTTTAAAATCCATAAGGGTGGACATGGTGGCATATGCTAGTAATCCCAACTACTGGGGAGACTAATACAGGAGGATTGCTTGAGCCCAGGAGTTCAAGGCTATAATGTGCTATGATCATGACGGTGAACAACCACTGTACTGCAGCCTGGGCAGAGTGACATAGTGAAACCACATCTCTAAAAAAAGAGAAAATGTAATTTAAATCTTTAAATACATATGTATATGTGTGTATATATGTATATATATTGCATATATGAAAAATGGTTTGTAGTTTCCATTCACAGCACATAGTAAAATGTCTTAACCTCCTCCCTCCTCCCTATGTGTGTTTTTCTAAGTGTGTGTCTTTTTTACCTTAATTTTTCTCTTAGTGTCTCATAGTCTTCCTAGGTCTCCCTCTTTCTTCTGTCTTTCACACACACACACACACACACACACACACACACACACGCATACACACATGTACCTTGAAAAATAGCTTTTCTTTTTCTTAAAACTTCCCAAAGCTTTCATAAAATTAGCCCTCAGGCACTCTTACGTATCTCATCCACTCTTCTTCCTCTTTCCCCTTCCTGAAGCCATTTGTAACTTACTCTATTACACTAGGAAGGGGAAGCAAATATTCATATTATTTTCTTGTTATATCCTTAACATTACTAGACCTTTGTGGTTTCTATGGATGAGGGACATAATATTTATTGATTTATTCTAAACTTCAGTCACTCATAATATACCCTTTTATTCCTCCTTCTTCTGTGATATTGGGAGTGTATAGTTGTCATTGTGACAAACCCTTTGCTGTCAGTATCTAAAGTGGATGGGGAGAAAAGGAGGGCTTTGCCAATCATCATCTCCAGTGCATTTCCCACTGTCAGCGTCATTGTCTAATGCTGTTTGCATCCACACAGCCTAAGGGAACCGTTTAAGTGAGTGACTCCCTCCCTTCACTTCAGCCCATCACTTGAGCATTTCTCTCCCTTGAAAAAAGACAAGTGGTGCTTCTAAGACTTGAGTAATTCTGAATATAATTGAGGACTAGATGTCCCTGTTTTATATCCTACAGGGCTGGCATCTCTAATGCTGAAAGTACAACAAAGTGCAGTGGTAGTCACTGAGTGTTCAGCCATGCTGGGTCATCAAAATAAAAGGAGATCGTCTTCCCATTCCTATCAATGACCTCATCTCTACCAGATATATAACTGGAAAAACAATGCATTTGCTTAAACATCCACAGTGAGCCACATTTGTTTGGTATTGTGGGGAAATGATGGAGAAGCATCCTTGTTTATTAAGGATCCAATTTTGATAGGCTGAGGCATATTTTTCCTCCCAAGTCTGCACATGGTCATGCATTAAATATTAATGAGCATCTTCTCTCTATCAGGCTTTGGGGGATATGTTCACCTCTTGGGAGGTGAACATGATAAATAAGATCCTTTCTCTCATGTAGCATTCTCTCCATTCTTTTTTTTTTTTTTTGATAGGGACTAGCTCTGTCACCTAGGCTAGAGTGCAGTGGTGCAAACATGACTCACTGCAGCCTTGAACTCATGGACTCAAGTGTTCCTCAAGTGATCCTCTTGCCTCCACAACATCCAGCTAACTTTTAAAAAATTTTTTGAAGAGAAGGTTTTGCCATGTTGCCTCAGCCTCCTGAAGTGGTGGGATTACAGGTGTGAGCCGCTGCACCTGGCCACATTTTCTTTCCATTCTTATGGAAGGCAGTAGTCAGCAAAACAGTTAATCAATTGAGAATATATTAGGTTGTTATAGGAACCATGAAAAAATAAAATAGAGTGTGTAAAGAAGGCTTGATGGCCAGGAAGCTTTTACAGGGAAGTGACATTTGAACTGAGACCAAATACTTAAAGAAGCCAGTTCTTTGAAGAGTTGATGGGAAAGTATTCCAAGAAGTGGGAATGGCAAGGGGAAAAGACTTAAGATGTAACCCCAGAATGATTAAGGAGGAGGATGGTACAAGAGGATGTCAGAAACATAGCCAGGAAAGAGAGCTATGCTTAAGTATTAGGATTTTATTCTTTGCAAAGGAAAAGCCCATTAAAGCTTTAAAGCAAGGACCTAAGAGTTAACATAATTTTTTAAGGTACCTTAAAAATTTTGCTGAATGAAGAATTCGTTGAAGTGAGTCAGGAATGTATGATTTTGGACAATTGACACAATGCCTGAGGCATAGTTTCTTCATATGGAAATTGGAGACAATGATCATATCTACCTTAGCAGATTATATAATGAATTATTTTCCTAGGGCTCCTGTAATAAAGTACCACAAACTGGGTAACTTAAGCAACAGAAATTTATTGCCTCACAATTCTAGAGGTGAGAAGTCCAGATCAAGAAGCTGGCAGGGCTGGGCTGCCTGAAAAGATGCTAAAGAATGAACTGTTCCAGTCCTCTTTCTCTCCTTCCAGTAGTTCCTTGGCTTGTGACAGCACAGTGTCAATTCTCATATGGCATCCTCCCCGTGTGCCTGTCTCTATGTCCAAATCTCCCTTTTATTTAAGGACAGAGTCACAGTGGATTAGAACACCCCTATAACATGAAGATTGCACGAAATTATGTACATAAATAATTCAACAACATAGCTTCCAAATAGAAAACACTCAGCCTTTGTCATCTCATCATTATTTGTTTACACATTTGTATTATTGGTATAGCTCTAGTCTTTTGAAAGGTGCAGTTACTCATCTTTGTGTTTTCCACTCCTTTATAGCTAAGTGTAAGGTGCTTTTGCAAAATCCAGTACTGCATATTTGAGAAATACTTTTTATTCCTACACATACTACATATACTGTTACACAATTTGATTTTGTGGGTCTAATGAAGTTGGTCTTTCTATGAGTTCCTATGGCTAAAAATAGTCATAATTGTGTACTCCCGTAAATTGTTAGAATGAAGGAAAATACTTTGAGTGAAATTATCAATCTGGTTTTTCTGACTTCAGCTGTGTGTCATGTTTGGTTAGTCAAGAGAAGCATCTAATGTGAGGCCCCTGGAGGACAGCTGATAAGTAAGCATACCAAGTAGAATGGCTACTGGAAAAAGTGTGCCAGCTAGAGAGAGAGAGAAAAGAGAGAGTTAATTTACCATTTGCTCAAGTAAGGAATGATCCACAAATTCAACTAAATCTAAGTAGTCTTAAAGGACATGTCATTGACAGATTTATCTTCTAGTCTCCCACTTTGTCTAACACTGCTTCAAAACAAAGCAATTTACTGAACCCAGTGGTCTCATTATTCTGGAGGTTTATAAGGTTAAAAATACCTGGAGTTTTGGGAGCAGCAATAGCACTGAAGTGGGATATTAGTAGTGATGCATGTGTTTGCAGCACCTGTGAACACACAGAAACTGAAGTTTGAAGGCTGATGACCCTGAGTTAGGGCAAAAGATAAAACTTTTTATTAGATTTTTTTAATGTCAAGAAGAAAATTATTTATCTCCACATTTCTTGAATATTATCCTCTTACAATTAGGTCAATGATTCTCACCCCAGTTATATATTAAAATTACCTGGAGATATATAAAAACTATCAATGTTCTACTCTTCTACAGATTAAATCATCATCACTGAGGGTGGCCCTCCAGCAACCAGGTTTGAGAACCACTTTAGACCAGAATTTTTCTCTGTGCCATTCAGTAATGACAATGATAGCTGTAGGATATGCAAATTGCAGAAAGACAACTGCAAATGATTTAGCTTATCCCCAAACAGCTGAACTATCTTAAGCCTCATGGCTACTTTAGAGTGACCAAATCCATGTAGATGCCAGAAGTTGTGTCATACACCTATTTCAAGGGACACATAGAATTTACCTATATATACCTACCTCAAGGGTCATGTCGGTTTACCATTCCCCTAAACAACAGCTTAATAGTATAAACTGCTGAACTGCTGTCTGCCTAATATTTATTGTGGCTATACTTCTTCTTTTCTGTATTAAAGGCCACTGCTTTTCCCAGCTTGCTCTTTGTTCTCCATCATCTGTTGTGGGTCAATTGTGCTTTCTGTTTTTAACATCCGTGTTGCTGAAGTCATTTCTCCAATTCATGATCCATGAAACTACTTCAGCAGTGAAAATGGCGCCCCTCAGGTTCAAGTCAACATTTTTATATTTCCCTCTAGGTCAAGATCCAAGCTATGGAAGAAATCAGGATATGTCAATTTTCTAGAGCAGCCAAGTTTTCTAAAAGTCTACCTAGCCATGTAGTTATGTAGTCTCACTCTCACTTAAACAAAGAAAATTAAAAAGCACACCAGAAAAGACTTTTCTTGTTAAAAACACATGTTTATTGTAGAAAATATAGTAAGGAAAAAGAAGAAAATATAAGGCAACTAGAATTTCTCTAGTTAGAGATAACTATTATTTATTTGAGTGTGTGTATATATCTATATATATATATATATATTGACATTCAGCTCTTATGTACTAGATACACACATCTACTGTTTCATAAGCTTTTTTCACAGAATAGATTATAATCAGTTATGTTTGTTATCACCACAACATTTTCTTCTTGAAGACCTTCTGGAATGAGGCATTTGCTTTTCTATCTAGAGACCCTATCCTTTCAAAAGGTCCTTTCTCTGTGGAAAGAGCTATTCTGGCCACAGTTACTGCCAAGAAACGAGGTGTTAGAAAAGGCCTAAAGTTAAGTGCAGAACTGCTGTGTTTTGATGAATATTCTGTTGTTTTGAGAGGAGGTAGAAGCATTCTCAGCTTCAGGATATTTGCTCACTACTCATTAGTCTCTCTGAGAAGTAGCAAACTTCAAAGGTTAAGTATGAAGAAATGAATTGTGTAATGCCTAGATGTCAGTAGCGGAGAAGGTATCTGAGCAAATTCAGAATTTTATCCCTGTCTCCATGGGCCTAGTGTGAAGAACAGTCATTTGTGTAAGTGGGTCTTTGTGTATATGGTACTGAATCAGGTCACTGAGTCAGAAACTTAGAGCAGTAAGGAAAGTGTGGTGCTCTCCAGTCCAGTGTTCTGGAATTTATTCTGCAGTGGCCCCCAACAGCAGGTGGCAGCCTTGTCCATGATTGTATTCTTAAGTGACATGGTATTACTCTTTCTATTTGCAATCCATTTCACTGATGGATAGTTCTAGAGATCTGAAATATTGAGATTTAGCTCAGTGTTGTTTATATGAAGATAAATTCCGCTTTCCAACAACTCTCTTGTATGTGTCTAACGTCTGCCGCATGGAATGTCACAGATTATGCTTCATACTTGTCTTCCTGAGTCTTCTTTATCCCGAACACCCTGAGTTTTTGAATGGTTGACATGCCAGCTGGCTTTCTGCAGATGTACTTCTCGTGTGTAAATTTCCTTCTCTGTGAGGTATTCATATTGAACATGACCTCCAAGTGTGTTTGGGTCTGTGCAGAAGACAATAGGACTGTGATTTCTGATGATTAAAACCTGGATTGTATGTTACTGTGATCAGACCCTGAGACTGAGTTAGCAAGTTTTATAGCATCTGAGTCGTTCTGTTGGAGGAAAGTGCATGTGATGGGCATTTGCTTGCTTCCCCACAAGATTCTCTACCTTCACCCTTCCTGCAAGATTCCCTAGGAAGCTGACTTCTGCTGAATGCAACACTCAGGTTATCTGCTTCCTAGATTCTAGTTGAGTTTGGTCCATGGGAGGCCTTGGCAGAAATTTTGAGAGTAAGAGCAAATAATTACTTAACCATTAGAAAAAAATAACATGAATGTGTCCTTCTATCCATGGCCTCAGTTCCTGTTGGGGAGCCTCGGTGCCAATCCCTCGGTGCATCACCATTTCTAATTAGTTCCTGTTTTAGTCTGCTTTTGCTTGTGTGTGTGTGTGTGTGTGTGTGTATGTTGTTATAAAGGAATACCAGAGGCTGAGTAATTTTAAAGAAGAGAGGTTTATTTGGTTCACAGTTCTGAAGGCGTGCAAGAAGCATGGTGCCACCATTTGCTTCTGGTGAGGGCTTTAGGCTGTTTCCACTCATGGCAGAAGGGGAAGGGAAGCTGGCATGTGCAGAGATCACATGGCGAGAGAGAGGGTTTTGTGCCAGGCTCTTGTTAACAACCAGCTCTTGTGGGAATTAAGAGAGCTAGAACTAGGTGGGCACGGTGGCTCATGCCTGTAATCCCAGCACTTTGGGAGGCCGAGGCAGGCGGATCACCTGAGGTCAGGAGTTTGAGACCAGCCTGGCCAACATGGTGAAACCCCGTCTCTACTAAAAATACCAAAAATTAGCTGGGCATAGTGGTGGGCACCTGTAATCCCAGCTACTCTGGAGGCTGACACAGGAGAATGGGTTGAACCCGTGAGGTGGAGGTTGCAGTGAGCCAAGATCGCACCACTACACTCCAACCTGGGCAGCAAGAGTGAAACTACATCTCAAAAAGAAAAAAAAGAGCCAGCAAGAACTCACTTGGATGGCACCAAGACATTCGTGAGAGGTCCACACTCAGGACCAAAACACCTCCCATTAGGCCCCCCCTCCAACAATGGGGATCACATTTCAACATGAGTTTGGAGTGGTCAAATATCTAAACCCTAGCAGTTCCCTTAAATGGAATGGAATGGTCTCGAATGGAATGGAATGGAATTTAATGGAACGGACTCTAATCGAAAGGAATCTCATGGAATGCAAAGAATGGACTCGAATGGAATAGAAAGGAGTGGACTTGAATTTAATGGAATGCAATGGAAAGGACTGCAATGGAATGAAATGGAATGGCCTCGAATGGAATGCAGTGGAATTGAATGGTCTCGAAAGGAATAGAATGGAATGCAATAGAATGGACTCAAATGAAATGGAATGGAATTCACTCCAATGGAATTGAATGGAAAGGAATGGAAAGGAATGGATTGGAATGGAATGGACTCAAATGGAATGGAATGGAATTGACTTGAATGGAATTGACTCGAGTGGAATGGAATGGAATTGAATGGAATGGAAAGGAAAGGCATGGACTAGAATGGATTTGAATGGAATGGAAAGGAAAGGAATGGACTAGAATGGAATGGAATGGAATTATCACAAAAGGAATGGAATGAAATGGAAAGAAATGGACTCAAATGGAATGGAAAGGAATGGAATGGACACATATGGAATGGAATGAAAAGACTGAAATGGAAAAGAAAGGAAAGGACATGGACTCGAATTGAATGGAAAGGAATGGACTCGAATGGAATGAACTTGAATAGAATGGAATGGAATGGACACGAATGGAATGGAATGGACTAGAATGGAATGGAGTGTAGTGGAATTGACTCGAGTGGAATGGAGTGAAATGGAATGGACTCGAATGAAATGGAATGCAATTGAATGGACTCGAATGGATTTGAATGGAATGAAAAGGACTTGAATGGAATGGAAGGGAAACGAATGGCATGGAATGGAACGGAATGGAATGGAGTGGAATGAAATGGAATGGACTCGAATGGAATGGAATGGACGTAAATGGAATAGAATGGAATGGAGTGGAATGGACTCGAATGTAATGTAATGGAATGTAGTCGAATGGAATGAAATGGACACGAATGGAATGGAATGGAATCGAATAGAATGAAATGGGATGGAATGGATTTGAGTGGAAAGGAATGGAATTGAATGTACTCAAATCGAATGGACTGGACTGGAATGGAATGTAATGGATTTCAGTGGAAAGAAATGGAATTGAATGTACTCAAATGGAATGGAATGGAATGGAATGGACTCGAATGGAATGGAATGGAATGGATTCGAGTGGAATGGAATGGAATTGAATGTACTCAAATGGAATGGAATGGAATAGAATTGACTCTAATTGAATGGAATGGAATGGACTCGAATGGAATGGACTGGACACGAATGGAATTGAATGCATTGGAATGGACTCGAATGGATTGTAATAGAATGGACTCGATTGGAATTGAGTGGACTTGAATGGACTCAAATTGAAAGAGTTGGAATAATCTTTAATGGAATGAAATGGAATGGAATGGAATTGAGTCAAATGGAATTGACTCCAGTGGAATGGAATGGACTTCAATGGAATGGAAAGGAAAGGAATGGAGTAGAATGGAATGGAATGGAATGATCACGAATGGAACGGAATGGAATGGAAAGAAATGGACTCAAATGGAATGGAAAGGAATGGAATGGACTCTAATGGAATGGAGTGCAAAAGACTAACATGGAAAAGAATGGAAAGGAATGGACTCGAATGGAATGTTCTCGAATAGAATTGAATGGAATGGACTCTAATGGAATGGAGTGGAATGAAATCGACTCAAGTGGAATGGAGTGGAATCAAATGGACTCGAATGAAATGGAATGCAATTTAATAAATTTGAATGGAATGGAATGGAATGGAATGGACTCGAATGGAATGGAAGGGACATGAATGGCCTGGAATGGAATGGAATGGACCCGAATTGAATGGAATGGAATGGACACGAATGGAATGGAATGGAAAGGAATGGAATGGAATGGAATGAAATGGAAATTACTCGAATGGAATGGACTCGAATGGAATGAAATGGAATGGAATGGACATGAATGGAATGGAATGGACCCGAATTGAATGGAATGGAATGGACACAAATGGAACGGAATGGAAAGGAATGGAATGGAATGGAATGAAATGGAAATTACTCGAATGGAATGGAATGGACTCGAATGGAATGGAATGGAATGGACATGAATGGAATAGAATGGAATGGATTCGAAAGCAACGGAATGGAATGGAATGAACCCGAATGGAATGGAATGGATTGGAATTTATTTGAATGCAACGGAATGGAATGGAATGAACTCAAATGGAATGGAATGGAATGGAATGGGAACGGCTTGAGTGGAATGGAATGCAATGGAATTGAATGGAATGGAATGGACTCGAATGGAATGGAAATGAATGGAATGGACTCGAGTGGAATGGAATGGAATGGAATCGACTCAAGTTGAATGGAATGGAATGAAATGGACTCGAATGAAATTAAATGCAATGGAATGAAATCGAGTGTAAAGGAATGGAATTTCCCCGAATGGAGTTCAATAGAATGGAAAAGATTCGAATGGAATGAATGGAATTGAAAGGTATTTAATGGAATGGAATGGACTCGAAAGTAACGGAAAGGATTGGAATGGATTGAATGACTGGAATTGAATGGAATGGACTCGAATGGAACGGAGTGAAATGGACTCGCAGTGAGTGGAATGGACTCGAATTCAAAGGAATGTAGTAGACCAGATTGGAATTGAATGGAAGGGAATGGATTGGAATGTAATGGAATGGAATGATCTTGAATGGAATAGAATGGAATAGAATGGATTGGAATGGAGTGGAATGGTTTGGAATGGACTCGATTGGAATGGAATGGAATGGAAGAGACTCGAATGGAATTGAATGCCATTTAATGGTTTGGTGTCTATTGGAATGGAGTCTAATGGAATGGAGGGGAGTCGAATGGAATAGAATGGAATGGAATGGACTCGAAAGGAATTTAATGCAATGGACACGAATGCAATGGAATGGAATGGACTGGTATTGAATGGAATAGAATGGAATGGAATGGAATGGACTTGAATGAAATAGAATGGAATGGACTGGAATGTACTCGAATGAAATGGAATAGAATGGAATGGAATGGATTAGACTCGAATGGAATGGAATGGAATGGAATGTACTAGAATGAAATAGAATAGAATGGAATGGAATGGACTCGAATGGAATGGAATGGACTCGAATGGAATGGAATGGAAAGGTATTGAATAGAATGCAATGTAATGGACTCGAATATAATGGAATGGAATGGAATTTAATGAAGAAGAATGGACTGGAATGGACTAGAACGGAATGGACTCGAAAGGTATGTAATGTAATGGAATGAAATGGACTCGAATTGAATGGAAACTAATGGAATGAAATGGACTCAAATTGAATGGAATGGAATGGAATGGAATGGAATGGAATGGAATGGAATGGAACGGAATGAAATGGACTCGAACGGATTGGAATGGAATGGAAGAGAAGAGAAGGGAATGGAATGGAATGGAAGGGACTCGAATTGAATGGAAAGAAATGGAATGAAATGGACTCAAATGGAATGGAAAGGAACGGAATGAAAATGACTCAAACAGATTGGAATAGAATGGAATAGAATGGAATGGAAGGGAAGGGAAGGGAAGTGAAGGGAACGGAATGGAAGGGAATGGAATGGAATGAAATGGAATGGAAAGGAATGGAATGGAATGGAATAGAATTGAATGGAGTGGATTAGTGTGGAATGGATCGGAGTACAATGGAATGGAATGGAATTGAATGGACTCGAAAGGAATGGAATGGAAAGAATGGAGTCGAATTGAATGGAGTCAATGGACTCGAATGGAATGGACTCCCATGGAAACGAATGGAATGGAATCAACTAGAGTGGAATTGAAGGGCATGGAATGGAATGCACTCCAAAGGCATGGAATGGAATTGAATCGAATGGAGCAGAAAGTAATGGACACGAATAGAATGGAATGGAATGAAATGGACTCGAATGGAATGGAATGGAATTGAATGGATTCGCATCGAATGGAATGGAATGGACTCGAATGCAATGGAATGGAATTGAATGGATTCGCATCGAATGGAATGAAATGGAATGGAATGGACTCGAATGCAATGGAATGGAATAGACTCGAATGGAATGGAATGGAATAGAATGGAACGGAATGGAATGGGATGGAATGGAATGGAAGGGAATGGAATGGAATGAAATAGAATGGAATGGAATCAAAAGAAATGGATTGGATTGGAACGGACTCGAATGGAATGCAGTGGAATGGACTCGAATACAATGGAATGGACTCGAATGGAATGGAATTGAAAGGAAACAACTCTAGTGCAATGGAATGTACTGGAATGGAATAGAATGGAAAGGAATGAAATGGAATGGCATGGCATGGAATGGAATGGAATGTACTCCAATGGAATGGAATGGAATGGAATGGACTCGAATGGAATGGAATGGAAAGGAATGGACTCGAATGGAATAGAATGCAATGGAAAGGAATGGACTTCAATGGAAAGGCATGGACTAGATTGGAACGGAATAAACCCGAATGTATTGTAATGGAATCAAATTGAATGGACTTGAAAGTAATGGAATGGAATGGACTGGATTCAAATGGAATGTAATTGAATGGAATGGACTCGAAAGGAATGGAATGGAATGGACCCGAATCAAGTGGGATGCAATGTAATGGAATGGAAGGGAATGGAATAGAATGGAATGGAATGGACTAGAACGGAATGGAATTGAATTGAATGGGATCGAAATGAATGGAATGGAGTGGAAGAATAAGAATGGAAAGGAAAGGAATGGAATGGACTAGAATGGAACGGAATGGAAAGGAACAGAATGGAATGGAATGGAATGGGCTCCAATGGAAGGGAAAGAACTCGAATGGAATGGAATAGTACGGAATTGAATCGAGTGGAATGGAAGGAACGGAATGGAATGGACTCTAATGGAAAGGAATTGAATGGACTCGAATGGAATGGAATGGAATGAAATCAACTTGAGTGGAATGGAATGTAATGGAATGGAATGGACTCAAATGGAAATGAAAGGAATTGACTCGAAAGAAATAGGAAGGATTGGACTTGAATGGACTGTAATGCAATGGAATGGAATGGAATGGAATGGACTCGAATGTAATGGAGTGGAATGGAATGGAATGGAATGGACTCAAATGGAATGGAGTGGAATGGAATCTAATAGAATGGAATGGAATTGAATGGACTCAAATAGAATGGAATGTAATGGTATGGAATGGACTCTAATGGAATGGAATGTAATGGAATGAAATGGACTCGAATGGAATGGAACAGAATGGAATGGACTCGAATGGAATGGAATGGAGTGGACTCGAATGGAATGGAATGGAATTTACCCAAACAAAATGGACTGGACTCGAATGGAATTGAATGTAATGGAAAAGACTACAGTCAAATGTAATATAATAGAATGGAATGGACTCGAATGGAATGGAATAGAAAGGAATGGACTCGAATGAAATGGAATGGAAAGGAATGGACAAAAATGTAATGGAATGGATCCAATGGAATGGAATCGAATAGAATGAAAAGGAATGGACCGGAATGGAATGGAATGGAATGGATTGGAATGGAATGGAATGGAATGTACACGCATGGAAGGGAATGGAATGGAAAGGAATAGATTGGACTCAAATGGAATGGAATGTTATGGTTTTGAAAGGAATGTAAAGTAATGGAATTGAATGGAACTGAAAGGAATGGAATGAAATGGAATGGACTCGAATGGAATGGAATGGAATGGAATGGAATGGTATGGAATGGAATGGAATGGTATGGAATGGAATGGAATGGACTCGAATGAAGTGGAATGGAATAGAATGGAATGGAATGGACTCGAGTGGAATGGAATGGAAAGGAATCGACTTGAAAGGAATGGAAAGGAAAGGAATGGATTCGAATGGAATGGAATGGACCCGAATGGAATTGAATGGAATCAAATGGAATGAAATGGACTGGAATGCAATGGAATGAAATTAAATGCGCTTGAATGGAATAGAATTTAATGGGATGGATTGGACTCAAAAGGAATGGAAAGTTATAGATTCGAAACGAATGGAATGGAATGGAATGGACTTGAATGGAATGGAATGGAATGGAATCTAATGTAGTACAATGGAATGGAATGGAACAGACTCGAATGTAGTAGAATGGGCTCGAATGGAATAGAATGGAATAGAAAGGAATGGACTTGAATGGAATGGAATGGCACAGACTCGAATGGAATGGAATGGAAAGGACACGACTGTAATGTAATGGAATCAAATGGATTGGACACGAATGCAATGGAATGGAACGGAATGGAATGGAATGGAATGGAACCGAATTGAACTGAATGGAATGGAATGGAATGGAAGAGAATGGAATTGAATGGAATGGACTCGAACGGAAAGGAAAGGAATTGAATGGACTCGAAAGGAATGGAATGGAATGGAATGCAATGGAATGGAAAGTGATGGAATGGAATGGAATGCACTTGATTGGAATGGAATAGGATCAAATGGAAGGTTAAGAGTTCGAGTGGAATTGAATGGTATGGAATCGACACAAGTGGAATGGAATGGAATGGAATGGACATGAAAGGAACAGAATGGAATGAAATTGAGTCGAGTGGAATGTAATGTAATGGAATGGAAAGGAATCAAATGGAATGGAAAGGAATTGACTCGAATAGAATAGGAAAGAATGGACGCAAATGAAATGGAATGCAATGAAATGGACTCTAATGGAATGTAATGGAAAGAAATGGACTCAAAAGGAATGGAATGGACTCGAATGCAATGGAACGGAATGGAATTGAATGTGATGAAAGGGAATGTAATCGAATCGAATGCAATGGAAAGGAATGGACACTAATGGAATGGAATGGAATGGAATGGAATGGACTGGAATGGAATGGAATGGAATGGAATGGACTTGAATGGAAAAGAAAGGAATCTAATGGAATGGACTCGAGTGAAATGGAATGGACACGAATGAAATGCAATGGAATAGAATGGACTAGAATGGAATTCAGTGGAATTTAATGGAATGGAGTGTAATGGAATGGAATAGGAATGGACTCGAATGGAATAGAATGGAATGGACTCGAATGAAATGGAATGCAATGGAATGGACTCGAATGGAATGGACACGAATGCAATGGAATGGAATTGAATGGACACGAAAAGAATGGAATGGAATGCAATGGAATGGACTCGAATGCAATGGAATGGAATGGACACGAATGGAATGGAATGGAATGGAATGGAATACAATAAAATGTACTCGAATGGAATGGAAAGAAAGGAATCGAATGGAATGAAATGCAATGGAATGGACAAGAATGGAACGGAATGGAATTGACTCGAATGGAATTGAATGGAATGGAATGGACTCGAATGGAATGCAATGGAATGGACTCGAATTTAATTCAATTGTTTCAAATGCAATGGAATGGAATGGAATGGACTCAAATGGAATGGAAAGGGCTCGAATGGAATGGAATGGAATGAAATGGAATGGACTCAAATGGAATGGAAAGGAACGGATTCGAATGGAATAGAATGGAATGGAATCAAATGGAATGGATTGGAATTAAATGGACTCGAATGGGAAGGAATGGAATGCACACGAATGGAATGAAATGGAATGGAGTCGAATGGAATGGAATGGAATGCAATGGACTCGAATGGAATGGAATGGACTCGAATGGAATGGAATGGAATGGAATGTACGCGAATGAAATTGAATGGAATTGAATGGAATGCAATGGACTCGTATAGAATAGAATGGAATGGATTCGAAAGGAATGGAGTGGAATGGAATGGACTTAATTGGAATGGAGTCGAATGGACTCGAATGGAATGGAATGGAATTGAATGGACTCGAATGGAATGGAATGGACTCGTATAGAATAGAATGGAATGGATTCGAAAGGAATGGAGTGGAATGGAATGGACTTAATTGGAATGGAGTCAAATGGACTCGAATGGAATGGAATGGAATTGAATGGACTCAAATGGAATGGAATGGAATGGAATGGAATGCAATGGAATCGAATGGAAAGGAATGTAATGGAAAGAAAAGGACTCGAATGGAACGGAATGGAATGGAATGGACTCAAATGGAATGGAATGGAATGGAATGCAATGGACTCGAGAGGAATGCAATTGAATTGAATGTACTCAAAAGGAATGGAAAGGATTGGAATGCAATGGAATGAACTCGAATGGAATGGAATGGAATGGACTCGAATGGAATGGAAGGGAATGGACACGAATGGAATGGACCGGAATGGAATAGAATGGAATGGAATGGAAAGGATTCGAATGGAATGGAAAGGAATGGAATGGAATGGACCAAATTTAAATGGAATGGAATGGAACGGAATGGAATGGAATGGAATGGAAGGGAATGGAATTGAATCAATTCCAATGGTATGCAATGGCATGGAATGGATTCGAATGGAGTGGAATGGAATGGATTCGAATGCAATGGAAAGGACACGAATGGAAGGGAATGGAATGTAATGGACTCGAATGGAATCGAATGGAATTTAATGAATGGACTCTAATGGAATGGAATGGAATGGACTCAAAAGGAATAGAATGGAAAGGATTTGAATGCAATAGAAAATAATGGAATGGACTCGAATGGAATGCAATGGAATCAAACGAAATGGAGTGGAATGGAATGGAGTCTAATGCAATAGAACGGAATTTACCGGATTGAACTCTAACGGAATTTACCAGATTGAACTCTAACGGAATGGACTCTAATGAAAGGGAAAGGAATGGGCTCAAATAGATTGGAATAGAATGGACATGAATGGAATGAAATGGAATGGAATGAATTGTGGAATGGAAGGAATGGAATGCCTGGAATGGAACGGACTTGAATGGAATAGAATGGAATGGAATGGACTGGACTCGAATGAAATGGAATGGAATGGAAACGAATGGAATGGAATCGAATCAAATGGAATGGATTGGATTGGACTCGAATGGAATAGAGTGAAATGGACCAGACTGGAATGCAATGGAATGCATTCGAGTGGAATGGAATGGAATGCAATTGACTCGAAAGGAATGGAGTGGAATGGATTCGAATGCAATGGAATGGATTGGAATTCACTTGAATGGAATAAAATAAAATGGAGTCGAATGTAATGGAATGGTCACGAATGGAATGGAGTGGAATGGAATGGACTCGAATGGAATGGAAAGGAATGAACTCGAATGGAATGGAATGGAATGGTGCGGAATGGACTCAAATGGAATGGAATTTAATGGACTCGATTCGAATGAAATACAATGGAATGGACTCGAATGTAATGGGATGGAATTTAATGGAATGGACTCTAATGGAATGGAAAGGAATGATTTGAATGGAATAGAATGGAATGGACTTGAATGGAATGGAATGCAATGGATTCAAATGGAATCAAATGGAATTCAATGCACTCAAATAGAACAGAATGTAACGGAATGGAATGGACTTGAATGGAACGGAAAGTAATGGAATGAAATGGACTCAAATGGAATGGAATGGAATGGAATGGACTCGAATGCAATGGAATGCAATGGAAAGGGATAGACTCGAATGGAATGCTGTTGAATGGAAAGGACTCGAAAGGAATGGAATGGAAAGGAATGGAATGGAATGGAATCCAATGGAATGGAATGGAATGGAATCGAATGGAATGGAATGGACTCGAATGGAATGGAAAGGAATCGACTCGAGTGGAATGGAATGGAAAGGAATGGACTCGAATGGAATGCAATGGAATGGTATGTACTCGAATGTGATGGAATGGAATGGAATGGAGTGCACTCCAATGGAATGGAATGGAACGTACCCGATTGGAATGGAATGGAATGGAATGGATTCGAATGGAAAGGCATGGAATGGAATGGCATGAACTCAAATATAATAGGATGAAATGGAATGGATTCGAACGCAATGGAATGCAAAGGAATGGACTCCAATGGAATGGAATGGAATGGAATGGAATGGAATGGAATGGAATGGACCTGAAAGGATTGGAATGGCATGGAATGGACCCGAATGGAATAGAATGAAATGTAATGGAATTGATTGGAATGGAATGGAATGGATTGGAATGGAATGGACTGGAATGGAATGGAATGGTATGGAATCGAATGGATTGGAATGGAATGGACTGGAATGGAATGGAATGGTATGGAATGCAATGGACGTGAATGGAAAAGAATGGAATGAAATGGAATGTATTCAAATGGAATGGAATGGAATGCAACCGAATGGAATGGAATTGAAGGTATTGAACTCGAATGGAATGGATTGGACACGAATGGAATGGAATGGAATAGATTGGACAAGAATGGAATGGAATGGAAAGGAAAGGAATGGACTTGAATGGAATGCCGTTGAAAGGAATGGACTCGATAGGAATGGAATGGAGAGGAATGGAATGGAATGGAATAGAATGGAATGGAATGGAATGAAATGGACTCGAATGGAGTGGAATGGACTCAAATGGAATGGAATGAAATGGACCAGAATGGAATGGAATAGAAAGGAATAGACTCGAATGGCATGGAATTGAATGGAATGGACTCCAGTGGAATGGAATGGACTGAACACGAATGGAATTCAATGGAATGGACTCCAATGGAATGGAATGCGGTGGAATGGACTCGAATGGATTGGAAAGGAATGGAAAAGAATGGAATGGAACAGAATGTACTCGAATGGAAAGGAATGGAATGGACTCAAATGGAATGGAATGGACTCAAATTTAATGGAATGGAATTTAATGGAATGGACTCTAATGGCATGGAAGGTAATGGAATGAAATAGACTCGAATGGAATGGAATGGAATGGAACGGAATGGACTCGAATGCAATGGAATGCAGTGGAATGGTTTCGACAGGAGTGGAATGGAATGGAATGGAATGGAGTGGACTCGAGTGAAAGGGAAAGCAATGGAATGGAACTCGAATGGAATGGAATGGAATGGACACGAATGTAATAAAATGGAGTGGAATGGACTCGAATAGAATGGAATGGATAGTAATGGACACGAATGTAATGGAAAAGAATGGAATGGACTTGAAGTGAATGGAATGGAATGGACTCAAATGGAATGGAATGGAACGGTATGGACTCGAAAGGAATGGCATGGAATGGACTCCAATGGAATGGAATGGAATGGAATATACCGAATGGAAAGGAGTCGAATGGATTGGTATGTAATGGACTCCAATGGAAAGCCATTGAATGGAATGGCATGGAATGGAATGGACTCCAATGTAATTGGATGGAATGGAATGCATTCGAATGGAATGGAATACAAAGAAATAGGCTCCAATGGAATGGAATAGAATTGTCCCGAATGAAATGGAAAGGAATGGAAGGGATCAGAAGAGAATGGATTGGTATGGAATGGAATGGAATGGAATGGAATAGAATGGAATGGACTGGAATGGAATGGAATGGTATGGAATGGAATGGACTTGAATGGAATAGAATGGAATGAAATGGAATGTATTCGAATGGAATGGAATAGAATGGAACCGAACGGAATTGAATCGAATGGAGTGAAGTTGAATGGAATGGGATGGAATGGACTCGAAGGGAATGGAATGAAATGAAATGGACTCGAATGGAATTGAATTGAATGGAATGGAATGGACTGGACACGAACGTAATGAAATGAAATGGAATGGCCTCTAATGGAATTGAATGGAATGGAGTGGAAAGGAATGGACTCGAATGGAATGCAGTTGACTGGAATGGACTAGAAAGGAATGAAATGGAAAGGAATGGAATGGAAGGGACTCGAATGGAGTGGAATGGACTTCTATGGAATGCAATGGAGTGGAATGGAATGGACCCAAATGTAAGAGAATGGAATGGAATGGTATTTACTGGAATGAAATGGAACAGAAAGGAATGGACTCGAGTGGTATGTAATGGAATGGAATGGACACGGAGAGAAAGGAATGGAATGGACTCAAATAGAATGGAGTGGAATGGGATGGACTTGAACGGAATTGAATTAAATTGAATGGACTCCAATGGAATGAAATGGAAATACGCGACTTGAATGTATTGGAATGGAATGGAATGGAAAGGAATTGCATGGAATGACATGGAATGGAATGGACTCAAATGTAATGGGATGGAATGGAATGGTCTCAAATGGAATGGAATGGAAAGGAATGGCATCCAATAGAATTGAATTGAATGGACCAAATGGAATAGAATGGAATGGATGAAATGTAATGTAATGGAATGAAATGGACAAGAATGGAATAGAATGGTATGGAATGGAATGGACTTGAACGGTATAGAATGGAATTAAAGGGAATGTACTCGAATAGAATGGAATGGAATGGACACAAATGGAATGGAATGGTATTGATTGAAGTCGAATGGAATGGAATGGATTGGAATGGATTCGAATGGATTGTAATGGAATGGAATGGAATCGAATGGAATTGAATGGAGTGGAATGGAAAGGTACGGACACGAATGGAATGGAATGGACCCGAATGGAATGGAATGGAATGGAATGGAATGGACCGCAATGGAATGGAATGGACCGGAATGGAATGGAATGGAATGGAATGGACTGGAATGTAATTGAATGGACTGGAATGCAACGGAATGGAATGGAATGGAAATGACTTGAATGGAGTAGAATGGAATGGAATGGATTGGAATCGAGTGGAACTGAGTGGAACAGACTCGAATGGAATGGAATGGACACAAACGGAATGGAGTGGAATGGAATGGAGTAGAATGCAAAAGAATGGAATTTACCAGATTGGACAGTAATGGAATGGACTCTAATGGAAAGGAGTGGAATAGACTTGAATCGAATAGAATGAAATGGAATGGACTCGAATTGAAGGGAATGGAATGGACCCGAATGGAATGGAATGGAAAGGATTGAAGTCGAATGGAATGGAATGGAATGGAATGGACTCGAATGGATTGGAATGGAATGGAATGGAATGGACTCGAATGGAAATGAATGGAATGGAATGTAAAGGAATGGACTTGAATGGAATGGAATGGACATGAAACGAATGGAATGGAATGGAAAGGAATGAAAACGAATGGAATGGAATGGAATGGAATGGACTTGAGTGGAATAGAATGGAATGGAATGGATTGTAATCGAATGGAATTCAATGGAACAGACTCGAATGGAATAGAATGGACACAAATGGAAAGGAGAGGAACGGAATGGAGTTGAATGCAGTAGAATGGATTTACGGATTGGACTCTAATGTAATGGATTCTAATGGAAAGGAATGAAATGGAATCCAATGGAATAGGATGGAATGGAATGGACTCGAATGGAATGGAATTGAATGGAATGGACACGAATGGAATGGAATGGAATGGAATGCAGTGGAATGGAATGGAATGGAATGGAATGGAAAGGAATGGAATGGAATGAATTTAATGGAATGATATAGAATGGAATGGAATGGAATGGACTCGAATGAAATGGAATGGACTGGAAACGGATGGAATGGAATGGATTCGAATGGAATGGAATGGAATGGACATGAGTGGAATTGAGTGGAATGGAATGGAAGGGAATGGATTCGAATGCAATGGAATGGACTGGAATTCACTTGAATGGAATAGAATGGAATGGAGTCGAATGTAATGGAATGGACACGCATAGACTGGAATGGAATGGAATGGACTCGAATGGAATAAAGTGGAATGGACTCGAATGGAATGGAATGCAATGGAATGAACTCGAGTGGAATGGAATGGAATGGATTCGAATGGAATGGTATGGACTCATAATGAAATGGAATGGAATGGATAGGACTTGAAAGAAATGTAATACAATGGAATGGACTCGAATGGAATGGACCTAAATGTAATGAAATGGAATGGAATGAAATGGACTCGAATGGAATGGAATGGAAATGAATGGACTCGAAAGGATTGTAATGGAATGGAATGGACTCAAAGGGAATGGAATGGAATGGACTCGAATGGAATAGAATGGAATGTTATGGTCTCAAATGGAATGGAAATGAATGTAATAGATTCCAAAGGAATGGAAAGGAATGTACCCAAATGGAATGGAATGGAATGGAATGGACAGGAATGGGATGCCATGGAATAGAATGGACTCGAATGTAGTGGGTTGGAATGGAATGGACTTGAATGGAATGGAATGGAAAGGAATCCAGTGGAATGGCATGGAATGGACTTGAATGGAATGGAAAGGAATGGAATGGACCCAAATGGAATGGACTCGAATGGAATGGAATGGAAAGGAATGGAATGAAATGGAATGCAATGGACTCAAATGGAATAGAATGGAATGGAATGGAACCGAATGGAATGGAATGGAGTGGAATGCAATGAAAGGAAAGGAATGGAAACAACTTCATTGCAATAGAATGGAATGGAATGGATTGGAATCAAATGGAATTGAATGGAATCGAATAAACTAAAATGGAATGGAGTGGAATGGAACTGAGTCGAAAGCAATAGAATGGAATATTCCGGATTGGACTCTAATGGAATGAACTCTAACGGAAAGGAATGAAAAGGACTCCAATGGAATAGAATGGAAAGGAATGGACTCGAATGGAAGGTAATGGAATGAACCCGAATTGAATGGATTGTACTCGAACGGAATGGAAAAGAAAGGACATGAATGGAATGGAATGGAATGGAATGAAATGGACCGGAATGGATTGGAATGGAATGGAATGTATGGAATGGAATTGAATGCGCTTGAATGGAATAGAATTGATTGTACTCAAATGAAATGGAATGTAATGGATACGAGTGGAATGGAATGGACTCGAATGGCATGCAATGGAATAGAATGTACTCGAATGGAATGGAATGGAATTTTATCAAATGGACTCTAATGGAATGGAATGCAATGGACTGCAGTGGAAAAGAATGGAATGGAATGGACTCGAATAGAATGGAACGGAATGGACTCGAATTTTATGGACTCGAATGGAGTGGAATTGAATGGAATGTATTCGAATGAAATGGAATGGAATGGAATGGACCCCCATGGAATGCAGTTGAATTGAATTGACTCGAAAGGAATGGAATCAAATGGAATGGAATGGAATGGATTCGAATGGAGTGGAATGGACTCGAATGGTATGGAATGGACTTAAATGGAATGGAGTGGAAAGGAATCTACTCGAGTGGAAAGGAGTGGAATGGAATCGACTCAAATGAAATGCAATGCAATTGATTGGACTCAAAAGGAATGGAAAGGAATAGAATGGACTCGAATGGAATAGAATGGAATGGAAAGGAAGGGACGCGAATGGAATGGAATGGAATGGTTTTGAATACAATGCAATGTAATGGACTCGAATCTAATGGAATGGAATGGAATTTAATGGAGAAGAATGGACGGGAATGGACTCGAACGGAATGGACTCGAAAGATACGTAAAGTAATGGAATGAAATGGACTCGAATTGAATGGAAACTAATGGAATGAAATGTACTCAAATGGAATGGAATGGAATGAAATGGAAGGGAATGCAATGGAATGGAAGGGAATGGAATGGAATGGAAGGGAATGGAAAGGAACGGAATGGAATAGAATGGAACAGAGTGAAATGGACTTGAACAGCTTGGAGTGGAAAGAAATGGAAGGGAATGGAATGGAAGAGAATGGAATGGAATGAAATGAAATGGAAAGGAATGGAATGGAATGGATTAGAGTGGAATGGATAGGACTACAATGGAATGGAATGGAATGGAATGGAATCGAATTGAATGGAGTCAATGGACTCGAACGGAATGGACTCCCATGGAATGGAATGGAATGGAATGCACTAGAGTGGAATGGAATGGCATGGAATGGAATGCACTCCAATGGCATGAATTGGGATTGAATCGAATGGAACAGAAAGTAATGGATACGAATAGAATGGAAAGGAATGAAATGGACTCGAATGGAATGGAATGGAATTGAATGGATTCGAATCGAATGGAATGAAATGGAATGGAATCAAAAGCAATGGAATGGAATGGACTCGAATTGAATGGAAGGGGATGGAATGGAATGGAATGGCATGGAATGGAATGGAAGGGAAGGGAATGGAATGATACAGAATGGAATGGACTCGAAAGGAATGGATTGGATAGGAATGGACTCAAAAGGAATGCAGTGGAATGGACTCGAATGCAATGGAATGGACTCGAATGGAATGGAATTGAAAGGAAACAACTCTAGTGGAATGGAATGGACTCGAATGGAATAGATTGGAATAGAATGAAATGGAATGGAATGGACTCGAATGGAATGCAACGGAATGGACTTGAATGGAATGGAGTGGAGTGAAATGGACACGATTGCAATGGAATGGAATGTAAAGGACTCGAATGGAATGGAATGGAGTAGAATGGAGAAGAAGGGAATGGAATGACAGGGAATGGAATGGAATGGAATGGAATGGACTCGAAAGTAATGGAATGGAATGGAGTCGAATGGAATGGAATAGACTCGAAAGAAATATAATTTAATTTACTGGAATGGACACTAATTGAATAGAATCTAATGGAATGGAATGGAAAGGACTCAAATTGAATGGAATGGAATGGAAAGGACTCAAATTGAATAGAATGGATTGGACTGGAATGGAATGCAATGCAATGGAATGGACTCGAAGGCAAAGGAATGCAATGCACTCGAATGGAATGTAATAGAGTGGACATGAATGGAATGGAATGGAATGGAATGAACTTGTATGGAATAGAATTGAATTGAATGGATTGGACTCTAATGAAATGGAAAGGAATGGAGTCGAAAGGAATGGAATTGAATCGAATGGAATGGAATCCATTTGAATGGAAAGGCATGGAATGGACTCAAGTGCAAAGGAATGGAATGGAATGGAGTCGAATGGAATAGAATGGAATGGAATGGAATCGAATGAAATGGAATGGAATGGAATGGAATTGACTCGAATGAAATGGAATGGAAACGAATGGAATGGACTGAAATGAAATGGAAACAAATGGAATACAATGGAAGGGACTTGAACGGAATGGAATGGAATGGAAGGGAATGGAATGGACTCGAATGGAATGGAGTGGAATGGACACGAATGGAATGGAAAGGACTCTAATGGAATGGAATGGAATGTACCCAAATAGAATGGAATGAAATGGAATGTACAGGAATGGAATGGAATGGAATGGAAAGGAATGGACTGGAATGGACTCGAAGGCAATGTAAAGGAATGGATTCAAATGGAATGGCATAGACACCAAAGAAACGAATGAAATTAAATTGAATGGATTCTAATTGAATTGAATCAAATGGAGTGAAATGGAAAGGACTCGAATTGAATAGAAGGGAATGGATTCGAATGGAATGGAATGCAATGGAATGGACTCAAATGCAATTGAATGGATTGGACTCGAATGGAATGGAATAGAATGGACATGAATGGAATGGAATGGATAGGAATGGCATGGAATGGAATGGAATGGAGTGGACTAGTATGGAATAGAATAGAATTGAATGAAATAGAATCGAATGAAAGGGAATGGAATGGATTCGACTCGAGTGGAATGGAATGGAATGGAATGGAGTGGACTCGAATGAAATGGAATGCAATGGAATGGACTCGAATGGAATGGTCTCGAATGGAATGGAATGGAATGGAATACAATTGAATGCACTGGCATGGAATGGACTCGAGTGCAAAGCAATGGAGTGGAATGAACTCGAATGGAATAGAATGGAATGGAATGGACTCGAATGAAAAGGAATGGAATGGAATTGACTAGAATGGAAAGGAATGGACACGAATTGAATGGGATGGAATGGAATGTACTCGAATGGAATAGAATGGAAGGGAATTGAATGGAATATAATGCAATGGAATGGACCCGAATGGAATGGCATGGAATGGAATCGAATGAAATGGAATGGACTGGACTGGAATGGAATGGAATGGAATGGAATAGAATGGACTCAAATGGAATGGAATGGAATGGACTCAAATGGAATGGAATGAAATGGACTCAAAAGGCATGGAATTGAATAAAATGGAGTCGAGAGGAATGGAATGGAATTTAATGGATTGGACACTAATGGAATGGATTGGGATGGATTCGAATGGAATAGAATGGAATGGACTTGAATTGAATGGAATGGAATTCAATCATCTCGAAAGTAATGGAATGGAAAGGACTTGAATGGAAAGGAATGGAATGGAATGGACGCGAATGGAATGGAATGGAATGGAAACTACTCGAGTGGAATGGACTGGAGTCGAATGTTATGGAATGGAATGGAATGGACTCGAATGGTTTGGAATGGAGTATAGCCGAATGTGATGGAATGGAATGGGAAGGAATGGACTCGAATGGAATGGAACGGAATGGAATGGAATGGACCTGAATAGAATGGAATGGATTGGACTCCAGTGGCATGGAATGGAATGGAATGGACTCGAGTGGAATGGAATGGAATTTAAAGAAATGGACTCTAATGGAATGAATTGAAATGGACTCGAATGTAATAGAAAGGAATGGAATTGAATTGAATGGAATGGAATTCAATGGTCTTGAAAGTAATGTAATGGAATGGAAAGGACTCGAATGGAATGGAATGGAATGGAATGGACAAGAATGGAATTGAAAGGAATGAAAATGACTCAAGTGGAATGGAATGGAGTCGAATGGTATGGAATGGAAGGGAATGGACTCGAATGGACTGGAACGGAATGTACACGAATGGGATTGAATAGAATGAAAATGAATGGACTCGAATGGAATGGAACGGAATGGAATGGATCCGAATGGAATGGAATGGAATGCACTCAAATGGCATGGAATGCAATGGACACGAATGGAATGGAATGGAATGGAAAGGACTCAAATGTAGTGGAATGGAAAGAATTGGACTCAAATGGAATGGAATGGAATGGACCTGGATGGAATGGAATGGAAAGGAATGGGATGGAATGGAATGTAATGGAAAGGATTTGAATGGAATAGCATGGAATGGAATGGATTGGACTCTAAAGGAATGGAATGGAATGGACTTGAATGGAATGGAATGGAATGGAAAGGAATGGGATGGAATGGTATGTAATGGAAAGGACTTGAATGGAATAGAATGGAATGGCATGGATTGGACTCTAAAGGAATGGAATAGAATGGACTTGAATGGAATGGAATACACAGGAATGGAATGGAATGGAAGGGACACCAATGGAATTGAATGCAATGGAATGGAACAGACTTCAACGGAATAGAATGGAATTTAATGGAATGGACGTTAATGGAAAGGAATGAATTGTTCTTGAATGGAATGCAGTGAAATGGACTCGAATGGAATGGAATGAAATGGAATAGAATGCACCTGATTGGAATGGAATGGAATGGAATGGAATGGAATGGAATGGAATTGACCGGAATGGGATCTTATGGAATGGAATGGAATGGATTGGAATTTAATGGAATGGAAAGGAATTGAATGCAGTTGAATGGAATAGAATAGAATGGAATGGAAAGGACTCGAAGGCCTTGGAAAGGAATGGAATAGAATGGAATGGAATGGACTTGAATGGAATGGAATGGAATTTAATGGAATGAAATCTAATTGAATGGAATCTAATGGAATCGAAAGGAATGCACTCGAATGGAAGAGAATGGAATGGACATGAATGGAATGGAATGCAAATGAACGGACTCGAATCGAATGGATTGGAAAAGACTCGAATGGAATGGAATAGATTTTAGTTGTCTCAAAAGGAATGGAATGGAAAGGAATGGAATGGAATTGAATAGATTTTAGTTGTCTCAAAAGAATGGAATGGAAAGTAATGGAATGGAATGGAATGGAACGGAATGGAATGGAACAGAATGGAATTGACTCGAATGAAATTGAAAAGAATGGACCCAAATGGAATGGAATGGATTGGAATGGACTCGAGTGGAATGGAATGGATTGGAATGGACTCGAATGGAATGGATTTCAATGGAATGCACTCGAATGTAATGGAATGGAATGGACTCGAATGGAATGCAGGGGAATGGCCTCGGATTGAATGGAATGGAATGCCTTCGAATGGAATAGAATGGAATGGATTTGAAAGGAATGGAATGGAAGAAAGTGGACTCAAACGGAATGGAGTGTAATGGAATTGAGTGGATAGGAATGGAAATGAATGGACGCAAAAGGAATGAAATGTTATGGAAGGGAATGGATTCGAATACAATGGAATGTAAGGGAATGAAATAGACACGAAAGGAATGGAATGGATTGGAATAGACTCAAATGAAATAGAATGGAAAGGAATGAATTCGAATGGAATGGAGTAGAAAGAAATCGCATGGAATGGAATGTAATTGAATGGACTCAATATGACAGGAATGTAATGGAATGGACTAGAGTTGAATGGAATGCAATATAATGGAATGAAATTGACGTGAATGTAATGGAATGGAATAGAATGGCCTCGAACGGAATGGAATGGACTGGACTCCAATGGAATGGAATTGCATTTAATGGACTCGAAAGAATGGAATGGAGTGGAATGGAAAGGACTCAAATGGAATGGAATGGACTCGAATGGAATGGAATGGACATGAATGGAATGGAAAGGAGTCGAGTAGAGTGGAATATAATGTAATGGAGTGGATTCGAATGGAATGGAATTAAATGGAATGGACTCAAATGGAATGGAATGGACTGGATCCAAAGACATGGAATGGACTGGAATGGACTGGACTGGAATGGAATGGACTCTAATGGAAAAAATGCAATGGAACGGAATGGACTCGAATGGATGGAATGAAATGGAATGGAGTGGAAATGAATGGAAAGGAATGGAATGAAATGGACTCGAAAGGAATGGAATGGAATGGAATACAATGGAATGGAATGGAATGGAATGGACTGTACAGGAATGAAATGGAATGGAATGGAATGGATTCGAATGGAATGGAGTGGAATGGACACAAATTGAACCGAGTTGAATTGAATGCACTCGAATCAAACGATTGAAATAGAATGGAATGGAATCGAATGGAATGCAAAGTACTGGAATGGAATGGAGTCAAATGGAATGAAAAGTACTGGAATGAAATGGATTCGAATGGAATGGAATGGAAGGAAATGGACTCGAAAGGAATGGAATGGAATGGAATGGACTCGAATGGGATGGAATGGAATGGACTCGAATGGAATGGAATGGACAAGAAAGGAATGGAATGGAATGGAAACGACTCGAGTGGAGTGTAATGGAAGAGAATGGACCCGAATGGAATGGAATCGAATAGAATGGACGTGAATGGGATGGAATTGAATGGACCAGAATTGAATGGAATGGAATGAAACCGAATTTACTCGAATGGAATGGAATGGAATGGAATGCACATGAGTGGAGTGGAATGGAATGGAATGGAGTAGATTGGAATAGAATGGAATAGACTGGAGTGGAATGGAATGGAAGAGAATAGAATGGACATGAATGGAATAGAATGGAATGGAATGGAATGGACTCTAAAGGATTGTAATGGAATGGAATCGAATGGAATGGAATAGAATGGAACGGAATGGAATGAAATAGACTCGAAAGGAATGGAATGGAATCGAATGGACTCGAAAGGAATGGAATGGAAAAAAACGGAATGGAATGCAATGGAATGGACTCGAATGGATTGGAATGGAATGGAGGAGAATTAAATGGAATTGGCTGGAATTGAATGGAATGGACTGGAAACGACTCTTTAGCATTGGAAAGGAAAGGAATGGAATCGAATGGAATAGAATGGAATGGAATTAACTCACATCCAATGGACCCAAATGGAATGGAATGGAATGGACTGCAATGGAATGGAGTGGAATGGAATGGAATGGAATGGAAGGGAATGGCCTCAAATGGAATGGGATATAATGGATTGGAATCTAATGGAATGGAACAGAATGGAATGGACTCGAATGGAATACAATGGAATTGACTCGAATGGAATTGAATGGAATGGACCCGAATGGAATGGAAGGGAATGAAATGGACTGGAATGGAATGGAACGGAGTGGAATCTAATGACTTGAATGAAATGGAACGGAATGGAATGGATTCGAATAGAATGTAATGGAATGGTCTCGAATGGAATGAAATTGAAAGGAATAGACTCGAATGGAAAAGAATGGAATGGACTCGAATGGAATGAGTTGGAATGGAATGGAATAGAATGGAATCAAATGGAATAGAATCGAATGGAATGGACTGGACTCAAATGGAATGGGTTGGAGTGGAATGGGTTCGAATGGAATGGACTCAAATGGAATAGAATGGAATGGAATGGACTCCAATGTAATGGATTGGAATGGAATCCAATGAAATGAAATGCATTCGAATGGAATGAAATAGAAAGGAATGGACTCGAATGGAATAGAATGGAATGGAATGGAATGGGCATGAATGAAATGGAATGGAATGGACTCAAATGGTTTCGAATGGAATGACACCGAATGGAAAGGAATGGACTCGAATGGAATAGAATGCAATGGAATGGAATGGACTCAAATGGAATGGACTCAAATGGAATCGAATGGAATGGCATCGAATAGAATGGAGAAAACGGAATGGACCCGAATGGAATGCAGTGGACTAGAAAGGACTGGAATGGAATGGAATGGAATGGAATGGAATGGAATGGACTCGAATGGAAATAATGCAATGGAAAGGAATAGACTCGAAAGGAATGGAAAGGAGTGGACAAGAATGGAAAGATATGGAATGGAATGGAATTGAATGCAATGGAATGGACTCGAATGGAATGGAATAGAATGGAATGGAATGCAAAGGAATGGAATGTACTGGACAGGACTGGAGTGGAATGGAAGGGAATGGACTCAAATGGAATGGAATGGCATCAAATGGAATGGAGAAAATGGAATGGACTCGAATGGAGTGGAATGGAATGGAATGGACCCGATTGGAATGGAATGAAATGGACCCGAATGGAATGGAATGGAATTGCGTGGAATGGAATGGACTTGAATGTAACGGAATGGACTCGAATGGAATTGAATGGAATGGACTCAAAAGGAATGGAGTGGAAAGGAGTGGACTCGAATAGAATGGAGTGAATTGGACTCGAATGCAAAAGAATGGAATTGAATGGACTCGAATGGAATGGAATGTAAGAGAAAAGAATGGACTCGAATGGAATGGAATGGAATGGAATGAAATAGACTCGAATGGAATGGAATGGAAAGGAAAGGAATCAAATGGAATGGAATTGAAAAATGAAATGTAATGGAAAGGAATGGTATGTTTTCGAAAGGAATGCAATTGAATTGAATGCAATGGAATGGCCTCGAATGGAATGGAATGGACTCGAATGGAAAGGAATAGAAGGGAATCGACTCGAGTAGAATGGAATGGAATGGAGTGGACTCGAATGGAATGGAATGGAATGGAATGGAATGGAATGGAATAGACCCGAATGGAATGGAATGGAATGGAATAGACCCGAATGGAATGGAATGGAATGTTCCTGGATGGGATAGAATGGAATGGAATGGACTCGAATGATATGGAATGGAATGGACTCGAGTGGCATGGAATGGAATGCAATGGACTCGAATGGAATGGAATGGAATGGAAGGAACTCGAATGGAATGGAATGGAATCTAATTTACTGAAATGGAATGGACTGCACTCGAAAGTAATGGAGTGCAATGGAATGGAATGGACCCGAATGGAATGGGATGGAATGGAATGGACTGGAATGGAATGGATTGGAATGGAATGGACTTGAATGGAAAATAATGGAAATTAATCCAATGGATTCCAAAGAAATGGAATGGAATGGACACGAATGGAATGGAATTGTCTCTTAAGGAATGGAATGTAATTTAATTTTACAAACACTAATGGAATGGAATCTAATGGAACGGAATGGAAAGGATTCAAATGGAATAGAATGGAATGTACTCGAATGGAGTGGAATGCAAACTAATGGACTCAAATGTAATGGAATGGAATGGACTCGAATGGAATGGAAAGGAATGGTCTCGAAAGAATGGAAAGGAATGCAGTGGAATGGACTCCAAAGGAATGGAATGGAATTGACTCGAATGGAATTGAATGGAATGGACCAGAATGGAATGGATTGGAACGTACTTGAAAGGAATGGAATGATATGGAAACGAGTGGAATGGAATTGAATGGAATGGAGTGGAATGTAAAGGAAGTGAATGGAACGGAATGGAATGGAATGCAGTGGACTCTAATGGAATGGAATGGATTGGAATGGAATGACTCAAGTGGAATGGAATTGAAAGGAATGGACTCGAATGGAATGTAATGGACAAGCATGGAATGGAATTGAATGGAATGGAATGGATTCGAATAAAATGGAATGGAGGGGAATGGACTCGAATGGATTGGAATTGAATGGAGTGGAATGGAATAGAATGAAATGGAATGGAAAGGAATGGACTCGAATGGAAAAGAATGTACTCGATTGGAATTGAATGGAATGGAACGGATGCAAATGCAATGGAATGCAATGGACTTGAGTGGAATGGATTGGAATGGAACGCACTCGAATGGAGTTGATTGGAATGGAATGGACTCGAATGGAATGGAAAGGACTCGAATGGAATAGAATGGAATGGACTCGAATGGAATGGAATGGAAATGACTCGAATGGAATAGAATTTAGTGGAAAGGAATGGATTCGAATTAATAGAATTTAATGAACTTGAATGGAATGGACTCAAATGGAATGGAATTGACTCTAATGGAATGCAGTGGAATGGACTCGAATGCAATGGAATGAAATTGAATGGACTCAAATTGAAGGGAGGGTAATCGAAAGGAATGGACTCGAATGGAATGGAATGAAATGGACTCGAATGGTCTGGAATGGAATGGCATCGAATGGAATGGATTGGAATGGAATGGAATGGAATCAAAAAGAATGGAATGGAATGGAATGGAATGGACAAGAATGGAATGGAATGGAACGGATTCTAATGGAATGAAATGGACTCGAATGGAATGGAATGGAATCAACTCAAGTGGAATGGAATGGAAAGGAATCAAATGGAGTCAAACGTAATGGAATGGAATGGAATTCCCTCGAATGGAATAGAATAGAATGGACTCAAATGGAGTGGAATGGAAGGGAGTGGACTTGAATGTAATGGAGTGTAATGGACTTGAATGTAATGGAATGGAATTGAAGGGACTCAAAAGGAATGAAATGTTATGGAAGGCAATGGATTCGAATGCAATGGAATGTAAGGGAATGAAATAGACACGAAAGGAATGGAATGGAATGGAATCGACTCGAATGCAACAGAATAGAAAAGAATGAACGCGAATAGAATGGAGTAGAAAGGAATCATATGGAATGGAATGGAATGGAATGGACTCAACAGGAAAGGAATGTAATGGAATGGACTAGATTTGAATGGAATGCAATATAATGGAATGAAATTGACTCGAATGGAATGGAATGGAATAGAATGGCCTCGAATGGAATGGAATGGAATGGACTCGAATGGAATGGAACTGCATTTAATGGACTCGAAAAGAATGGAATGGAGTGGAATGGAAAGGACTCGAATGGAATGGATTGGACATGAATGGAAATAAAAGGAATCGACTGGAATGGAATGTAATGTAATAGAGTGGATGCGAATGGAATGGAGTTGAATGGAATGGACTCGAATGGAATGGAATGGATTGGACCCAAAGAAATGGAATGGACTGGAATGGACTGGACTGGAATTGAATGGAATGGAACGGAAAGGACTCTAATGGAAAAAATATAATGGAATCGAATGAACACGAATGGATGGAATGGAATGGAAAGGAGTGGAAATGAACGGAAAGGAATGGAATGGAATGGACTCTAATTGAATGGAATGGTATGGAATGGAATGGAATGGAATGGACAGGAATGGAATGGAATGGAATGAAATGGAATGGAAGGGAATGGATTCGAATCGAAAGCAATAAAATGGAATGTACACGAATGGAATGGAAAGAAACGGACTCAAAAGCAATAGAATGGAATGGCCTCGAATGGAATGGAAAGAAATGGAATGGAATGGAAAGGAATGGAGTGGAATGGAATGGAATGGACTTGAAAGGAACGGAATGGACTGGAATGTAGTGTAATGGACTCGAATGGAATGGAATAGAAGCGAATCAACTCGATTTGAATGGAATGGAATGGAATGGCCCCAGATGGAATGGAATGGAAAGGAATGGAATGCATTTGAATGGAACAGAATGGACTCAAATGGAATTAAATGGAATGGACTCGCATGGAATGGACTGGACTCGAATGGATTGGAATGGAATGGACTCGAGTGGAATGGAATGGAATCGAATAGACTCCAGGGGAATGGAGTGGAATGGAATGGAATGGAATGGAATCGAATGGGATGCAAAGGAATGGAATGGACTTGACTGGAACGGAAAGGAAAGGAAAGGAGTCGAACATAATGGAATGGAATGGTCTCGAATGGAATGGAATTGACTCAAATGGAATGGAATGGAATATACTCAAATACAATGGAATGAACTCAAATGTAATGTAATGGAATGGACTTGAATGGAAAAAGTGGAATTGAATGGAATGGACTCGAATGTAATGGAATTGAATGCACTCAAATGGAATAGAATGGAATGGACTCGAATGGAATGGAAGGCAATTTAACGGAATCATATGGAATGGAATGGTATGGATTCGAATGGATTGGAATGGAATGGAAAGGACTCGAATGGATTGGAATTGAATTGAATGGACTCGAAAGGAATGGAAGGAAATACGATGGAATAGACTCGAATGGAATGGAATGGAATGGAATGCAGTCGAATGGAATGGAATGGAATCGAAGGGAATAGGGTGGAATGGAATGATCGCGAATTGAAAGGAATGGAATGGTATGGACTCGAATGGAATGGAATGGAAAGGACTCGAATGGAATGGAATGAAATGGAATGGAATTGAATAGACTCGAATGGATTTGAATGGAACAGAAAGGACTCGAATGGAATGGAATTTTTTGAAAAGGAGTTGAATGGAATGGAATATAATGGAAGGATCTAGAGTAAAATGAATTGGACAGGAATGGATTTGAATGGAATGAAATGGAATTGAATGAACACTAATGGAATAGAATGTAATGGAATGTAATAGACTCGAATGGAATGGAATGTAATGCAAAGGAATGGACTCGAAGGGAATAGAATGGAAAAGACCCGAATGGAATTGAATGGAATCTAATGGAATAAAATGGAATGGAATGGACTCGAATGGAATGGAATGGAGACAAACGGAATGGAATGGAAGTGAAATTAATGGACTCGAATGGAAGGAAATGGAATGGATTGAACTCTAATGGAATGGAAGATAATGGAATGGAATGGACCCGAATGTAATGGAATATAATGGAAAAAAATGGACTCGAATGGAATGGAATGGAATGGACTCGAATGGAATGGAATTTACTCGAATGGAATTGAATGGAATGGAATGGACTCAAATGAAATGGAATGGAATGGACTCGAATGGAATGAAATGGAATGGACTCGAATGGAATGGAATGGATTTGACTCGAATGGAATTGAATGGAATGCACCCGAATGGAATGTAATGGAATGGAATGAACTCGAATGAAATGTAGTGGAATTGAATGGACACAATTTGAATGGAATAGACTCGAATGGAACGGAATGGAATGGATTCAAAAGGAATAGCATGGATTGGAATGGATTCGAATGGAGTCTAAAAGAGTGGACTCAAATGGAATGGAATGGACTCGAACGGAATGGAATGGAATGTAGTCGAAATGAATAGAATGGAATGGAATGGAATGGACTCGAATGCAATCAAATGCAATGGAGTCGAATCAAATGGAGTGGAATGGAATGGACTTGAATGGAATGGAGTGGAATGGATTCGAATGGAATGCAATGGAATTGAATGGACTCGAAGGAATGTAGCCGATAGGAATGGATTCGAATGGAATGGAATGTAATGGAATGAAATGGACACGAATTGAATGGAATGGAATGGTATGAAACGGAATGGAATGGAAGGCAATGGATTCGAATGGACTCGAATGGAATGCAATTGAATTGAATGGACTCGAAAGGAATGAAAGGAATGCAATGCAGTGGACACGACAGGAATGGAATGGAATGGACTCGAATGGAATGGAATACTGTTGAATGGAATGGATTGGAGTGGAATCAACTCAAGTGTAATGGAACATGGAATGGAATGGAATGGACAAGAGTGGAATGTAATGGAAAGGACTCTAATGGAATGGAACGAAATGGAATGCAATGGGCTCCAGTGGAATGGAATGGACTCAAATCGAATGGAATTCAATGGACTAGAATGGAATGGAAAAAACTCGAATGGAATGGAATGGACCCGAAGAAATGGAAGGGACTGGAATGGAATGCAATGGAATGGAATGGAATGGAATGGACGAGAATGGAATGGAATGGATTTGAATGGATTAGAATGGAAAAGAATGGACTGAAATGGAATGGAATTGAATGGAACCTAATGGAATGGAATTGCCTCTAATGGAATGGAATGGAATTTAACGGAATGGATACTAACGAAATCTAGTAAAATGGAATGGAACAGAATGGACTCAAAATGAATAGAATGGAATATACTCGAATGGAATGGAATGCAATGGAATGGACTCGAATGGAATAGAATGGAATGGAATGAAATGGAATGGTGTGGAATGGACCTGAATAGAATGGAAAGTAATGACTCATATGGAATTGAATGGAATGGAATGGAATGAAAGTGAATGGAATGGAATGGAATTCAATGGACTCAAATGGAATGGAATGGAATGGAACGGAATTGAATAGACTCGAATGGAATTGAGTGGAATGCAATCGACTCGAAAGGAATGGAATGGAAGGAACTCGAATAAAATGGAATGCAATGGAATGGACTTGAATGGAATGGAATGGTATGGAATGAACACTAATGGAATGGAATAAAATGGAATTGAATTGACTCGAATGGAATGCAATGTAAAGGAAAGGAATGGACTTGAATAGAATGGAAAGGAATGGACTCGAATGGAAGAGAATGGAATCAAATGGACTCGAATGGAATGGAATGGACTCGAATGGAATGGAATGGACTCGAATGGAATAGAATGGAATGGAATTTAATGGACTCGAATGGAGTGGAATGGAATGAATTGTACTCTAATGGAATGGAAGGTAATGGAATGGAATGGACTCGAATGGAATGGAATGCAATGGAAAGGAATGGACTCAAATGGAATGGACCCGAATGGAATGGAATGGAATTTAATAGAATGTATTCTAATGGAATCTAGTCCAATGGAATGGATTGGAATGGAATAGAATGGAATGTACTCGAATGGAATGGAATGGAATGAAATTGACTGCAATGGAATTGAAGTGTATGGACCCGAATGGAATGGAGTGGAATGGAATTTCCTCGAATAATATGGAATGGAAAGGTAGAGACTCAAATGGAATGGAATTGAATGGAATGGACTCGAATGGAATGGAATGGAATGCACTCGAATGGAATGGAATGGAATGGACTCAAATGGAATAGAATGGAAGTGAATGGACTCAAATGGAATAGAATGGAAGTGAATGGACTCGAATGTAATGGAATGGAGTGGACTCAAGTGGAATGTATTGGACTCGAATGTAATGCATTTGAATGCAATGGAATTGAATGGAATATAATGGAATGGACTGGACTGGAATGGAATGGAAATGAATGGACTCGAAAGGAATAGAATGCAATGGACTCGAATGGAATGGAGTGAAATGGAATGGACTCAAATATAATGGAGTGGCATGGACTCGAGTGGAATGGAATGGAATTGAAAGGACTCGAAAGGAATGGAAAGGAATGGACTCGAGTGGATTGGAATGGAATGGAATGGACACGAATGAAATGGAATGGAATGAAATGGAATAGAATTGAATCAAAAGGAATGTAATGGAATGAAATGGACTCAAATGGAATGGAATGGAAAGTAAAGCACTCAAAGGAATGGAATGGAATGGAATGGACTCGAATGGAATGCAATTGAATTGAATGGACTTGAAAGGAATATAATGTAATGTAATGTAAAGGAATGTAATGGAATGGAATGGAACGGAATGGACTCAAATGAAATTAAATGGAATGGACTCGAATGGAATGGACTGGACTCGAATGGATTGGAATGGAATAGACTCTAGTGGAATGGAATGGAATCGAATGGACTCGAGGTGAATGGAATGGAATGGACTCGAAAGGTATGGAATGGACTCGAATGGAGTGGAAAGGAATGGAATGGACTCGACTGGAACGGAATGGAGTGGAACGGAATGGAATGGACTCGACTGGAATGGAATGGAATGGAAAGGAGTCAAACGGAATGGAATGGAAAGGAGTCAAACGTAATGGAATGGAATGGAAAGGTCTCGAATGGAAAGGAATGGACTCAAACGGAAAGGAATAGAATTTACTCAAATGCAATGAAATGGACTCAAATGTAATGGAATGGAATGATATGGACTCTAATGGAAAAACTGGAATTGAATGGAATGGACTTGAATATAATGGAATGGAATGGATTCGAATAGAATTAAATGGAATGTACTCGAAAGGAATGGAATGCAATTGAATGTAATCTTATGGAATGGAATGGAATGGACTCGAATGGATTGGAATGGAATGGAAAGGACTCGAATGGATTGGAATGGAATTGAATGGACTCGAAAGGAATGGAATGGAATACGGTGGAATGGACTCAAATGGAATGGAATGGAATGGAATGCAGTCAAATGTAATGGAATGGATTCGAAGGCAGTGGAATGGAAAGGAATGGACTCGAATGGAATGGAAAGGAATGGTATGGACTCAAATGGAATGGAATGGAATATAATCGAATGGAATGATATGCAATGGAAAGACCTTGAATTGAGTGGAATGGAAAGGACCCTAATGGAATGGAATGGAATGGAATGTTCTCAAAAGAATGGACTGGAAAGCAATTAAATGGACTTGAATGGATTGGAATGGAATGGACTCGAACGGAAATTAATGGACTCTATAGGAATGAAATGGAATGGAATGGAATGCATTCGAATGGAATGGAATGGAATGGAATGGAATGGAACGGACTCGAATGGAATGCAATGGAATGGACTTGAATGGAATGGAATGGAATTCACTCGAATGGAATTGAGTGGAATGGACCGAATGGAATGAATTGTAATGGAAAGGAATGGACTCGTATTGAATGGAATGGAATGGAATGGAATGGACTCGAATGAAATTTAATGGAATTGAATGGACACGAATTGAATGGAATGTACTCGAAAGGAACAGACTCGAATCGAATGGAATGGAATGGATTCAAAAGGAATAGAATGGATTGGAATGGACTCGAATGGAATGGAATGGAATGTACTCATATGGAATGGAATGGACTCAAATGGAAAGGAATGGAATGGGCTCGAATCGAATAGAATGGAATGGAATGGACTCGAGTGGAATGAAATGGAATGCAGGCGAATGGAATGGAGTGGGCTGGAATGGACTCAAAAGTAATGGAGTGGAATGGATTCGAATGGAAAGGAATGGAACTCAATGGACTAGAATGGAATGGACTGTAACCAATTGGAATGGATTAGAATGGAATGGAATGGAATGGAATGGACCCTAATGGAATGGAATGGAATTGAAAGGAATGAAATGGAATGGATTGGAATTTAATGTAATGTATATGAATGGACTCAAATGAAATGCAATTGAATTAAATGGACTCGAAGGAATAGAATGGAAAGGAATGGAAAGGAACGGAATGCAATTGACTCGACTGGAAAGGAATGGAATGGACTCGAATGGAACGGAATGCCCTCGAACGGAATGAATGGAATGGAATCAACTCGATTGGAATGGAATACGGAATGGAATGGAATGGACTCGAGTGGAATGGACTGGAATGGAATGGACTCGAATGGAATGGAATGGAACGGAATGGAATGGAATGGACCCAAAAGGAATGGAATGGAATTGAATGGACTCGAATGGAAAGGAAAGGAATGGAATGGAATGGAATGGATCCAAAAAGAATGGAATGGAATTGAATGGACTCGAATGGAAAGGAAAGGAGTGGAATACAATGGACTCAAATGGAATGGAATGGAATTGATGGACTCGAATTGAATGGAATGCAATGGACTTGAATATAATGGAATGTCCTCGAATGGAATGGAATGGAATGGAGTCAACTCGAGTAGAATGGAATATGTAATGGAATGGAATGGAATGGACTCGAGTGGAATGGAATGGAATAGAATGGACTCGAATGGAATGGAATGGACTGGAATATAATGTGATGGAATGGACTCGAATGTAATGGAATGGAATCAAATGGAGTGCAATGGAATGGACTCGAACAGAATGGAATGGAATTGACTCGAATGGAAAGGAATGGACTCGAATAGAATGTAATGGAATGGACTCGAATGGAACGGAATGTAATGGCGTCGAATGGAATGCAATGGAATGGACTCGAATGTAATGGAATGGAATTGAATCGAATGGAATTGAATGGAAGAGACCCTAACGGAATGTAATGGAAAGGAATGGTGTGGACTCTAATGGAGTGGAAAGGAATGGATTGGAACGGACTCGAATGGAATGTAATGGAATTGAATGGACATAAATGGAATGGAATGGACATGAATGGAATGGACTCGAATGGAATGGAATTGAATGGATTCAAAAGGAATAGAACGGATTGTAATGGTCTCGAATGGAATGGAATGGAATGGACTCGAATAGAATAGAATGGAATGGACTCGAATTGAATGAAATGGAATGGAGTCAAATGGAATGGAGTCTAATGGATTCAAATGGAAGGGAATGGAATGGAATGGACCCGAATGGAATGCAATGTAGCCAATCTGAATGGACTCGAAAGGAAAGCAATGTAGAGAAATGATATGGACACGAATGGAATGGAATGGAATGGAATGAAATGGACTCAAATGGAATGGAAACTAATGGCATGAAACGGAATGCAATGGAACGGAATGGAATGGAATGCAATGGAATGGAATAAAATCGAATGGACTGGAGTAGAATGCCATTGAATTAAATGGATTCAAAAGGAATTCAGTGGAATGGAATGGACTGGACTGGAATGGAATGGAATGGACTTGAATTGAATGAAATGGAATGCACTCGAATGTAAAGGAATGCCCTCAAATGGAATGGAATCAACTCGAGTGGAATGGACTCGAGTGGAATGGACTGGAATGGAATGAACTCGAAAGGAATGGAATAGAATGGACCCGAAAGGAATGGAATGGAATAGAATAGACTCGAGTGGAATGGACCTGAAAGGAGGGCAATGGAATAGAATGGACTCAAATGGAATGGAACGTAACGGAATGGATCGGACTTGAATGGAACGGCATGGAATGGAATCGAATGGAATGGAATGGACTGGACCCGAATGGAATGGAATTGACTGGAATGGAATGGAATGGAATGGAATTTACCCGAATGGAATGTAATGGAATAGAATGGATTGGGCTCAAATGGAATGGAATGGATTCAAATGGAATGGAATGGAATGGACTCAAATGGAATAGCATGGAATGGAATGGACTCGAATGCAATGGAATGGAATGGACTCAAATGGAATGGAAAGGACTCGACGGGAATGGAGTGGAATGGACTCGAATGGAATGCAATGGAATTGAATGGAATCGAATTGAATGGAATGTAACGAAATGGAATGAACTCGTATGGAATGGAAAGTAATGGAATGAAATGGGCTCGAATGGATTGGAATGGAATGGAATGGACTCAATGGAATGGAATGGAATGGAATGGGATGAAATAGAATGGAATGCATTTGAAATGAATGGACCCGAAAAGAATGGAATGGAATGGATTGGAATGGAATGGAGTGAAATGGAATGGAATGGAATGGAATGGAGTGGAATTGAATGGAATGGAATGAAGTGGACTCGAATGGAATCGAATTGAATGGAATGGACTCGAATGAAATGGAATGGACTCGAATGGAATGGAATCGACTCGAGTGGAATGGAATGGAATGGAATTGAACGGACTCAAATGAAATGGAATGCAGTGGAATTAACTCGAATGGCATGCAATGGAATGGAGTAGACTCGAATGGAATGGAATGGAATGGACTTGAATGGAATAGAGTGGAATGGAATCGAATGGAATGGTGTGGAATGGAATGGACACGAATGGAATGCAGTGGAATGGACTTGAATGGAATGGCATGGAGTGGACTCCATTTGAATGGAATGGAATGGACTCAAATGGAATGGAATGGACTCGAATGGAATGGAAGTGAATGGAATGGACTCGAATTGATTAGAGCAGAATTTTAGGGTGTGGAATCAAATGTAATGGAAAGGAGCGGACTCGAATGGAATAAAACAGACTGGACTCGAAAGAAATGGAATGCAATGGAAAGAACTCGAATGCAATGGAATGGAATGGACTTGAATAGAACGTAACAGTATTGAATGGACTTGAAAGGATTGGAATGGAAGGCAATGGAATGGACTGAAGTGGAATGGAATGGAATTGACTCGAACGGAATTGAATGGATTGGACCCGAATGGAATGGAATGGAATGGACTCGAATTCAATGGCACGGAACGGACTGGATTGGAAGGGAATGGAATGTAATGGATTTGAATGTAATGGAATGGAATGGATTCGAATGGAATGGAATGGAATGGAATGGAATGGACTCGAATGTAATGGAATGGACTCAAATGGAATGGAATGGAATTTAATGGAATGGACTCTAATGGAATGGAAACTAATAGAAATGAATGGAACAGACTCAAATGGAATAGAATGGAATGGACTCGAATGGAATGGAATGGTGTGGAATGGAATGGACTCGAATGGAATTGAGTAGAATGGACTCGAATGGAATGGAATGGAGTGGACTCGAATGGAATACAGTGGAATTTAATGGAATGGACTCTAATGGAATGGAATGGAGAGGACTGGAATGGAATAAAACGGACTGGACTCGAATGGAATGGAATGGAATGGAAATGACTCGAATGGAATGGAATGGAATGAACTCGAAGAGAAAGTAATGGGATTGAATGGACTTGAAAAAATTGTAATGGAATGCAATGGAATGGAATCAAAAGGAATGGAATGGAATTGACTAGAATGGAATTGAATGGATTGGACCCGAATGGAATGGAATGGAATGTATTCGAAGTCAATGGAATGGAATGGACAGGATTGGAATGGAATGGAAAGGAATGGATTCGAATGGAATGGAATGGAATGGACTCGAGTGTAATGGGTCAGAAAGGAATGGTCTCGAATGAAAGAGAATGGAATGGACTCAAAAGGAATAACATGGAATGGAATGGACTGGAATGCCATGGAATGGAATGGACACTAATCGAATGGAATGGTCTCGAATGGAATAGAATGGAATGGAATCAAAAGGAATAACATGGAATGGAATGCCATGGAATGGAATGGACACGAATCGAATGGAATGGAGTCGAACAGAATGGAATCGAATGGAATGGACTCGAATGGAATGGTATGTAAAGGAATAGAATAGACTCGAATGGAATGGAATGGAATGGAATGAAATGGAATCGAATGGAATGGAAGGGAAAGGAAAGGTGTGGAATTGAATGGAGTGGAATTTAAATGTAATGGACTCGAACGGATTGCAATTGAATTGACTGGACTTGAAAGGAATGGACTGGAATGGAAAGGAATGGACTCGAATCTAATGGAATGGAATGAACTAGAATGGAATGGAATGGAATGGACTCTAATGGAATGGAATGGACTCGAATGGAATGGAATTGACTCAAAAGGAACGAAATGGAATGGAATTTTTTTGAATGAAATGGAATGGAAAGGACTCGAATGGAAAGGAATTCAATGGAATGGACTCGAATGGAATGGAATGGAGTGGAATGGACTCTAATGGAATGGAATGGAATTGAAGAGATTCGAATGGCATGGAATAGAATGTACTCGAATGAAATGGGTTGGAATGGAATGGACTCGAATGGAATGGAATGGAATGGACTCAAATGGTATCAAAAGGAACAGAATGGACTGGAATGGAATGAAATGGAATCGACTCGAATGTAATTGTATGGATTCGAATGGAATGGAATGGAATGGAATGGATTAGACTCAAATGGAATTGAACGGAATAGAATGGAATGTACTAGAATGGAATGGAATGGAATGGACTCAAATGAAATAGAATGGAATGGAATCGAAAGGAACGGAGTGGAATGGAATGGACTCGAATGAAATGGACACGAATGCAATGGAATGGACTCGAATGGAGTGGAAAAGAATGGACCCAAATGGAATGGAATGGAATGGACTGGACTGGAATGGAATGGACTGGAATGGAATGGAATGGAATGGATTGGAATGGAATGGAATGGATTGGAATGGAATGGAATGAAATGGAGTGGAATGTAAGTGAATGGAATAGAATGGATGGAATGGAATGGACTCAAATGTACTGGAATGGAATGGACATGAATGGAATAGAATGGAATGGAATCAAAAGGAATGGAGTGGAATGGAATGGACTAGAATGGAATGGCATGGAAGGGACTCAAATAGAATGGAATGGAATTGAAAGAAATGTAATGAAACGTACCCAATTGGAATGGAATGGAATGGAATGTAAGGTACTGGAAGGGAATGGAATGGAATGGAATGCAGTGGACTTGAATGGAAAGAATGGAAAGGATCGGAAAGGACTCGATGGGAATGGAATGGAATGGACTCGAATGGAATTGAATGGACTCGAATGGAATGGAATGGAATTTAATTGAGCGGAGTCTAATGGAATGGAATCTAATGGAATTCAATGGAATGGACTCGAACAGAATAGAATGGAATGGACTCGAATGGAATGGAATGGAATGGACTCAAATCTAATTGAATGGAATGGACTCGAATGGAATGTAAAGGAATGGACTATAATGGAAAGGAATGGACTCGAACGGAATGGAATTGACTCAAAAGGAATGAAAAGGAATGGGATTTCTTCGAATGAAATGGAATGGAATGGACTCGAACGGAATGGAATTCAATGGAATGGACTCGAATGGAGTGGAATGGACTCAAATGGAATGGAATGGAATTGAAGAGATTCGAATGGAATGGAATGGAAAGTACTCGAATGAAATGGGTTGGAATGGAATGGAATCGAAAGGAATGGAATGGACTCAAATGGTATCAAATGGAACGGAATGGATTGGAATGGAATGAAATGGAATGTACTTGAATGGAATGGAATGGACTCGAATGGAATGGAATAGAATGGAATGGATTAGACTCAAATGGAATTGAATGGAATGGAATGTAGTGTGCTAGAATGGAATGTAACGGAATGGACATGAATGAAAAAGAATGGAATGGAATCAAATGGAATGGATTGGAATGGAATGGACTCGAATGAAATGGACACTAATGCAATGGAATGGACTCGAATGGAGTGGAAAAGAATGGACCCGAATGTAATGTAATGGAATGGAATGGATTGGAATGGAATGGAATGGACTGGAATGGAATGGAATGAAATGGAGTGGAATGGACATGAATGGAATAGAATGGATGGAATGGAATGGACTCGAATGGAATGGAATGGAATGGACACGAATGGAATAGAATGGAATGGAATCAAAAGGAATGGAGTGGAATGGAATGGACTCGAATGGAATGGCATGGAAGGGACTCGAAAAGAATGGAATGCACTTGAGTGAAAGGCAATGAAATGTAACAAATTGGAATGGAATGGAAGGTCCTGGAAGGGAATGGAATGGAATGGAATGCAATGGACTTGAATGGAAGAGAAAGGAATGGATCGGAAAGGACTCGATGGGAATGAAATGGAATGGACTCGAATGGAATTGAATGGACTCGAATGGAATGGAATGGAATTTCATTGAACGGACTCTAATGGAATGGAATCTAATGGAATGGAATGGAATGGACTCAAACTGAACAGAATGGAATGGACTCGAATGAAATGGAATGGAATGGACTCAAATGTAACGGAATGGAATGTATTCGAATGCAATGGAATGGAATTGAATGGTGTAGAAGGGAATGGAATGGAATGCAGTGGAATCGACTCGAATGGAATGGAATGGAATTGACTCAAGGGGAATAGAATGGAATGCACCTGAATGGAATGGAATGGAATGGAATGGACTCGAATGGAATGGCATGAAGTGGAATGGACTCGAATGGAATGGAATGGAGTGGAATGGAATGGACTTGAATGGAATGGAATGGACTCGATAGGAATGGAAAGGAACGGAAAGGTGTGGTCTCGAATATAATGGAATGGAATGGAATTGCATGGAATGGAATGGACTCGAAAGGAATGGAATATAATTGCAATGACGCGAGTGGAATGGAATAGAATGGAATGGAAACGAATGTAATTTAACGGAATGGAATGGACTTGAATGGAATAGAATGGAATGGACCCGAACGGAATAGAATGGAATGGATCTTAAAGGAATGAAATCCAAAGGAATGGAAATGAGTCGAATGGAATAGAATGGAATGCAATGGAATGGAATGGAATGGAACGGAATGGACTCGAATGGAATGGAATGGAATGGAATGGACTCGAAAGGAATGGAAAGGAATGGACTCGAATGGAATGGAATGGACACAAACGGAATGGAATGGAATGGACTCTAATGGAATACAATGCAATTTACTGGAATGGACTCTAATGGAATGGAATGGAATGCACACGAATGGAATAGAGTGGAATGGACTCGAATGGAATTGAATGGAATGGAATGCACACGAATGTAATGGAAAGGAATTGTCTCCAATGCAATAGAAATGAGTGGACTTGAACAGAAGGGAATGGAACGGAATGGAATGGAATGGAAAGGACTCGAATGGAATGGAGTGGAATGGATTGGAATGGAATGAAGTGGAATGGAATGGAATGGAAAGGAATGGAATGGGATGGAATTGAACGGAATGGACTCGAATGGAATGGAATTCAATGGACCCGAATGGAATGGTATGGAATGGAATGGACTTGAGTCGAATACAATGGAATGCAATGGAATGGACTCAATGGGGATGGAATGCAATGTACTCAAATCGAATGGAATGCAACGGAATGGACTCATATGGAATGGATTAGAATTGATTCGAATGGAATTCAATGGATTGGGCACGAATGGACTGGAAAGGAAAGGAATGGAATGGGCTCGAATGGAATGGAGTGGTATGGAATGGAGACGAATGGAATGGAATAGAATGATTGGAATGGAATGGAATGGACTGGAATGGAATGGCTTTGAATGGAAATGACTCGAATGGAATGGAATGGACTCAAATGGAATAGCATGGAATGGAATGGATTCGAATGAAATGGAATGGAAAGGAATCGAAGGGAATGGAGTGGACACAAACAGAATGGAATGGAGTGGAATGGACTCGAATGGAATAGAATGGAATGGACTGGAATGTAATGCAGTGGAATGGAATGGACTAGAATGGAATGGAATGGAATGGACTTGAACGGAATGGAATGGACTTGATTGGTAAACAATTGAATGGAGTGGAATGGACTCAAAAGTAATGGAATGGAATGGACTCGGGTGGCATGGAAGGAGCACGAATGGTATGGAATGGAAAAGAAAGGAATCGAATGGAGTACAATGGAATTTAATGGAATGGACCCTAGTGGAATGTAATGGAATGGACACCAATGGAATAGAATGGAATGGAGGCCAATGGTATGGAATGTAATGGGTTGGACTCGAATGGAATTGACTCGAAAGGAATGGAATGGAATTGAATGATCTCGAAAGGAAAGTAATGGAATGCAATGGAATGGACTCGAATGGAACGCAATGGACTGGACTCGAATGGAATGGAATGCAAAGGAATGGAATTGAATGCAATGGAATGGAATAGACTCGAATGGAAGGGGATAGAAGGGAAGGGAATGGAATGGAATGGAATGGTATCAAGTCGAATGAAATGGATGAACTCGAATGGAATGGAATGTTCTTGAATGGAACGCAATGGAATGGACTCGAATGGAATGGAATGCAACGGACCCGAATGGAATGGAATGGAATGGAATGAAATGGAATGAAAGCAAATGGAATAGAATGGAATGAAATCTAATGGAATGGAGTGGAAAGGAACGGACTCGAATGGTTTAGAATGGAATGGACTCGAATGGAATGGAATGGACTCAAACGGAATGGAATGGAATGGAATGGGATCAAATGGAATTGAATAGAATGGAATGCAATGCACTCGAGTGGAATGGAATGGAATGGATTCGTATGGAATGCGATGGAATTGAATGAACTGCAATAGAAGGGAATGGAATGGACTCGAATTGTATGGAAAGGAGTAGACTAAAACGGAAAGGAATAGACTCAAAATGAATGGAATGGAATGGAATCCACTCTAGTGGAATGGAACGAAATGGAATAGACTAGAATGGAATACAAAGGAATGGAATGGAATGGACTCGAATGGAATGGAATGGAAAGTACTTGAAAGGAATGGAATGGAAGAGAATGGAATGGAATAGACTCGAATGGAATGGAATGGAATTGAAACGAAAGGAATGCAATGGACTCAGATGGAATGGAAATGAGTCGAGTGTAATGGAATGGAATGTAATGGAATGGAACGGACCCGAATGGAACAGAAAGGAATGGAATGGAATGCACTCGAATGGAGTGGAATGGAAAGGAATGGAATGGAATGGAATGGACTCGAATAGAATGGAATAGAATGGACCTGAATGGAAAGGAAAGGAATGTAATGGAATGGAATAAAATTGAATGGAATGGAAAGGTATGGAATGGAATGGAATGCAATGGAAAGGAAAGGAATGGAATGGAATGGAATGAAATGGAATGAAATGAAATGGAATGGTATGGAATAGAATGGGCTTGAATGGAATAGAATGGAATGGAATGGAAAGCAATGGACCTGAATTTCAAGGATTGGAATGGAAACGATTCAAGTGGAATGGAATGGACTCGAATGGAATGGAATGGAATGGACCCAAGTGGAATGGAAGGGAATGGAATGGACTGGAATCGAATGGAATGAAATGGAATGGAATGGACTCGAATGGAATAGGTTGGAATGGAAATGAATGGAAAGGAGTGGAATGGAATGGAATGGAATGAAATGGAATGGAATGGACTTGATTGGAAAAGAATGGAATGGAATGAAAAGAAATCGAAATTAATGGAATGGAATGGAATCTTGTGGATTGGAATGGACTCGAATGGAATGGAATGGAATAGAATTGACTCGAATGGAATACAGTGGAATTTAATGGAATGGACTCCAATGGAATTTAATGGAAGGGACTCGAATGGAATAGAATGGAATGGAATAGAATGGAATGGAATCCAATGGAATGGACTACAATGGAATGGACTCAAAAGTATTGGACTCGAATGGAATGGAATGGATTTCAATGGTCTTGAAAGGAATGGAATGGAATGGAATGGACTAGAATGGAATGAAATGCACTGCACTCGAATGGAATGGAATTGAATGCAATGGAATGGACTCAAGTAGACTGGAATGGAAAGGAATGAAATGAAATGGAATGAACTTGAATGGAATAGAATGGAATGGAATGCACTCGAATGGAATGGAATGCACTCAAATGGAATGGAATGGAATTTAATGGAATGGACTCTAATGGAATGGAATCAAATGGAACGGAAAGGAATGGACTCGAATGGAATCAAATGGAATGGACTCGAATGGAATCAAATGGAATAGACTCGAAGAGAATGGAATGAAAAGGAATGGACTCGAATGGAATGGAATGGAATTGACTCGATTGGAATTGAATGTAATGGACTTGAATGGAATAGAATGGGATGGACTCGAATGGAATGGTGTGGAATGGAATGGAATCGAGTGGAATGGAGTGGAATGGACTCGAATGAAATGAAATTGAATAGACTCTATTTGAATGGAATGGAATGGAATGAAATGGACTCGAATGGAATGGAATGGAATGGTCTTGGACCGAATGGAATGGAATGAAAAGGAATGGAATGGAATGGAATGGAATGGCATGGAATGAAATGGAATGGAATGGAATGAAATTGAATGGAATGAAGTGGAATACACTCAAGTGGAATGGAATTGAATGGACCCGAATAGAATGGAATGGAATGGAATGGACTCGAATGGAATGGAAAGGAATGGAACTGAAGGGAATGGAATGCAATGGAATGGATTTGAATGGAATGGAATGGAAAGGACTCGAATGAAACACAACGGAATTTAATGGAATGGTCTATAATAGAATTGAATGTTGTGGACTTGAATGGAATAAAATGGACTGGACACGAATGGAAGGGAATGCAATGGAATGAACTCGAATGGAATGAAATGGAATGGATTTGAATGGAATGAAATGGAATTGAATGATCTCAAAAGGATTGGAATGCAATGCAATGCAATGGACTCGAATGGAATGGAGTGGAATTGACTCGAATGGAATTGAAAGAAATGGACATTGGAATGGAATGGAATGGACTCGAATGGAATGGAAAGGAATGGAATCGAAGGGAATGGAATGCAATGGAATGGATTCGAATGGAATGGAATGGAATGGACTCGAATGGAATGGGTTGGAATGGAATGGACTCGCATGGAACGGAATGGCACGAAATCAAATGGTACAGAATGGAATGGAATAGACTCGAATGAAATGGGATTGAAAGGACTCAAATGGAATGGAATGGAATAGAACGGATTCAAATGTAATAGAATGGAATGGACTTGAATGGAATGGAGTGGAATGGAATGGACTCGAATGGAATGGAGTGCAATTGAAATGAATAGAATGGAATGGAAATGATTGGAGTCGAATGGAATGGATTGTAACGGAATAGAAAGTACTCGAATGGAATGGAAGGTAATGGCATGAAATTTACTCGAATAGAATGGAATGGAGTGGAATGGAATGGAATAGATTCGAATGGAATTCAACGGAATGGAATGCAATGGAGTGAAACGGAATGGAATGGATTTGAATGGAATAGAATGGATTGGAATGGAATGGACTCGAAGGAAAAGGAATGGAATGGAATCGAAAGGAAAGGAATGGAATTTAACAGAATGGAGTCTAATGGCATGGAATCTAATGGAATGGAATGAAATGGACTCGAATGGAATGGAATGGAATGGACTCCCAAGGAATGCAATGCAATGGAATGGACTCGAATGGAATGGAATGGAATTGACTCGAATGAAATTGAATGGAATGGACTTGAGTGCAATAGAATGGAAAGGACTCGAAAGGAATGGTGTGGAATGGAAGGGATTCGAATGGAATGGAGTGGATTGGACTCGAATGGAATGGAATTGAATGGACACGATTGGAATGGAATACATTGGAATGAAATGGATTTGAAAGGAATGGACTGGAATGGAATGGTCACGGATGGAATGGAATGAAATGGAAAGGACTCGAATGAAATACAACGAAATTTAATCGAATGGACTCTAATGTAACGGAATGTTGCGGGCTCCAATGGAATAAAATGGACTATACACGAATGGAATGGACTCGAATGGAATGGAATGGACTCGAATGGAATGGAATGGAACGGATCCAAAGGTCATAGAATGGAATGGACTCGAATGGAATGGAATGGACTCGGATGGAATGGAAAGGAATGGAATGGATTCAAATGTAATAGAATGGATTGGACTCGAATGAAATCGAATGGGATGCAGTCGAATGAAATGGAATGGAATGGAATGGATTCCAATGTAATAGAATGGAATGTACTCGAATGGAATGGAAGGTAATGGAATGGAATGGAATCAAATGGAATGGAATGGAAAGGAATAGAATGGACTGGAATGGAATGGAATGAAATGGAATGGAACTGACTTGAATGGAATAGAATGCAATGGAATGGTATGAAATCAAAGGGAATGGAATGGAATGGTCTCGAATGGAATGGAATGGACTCGAATGGAAGGGAATGGAATTTAATAGAATGGACCCAATGGGATGGAATCTAAAGGAATGGAATGGAATGGACTCGAATGGAATGGAATGGATTGGAATCAAATGCTATGGAATGCAATGGAATGGACTGGAAAGGAATGGAATAGAATTGACTTGAATGGAATTGAATGGAATGGACACGAATGGAACAGAATGGGATGGACTCCAATGGAATGGTGTGGAACGGAATGGACACGAATGAAATGGAGTGGAATAGACTCAAATGGAATGGAACTGAAATGACATGATTTGTATGGAATGTAGTGGAGTAAATTGGACTCGAATGGAATGGAATGGAATCGAATGGTCTCGGATGGAATGGAATGGAATGGAATGGAATGGAATGGTTTGGAATGGACAGAAATGGAAGGGAATGGATAGGAACAGAAAGGAATGCAATGGAATGCAATGGACTCGAATGGAATGAAATGGAATGGAACCTATTTAAATGGAATGGAATGGAATGCTCACGAATGGAATGAAATGGAATGGAAAGGACTCAAATGGAATGGAATGGAATGGAATGGAATGGACTCGAATGAAATACAACAGAATTGAAAGAAATGGACTCTAATGGAATGAAATGTTGTGGACTTGAATGGAATAAGATGGACTTTACTCAAATAGAATGGAATGAAATTGAATGGACTCGAACTGAATGGAATGGAATGGATGCGAATGGAATGAAATGGAATTGAATCGACTCGAAGGGATTGGAATGCAAAGCAATGGAATGGACTCGAATGGATTGCAATGGAATTGACTCGAATGGAATTGAATGGATTGGACCTGAATGGCATGGAATGGAATGCAATGGAATGGAATCAAATGGAATGGAATGGAATCGAATCGAATGGAATGGTATGGATTCGAATGGAATGGAATGCAATGGACTCGAATGAAATGGATTCGAATGGAATGGAATGCAATGGACTCGAATGAAATGGGTTGGAATGGAATGGACTCGAATGGAAAGGAATGGAATGTAACCAAATGGTATAGAATGGAATGGAATGGACTCGAATGAAATGGAATGGAATGGACTCGAATGGAATGGAATAGGATGGAACAGATTCAAATGTAATAGAAGAGAATGGACTGTAATGGAATGGAGAGAAATGGAATGGACTCGAATGGAATGGAGTGCATTGGAAACGAATAGATGGAATGGAAATGAATGGACTCGAATGGAATTGAATGTAACGGAATGGAATGTACTCGAATGGAATGGAAGGTAATGGAATGTAATTTATGCGAATGGAAAGGAATGGAATGGAATGAAATGGAATGGAATCGAATGGCATTGAATGGCATGGAATAGAATGGAATGGAATGGAATGGAGTGGAATCGACTGGAATGGAATGGAATGAAATGGAATAGAATGGACTTGAATGAAATAGAATGGAATGGAATGGAGTGGAATGGAATGGAATGGAAAGGAATGGATTCGAAGGGAATGGAATGAAATGGACTCGAATGGAATGGAATGGACTAGAAAGGAAGGGCATGTAATGTAATAGAAAGGACCCTAATGGAATGGAATCTAATGGAATGGAATCGAATGGAATTGAATGGAATGGAATTGACTCGATTGGAATGGAACACAATGGAATGGACTCGAATGTAATGGAATGGATTGGAATGGACTAGAAAGGAATTGAAAGGAATGGACACGAATGGAATAGAATGTGATGGACTCGAATGGAATGGTGTTGAATGGAATGGACTTTAATGGAATGGAGTGTTAAGGACTCGAATGGATTGGAATTGAATGGATTCTTCTGGAATGGAATGGATTGGAATGAAATGGACTAGAATGGAATGGAATGGAATGGAACCGAACAGAATGAATTGGAATGGAATGGAACGGACTCGAATGGAATGGAATGGAATGGAATGGAATGAAATGGAATAGAACGGACTGCAATGGAATGGAGTGGAATGGAACAGACTCCAATGGATTGGAATGGAATGGATTCGAATTGAATAGAAAGGAATGGAAAGGAATGGACTTGAATGGAATGGAATGGAAAGGCATAGAATCCAAAGGAGTGGACTGGAATGGAAAAGAATGTAATGGCGTGGAAACAAATGGAATGGAGTTGAATGGAATGGACCCGAATGTATGTCATGGAATCAAATGGAATCGACACAAACAGAATGGAATGGAATGGAATGGAATGGACTGGGATGGAATGGAATGGAATGGAATGGAATGGAATGGAATGGTATGGAAGGAAAAGGAATGGAATGGAATGGACTCAAACGGAATGGAATGGAATTGAATGGACTCAAAAGGAATGGAATTGAATGGAATTC